>NC_000020.11:26646554-26971044 GCF_000001405.40 Homo sapiens
GCCGGGAGCAGTGGCTGACACCTGTAATCCCAACACTTTGGGATGATGGCGGGTGGATCACTTGGGGCCGGGAGTTCCCGGCCAGCCAGGCCGACATGGAAAATCTTTGCCTCTACAAAAAAAACTGAACTTTTGGATTGGTTTCGGGCCTAAGGTGAAAAAGGAAATATCTTCCCATAAAAACTAGACAGAAGAGCATTCTCAGAAACTTCTTTGGGATGTTTCAATTGAAGTCACAGTGTTGAACATTCCCTTTCACAGAGCAGGTTTTAAACACTCTTTTTGTAGTGTCTATAATTGAACATTTGGCGTGCTTTCAGGCCTAACGTGAAAAAGGAAATATCTTCCCATAAAAACTAGACAGAAGCATTCTCAGAAACTTGTTCGTGATGTGTGCCCTCTACTGACAGAGTTGAACCTTTCTTTGCAAAGAGCAGCTTTGAAACACTCTTTTTGTAGAATCTGCAAGAGGATATGTGGATAGCTTTGAGGATTTCGTTGGAAACGGGTATGTCTTCAGATAAACTCTAGACAGAAGCATTCTCAGAAACTTCTTTGGGATGTTTCAATTGAAGTCACAGTGTTGAACATTCCCTTTCACAGAGCAGGTTTGAAACACTCTTTTTGTAGTGTCTATAAGTGAACATTTGGCGTGCTTTCAGGCGTAACGTGAAAAAGGAAATATCTTCCCATAAAAACCAGACAGAAGCATTCTCAGAAACTTGTTTGTGATGTGTGCCCTCTACTGACAGAGTTGAACCTTTCTTTGCAAAGAGCAGCTTTGAAACACTCTTTTTGTAGAATCTGCAAGAGGATATGTGGATAGCTTTGAGGATTTCGTTGGAAACGGGTATGTCTTCAGATAAACTCTAGACAGAAGCATTCTCAGAAACTTCTTTGGGATGTTTCAATTGAAGTCACAGTGTTGAACATTCCCTTTCACAGAGCAGGTTTGAAACACTCTTTTTGTAGTGTCTATAAGTGAACATTTGGCGTGCTTTCAGGCCTAACGTGAAAAAGGAAATATCTTCCCATAAAAACTAGACAGAAGCATTCTCAGAAACTTGTTCATGATGTGTGCCCTCTACTGACAGAGTTGAACCTTTCTTTGCAAAGAGCAGCTTTGAAACACTCTTTTTGTAGAATCTGCAAGAGGATATTTGGATAGCTTTGAGGATTTCGTTGGAAACGGGTATGTCTTCAGATAAACTCTAGACAGAAGCATTCTCAGAAACTTCTTTGGGATGTTGCATTCAAGTCACAGAGTAGAACATTCCCATTCATAGAGCAGATTTGAAACACTCTTTTTGTAGTATCTGGAAGTGGACATTTGGAGCGCTTTCAGGCCTATGTTGAAAAAGGAAATATCTTCCCATAAAAACTAGACGGAAGCATTCTCAGAAACTTACTTGTGATGTGTTTGCTCAACTAACAGAATTGAACCATCGTTTTGAAGGAGCAGTTTTGAAACACTGTTTTCGTGGAATCTGCAAGTGGATATTTGGCTAGCTTTGAGGATTTCGTTGGAAACGGGATTACATATAAAAAGGAGACAGCAGCATTCTCAGAAACTTCTTTGTGATGTCTGCATTCAAGTCACAGAGTTGAGCATTCCCTTTCATAGAGCAGGTTGGAAACACTCTTTTTGTAGTATCTGGATGAGGACATTTGGAGCGCTTTCAGGCGTATGGTGAAAATGGAAATATCTTCCCGTAAAAACTAGACAGAAGCATTCTCAGAATTTTATTTGTGATGTGTGCCCTCAAGTAACAGAGTTGAACCTTTCTTTTGATAGAGCAGTTTTGAAACACTCTTTTTGTAAAATCTGCAAGAGGATATTTGGATAGCTTTGAGGATTTCGTTGCAAACGGGAATGGCTTCATATAAACTCTAGACAGAAGCATTCTCAGAAACTTCGTTGGGATGTTTCGATTGAAGTCCCAGTGTTGAACATTCCCTTTTATAGAGCAGGTTGGAAACACTCTTTCTGCATTCCCTGGAAGTGGACATTTAGAGCGCTTTCAGGACGACGGTGAAAATGGAAATATCTTCCAAGAAAATCTAGATAGAAGCAACCGTCAGAAACTTTTCTGTGATGGATCTACTCAGCTAACAGAGTTGAACCTTTCTTTTGAGAGAGCAGTTTTGCAACACTCTTTTTGTGGAATATGCAAGTGGATATTAGGGCAGCTTTGAGGATTTCGTTGGAAACGGGAATACATGTAAAAAGCAGACAGCAGCATTCTCAGAAACTTCTTTGTGATGTTTGCATTGAAGTCACAGAGTTGAACATTCCCTTTGAGAGAGCAGGTTTGAAACACGCCTTTTGTCATATCTGGAAGTGTCCATTCGGAGCGCATTCAGGCTTGTGTTGAAAAAGGAAATATCCTCCCATAAAAACTAGACAGAAGCATTCTCAGAAACTTATCTGTGATGTATGTACTCAACTAACAGAACTAAACCATCGTTTTGAAGGAGCAGTTTTGAAACACTCTTTTTGCGGAATCTGCAAGTGGATATTTGGCTAGCTGGGAGGATTTCGTTGGAAACGGGATTACATACAAAAAGCAGAGAGCAGCATTCTCAGAAACTTCTTTGTGATGTTTGCATTCAAGTCACAGAGTTGAACATTCCCTTTCATAGAGCAGGTTTGAAACACTCTTTTTGTAGTATCTGGATGTGGACATTTGGATCGCTTTCAGGCCTATGGTGAAAAAGGAAATATCTTCCCATGAAAACTAGACAGAAGCATTCTCAGAAACTTATTTGTGATGTGTGCCCTCAACTGACAGTGTTGAACCTTTGTTTTGATAGAGCAGTTCTGAAACACACTTTTTGTAAAATCTGCAAGAGGATATTTGGATAGCTTTGAGGATTTCGTTGGAAACGGGAATGTCTTCATGTAAACTCTAGACAGAAGCATTCTCAGAAACTGCTTTGGGATGTTTCAATTGAAGTCCCAGTGTTGAACATTCCCTTTCATAGAGCAGGTTTGAAACACTCTTTTTGTACTATCTGGAAGTGGACATTTGGAGCGCTTTCAGGTCTACGGTGAAAAAGGAGATATCTTCCAATAAAAACTAGATAGAAGCAATGTCAGAACTTTTTTCATGATGTATCTACTCAGCAAACAGAGTTGAACCTTTCTTTTGAGAGAGCAGTTTTGAAACACTCTTTTTGTGGAATATGCAAGTGGGTATTAGGCCAGCTTGGAGGATTTCGTTGGAAACGGGAATACGTATAAAAAGCAGACAGCAGCATTGTCAGAAACTACTTTGTGATGTTTGCATTCAAGTCACAGAATTGAACACTCCCTTTCACAGAGCAGGTTTGAAACACTCTTTTTGTAGTGTCTGTAAGTGAACATTTGGATTGCTTTCAGGCCTAAGGTGAAAAAGGAAATATCTTCCCATAAAAACTAGACAGAAGCATTCTCAGAAACTTGTTTGTGATGTGTGCCCTCTACTGACAGAGTTGAACCTTTCTTTGCAAAGAGCAGTTTTGAAACACTCTTTTTGTAGAATCTGCAAGAGGATATTTGGATAGCTTTGAGGATTTCTTGGGAAACGGGAATGTCTTCAGATAAACTCTAGACAGAAGCATTCTCAGAAACTTCTTTGGGATGTTTCAATTGAAGTCACAGTGTTGAACATTCCCTTTCACAGAGCAGGTTTGAAACACTCTTTTTGTAGTGTCTATAAGTGAACATTTGGCGTGCTTTCAGGCCTAACGTGAAAAAGGAAATATCTTCCCATAAAAACTAGACAGAAGCATTCTCAGAAACTTGTTCGTGATGTGTGCCCTCTACTGACAGAGTTGAACCTTTCTTTGCAAAGAGCAGCTTTGAAACACACTTTTTGTAGAATCTGCAAGAGGATATTTGGATAGCTTGGAGGATTTCGTTGGAAACGGGTATGTCTTCAGATAAACTCTAGACAGAAGCATTCTCAGAAACTTCTTTGGGATGTTGCATTCAAGTCACAGAGTAGAACATTCCCATTCATAGAGCAGATTTGAAACACTCTTTTTGTAGTATCTGGAAGTGGACATTTGGAGCGCTTTCAGGCCTATGTTGAAAAAGGAAATATCTTCCCATAAAAACTAGACGGAAGCATTCTCAGAAACTTATTTGTGATGTGTTTGCTCAACTAACAGGATTGAACCATCGTTTTGAAGGAGCAGTTTTGAAACACTGTTTTCGTGGAATCTGCAAGTGGATATTTGGCTAGCTTTGAGGATTTCGTTGGAAACGGGATTACATATAAAAAGGAGACAGCAGCATTCTCAGAAACTTCTTTGTGATGTCTGCATTCAAGTCACAGAGTTGAGCATTCCCTTTCATAGAGCAGGTTGGAAACACTCTTTTTGTAGTATCTGGATGAGGACATTTGGAGCGCTTTCAGGCGTATGGTGAAAAAGGAAATATCTTCCCGTAAAAACTAGACAGAAGCATTCTCAGAAATTTATTTGTGATGTGTGCCCTCAACTAACAGAGTTGAACCTTTCTTTTGATAGAGCAGTTTTGAAACACTCTTTTTGTAAAATCTGCAAAGAGGATATTTGGATAGCTTTGAGGATTTCATTGCAAACGGGAATGGCTTCATATAAACTCTAGACAGAAGCATTCTCAGAAACTTCGTTGGGATGTTTCGATTGAAGTCCCAGTGTTGAACATTCCCTTTTATAGAGCAGGTTGGAAACACTCTTTCTGCATTCCCTGGAAGTGGACCTTTGGAGCGCTTTCAGGACGACGGTGAAAATGGAAATATCTTCCAATAAAATCTAGATAGAAGCAACGTCAGAAACTTTTATGTGATGGATCTACTCAGCTAACAGAGTTGAACCTTTCTTTTGAGAGAGCAGTTTTGCAACACTCTTTTTGTGGAATATGCAAGTGGATATTAGGGCAGCTTTGAGGATTTCGTTGGAAACGGGAATACATGTAAAAAGCAGACAGCAGCATTCTCAGAAACTTCTTTGTGATGTTTGCATTGAAGTCACAGAGTTGAACATTCCCTTTGAGAGAGCAGGTTTGAAACACGCCTTTTGTCATATCTGGAAGTGTCCATTCGGAGCGCATTCAGGCTTGTGTTGAAAAAGGAAATATCCTCCCATAAAAACTAGACAGAAGCATTCTCAGAAACTTATCTGTGATGTATGTACTCAACTAACAGAACTAAACCATCGTTTTGAAGGAGCAGTTTTGAAACACTCTTTTTGCGGAATCTGCAAGTGGATATTTGGCTAGCTGGGAGGATTTCGTTGGAAACGGGATTACATACAAAAAGCAGACAGCAGCATTCTCAGAAACTTCTTTGTGATGTTTGCATTCAAGTCACAGAGTTGAACATTCCCTTTCATAGAGCAGGTTTGAAACACTCTTTTTGTAGTATCTGGATGTGGACATTTGGATCGCTTTCAGGCCTATGGTGAAAAAGGAAATATCTTCCCATGAAAACTAGACAGAAGCATTCTCAGAAACTTATTTGTGATGTGTGCCCTCAACTGACAGTGTTGAACCTTTGTTTTGATAGAGCAGTTCTGAAACACACTTTTTGTAAAATCTGCAAGAGGATATTTGGATAGCTTTGAGGATTTCGTTGGAAACGGGAATGTCTTCATGTAAACTCTAGACAGAAGCATTCTCAGAAACTGCTTTGGGATGTTTCAATTGAAGTCCCAGTGTTGAACATTCCCATTCATAGAGCAGGTTTGAAACACTCTTTTTGTACTATCTGGAAGTGGACATTTGGAGCGCTTTCAGGTCTACGGTGAAAAAGGAGATATCTTCCAATAAAAACTAGATAGAAGCAATGTCAGAACTTTTTTCATGATGTATCTACTCAGCAAACAGAGTTGAACCTTTCTTTTGAGAGAGCAGTTTTGAAACACTCTTTTTGTGGAATATGCAAGTGGGTATTAGGCCAGCTTGGAGGATTTCGTTGGAAACGGGAATACGTATAAAAAGCAGACAGCAGCATTGTCAGAAACTACTTTGTGATGTTTGCATTCAAGTCACAGAATTGAACACTCCCTTTCACAGAGCAGGTTTGAAACACTCTTTTTGTAGTGTCTGTAAGTGAACTTTTGGATTGCTTTCAGGCCTAAGGTGAAAAAGGAAATATCTTCCCATAAAAACTAGACAGAAGCATTCTCAGAAACTTGTTTGTGATGTGTGCCCTCTACTGACAGAGTTGAACCTTTCTTTGCAAAGAGCAGTTTTGAAACACTCTTTTTGTAGAATCTGCAAGAGGATATTTGGATAGCTTTGAGGATTTCTTGGGAAACGGGAATGTCTTCAGATAAACTCTAGACAGAAGCATTCTCAGAAACTTCTTTGGGATGTTTCAATTGAAGTCACAGTGTTGAACATTCCCTTTCACAGAGCAGGTTTGAAACACTCTTTTTGTAGTGTCTATAAGTGAACATTTGGCGTGCTTTCAGGCCTAACGTGAAAAAGGAAATATCTTCCCATAAAAACTAGACAGAAGCATTCTCAGAAACTTGTTCGTGATGTGTGCCCTCTACTGACAGAGTTGAACCTTTCTTTGCAAAGAGCAGCTTTGAAACACACTTTTTGTAGAATCTGCAAGAGGATATTTGGATAGCTTTGAGGATTTCGTTGGAAACGGGTATGTCTTCAGATAAACTCTAGACAGAAGCATTCTCAGAAACTTCTTTGGGATGTTGCATTCAAGTCACAGATTAGAACATTCCCATTCATAGAGCAGATTTGAAACACTCTTTTTGTAGTATCTGGAAGTGGACATTTGGAGCGCTTTCAGGCCTATGTTGAAAAAGGAAATATCTTCCCATAAAAACTAGACGGAAGCATTCTCAGAAACTTATTTGTGATGTGTTTGCTCAACTAACAGGATTGAACCATCGTTTTGAAGGAGCAGTTTTGAAACACTGTTTTCGTGGAATCTGCAAGTGGATATTTGGCTAGCTTTGAGGATTTCGTTGGAAACGGCATTACATATACAAAGGAGACAGCAGCATTCTCAGAAACTTCTTTGTGATGTCTGCATTCAAGTCACAGAGTTGAGCATTCCCTTTCATAGAGCAGGTTGGAAACACTCTTTTTGTAGTATCTGGATGAGGACATTTGGAGCGCTTTCAGGCCTATGGTGAAAAAGGAAATATCTTCCCGTAAAAACTAGACAGAAGCATTCTCAGAAATTTATTTGTGATGTGTGCCCTCAACTAACAGAGTTGAACCTTTCTTTTGATAGAGCAGTTTTGAAACACTCTTTTTGTAAAATCTGCAAGAGGATATTTGGATAGCTTTGAGGATTTCGTTGCAAACGGGAATGGCTTCATATAAACTCTAGACAGAAGCATTCTCAGAAACTTCGTTGGGATGTTTCGATTGAAGTCCCAGTGTTGAACATTCCCTTTTATAGAGCAGGTTGGAAACACTCTTTCTGCATTCCCTGGAAGTGGACATTTGGAGCGCTTTCAGGACGACGGTGAAAATGGAAATATCTTCCAAGAAAATCTAGATAGAAGCAACGTCAGAAACTTTTCTGTGATGGATCTACTCAGCTAACAGAGTTGAACCTTTCTTTTGAGAGAGCAGTTTTGCAACACTCTTTTTGTGGAATATGCAAGTGGATATTAGGGCAGCTTTGAGGATTTCGTTGGAAACGGGAATACATGTAAAAAGCAGACAGCAGCATTCTCAGAAACTTCTTTGTGATGTTTGCATTGAAGTCACAGAGTTGAACATTCCCTTTGAGAGAGCAGGTTTGAAACACGCCTTTTGTCATATCTGGAAGTGTCCATTCGGAGCGCATTCAGGCTTGTGTTGAAAAAGGAAATATCCTCCCATAAAAACTAGACAGAAGCATTCTCAGAAACTTATCTGTGATGTATGTACTCAACTAACAGAACTAAACCATCGTTTTGAAGGAGCAGTTTTGAAACACTCTTTTTGCGGAATCTGCAAGTGGATATTTGGCTAGCTGGGAGGATTTCGTTGGAAACGGGATTACATACAAAAAGCAGACAGCAGCATTCTCAGAAACTTCTTTGTGATGTTTGCATTCAAGTCACAGAGTTGAACATTCCCTTTCATAGAGCAGGTTTGAAACACTCTTTTTGTAGTATCTGGATGTGGACATTTGGATCGCTTTCAGGCCTATGGTGAAAAAGGAAATATCTTCCCCATGAAAACTAGACAGAAGCATTCTCAGAAACTTATTTGTGATGTGTGCCCTCAACTGACAGTGTTGAACCTTTGTTTTGATAGAGCAGTTCTGAAACACACTTTTTGTAAAATCTGCAAGAGGATATTTGGATAGCTTTGAGGATTTCGTTGGAAACGGGAATGTCTTCATGTAAACTCTACACAGAAGCATTCTCAGAAACTGCTTTGGGATGTTTCAATTGAAGTCCCAGTGTTGAACATTCCCATTCATAGAGCAGGTTTGAAACACTCTTTTTGTAATATCTGGAAGTGGACATTTGGAGCGCTTTCAGGTCTACGGTGAAAAAGGAGATATCTTCCAATAAAAACTAGATAGAAGCAATGTCAGAACTTTTTTCATGATGTATCTACTCAGCTAACAGAGTTGAACCTTTCTTTTGAGAGAGCAGTTTTGAAACACTCTTTTTGTGGAATATGCAAGTGGGTATTAGGCCAGCTTGGAGGATTTCGTTGGAAACGGGAATACGTATAAAAAGCAGACAGCAGCATTGTCAGAAACTACTTTGTGATGTTTGCATTCAAGTCACAGAATTGAACACTCCCTTTCACAGAGCAGGTTTGAAACACTCTTTTTGTAGTGTCTGTAAGTGAACATATGGATTGCTTTCAGGCCTAAGGTGAAAAAGGAAATATCTTCCCATAAAAACTAGACAGAAGCATTCTCAGAAACTTGTTTGTGATGTGTGCCCTCTACTGACAGAGTTGAACCTTTCTTTGCAAAGAGCAGCTTTGAAACACTCTTTTTGTAGAATCTGCAAGAGGATATGTGGATAGCTTTGAGGATTTCGTTGGAAACGGGTATGTCTTCAGATAAACTCTAGACAGAAGCATTCTCAGAAACTTCTTTGGGATGTTTCAATTGAAGTCACAGTGTTGAACATTCCCTTTCACAGAGCAGGTTTGAAACACTCTTTTTGTAGTGTCTATAAGTGAACATTTGGCGTGCTTTCAGGCCTAACGTGAAAAAGGAAATATCTTCCCATAAAAACTAGACAGAAGCATTCTCAGAAACTTGTTCATGATGTGTGCCCTCTACTGACAGAGTTGAACCTTTCTTTGCAAAGAGCAGCTTTGAAACACTCTTTTTGTAGAATCTGCAAGAGGATATTTGGATAGCTTTGAATATTTCTTTGGAAACGGGTATGTCTTCAGATAAACTCTAGACAGAAGCATTCTCAGAAACTTCTTTGGGATGTTGCATTCAAGTCACAGAGTAGAACATTCCCATTCATAGAGCAGATTTGAAACACTCTTTTTGTAGTATCTGGAAGTGGACATTTGGAGCGCTTTCAGGCCTATGTTGAAAAAGGAAATATCTTCCCATAAAAACTAGACGGAAGCATTCTCAGAAACTTATTTGTGATGTGTTTGCTCAACTAACAGGATTGAACCATCGTTTTGAAGGAGCAGTTTTGAAACACTGTTTTCGTGGAATCTGCAAGTGGATATTTGGCTAGCTTTGAGGATTTCGTTGGAAACGGGATTACATATAAAAAGGAGACAGCAGCATTCTCAGAAACTTCTTTGTGATGTCTGCATTCAATTCACAGAGTTGAGCATTCCCTTTCATAGAGCAGGTTGGAAACACTCTTTTTGTAGTATCTGGATGAGGACATTTGGAGCGCTTTCAGGCGTATGGTGAAAAAGGAAATATCTTCCCGTAAAAACTAGACAGAAGCATTCTCAGAAGTTTATTTCTGATGTGTGCCCTCAACTAACAGAGTTGAACCTTTCTTTTGATAGAGCAGTTTTGAAACACTCTTTTTGTAAAATCTGCAAGAGGATATTTGGATAGCTTTGAGGATTTCGTTGCAAACGGGAATGGCTTCATATAAACTCTAGACAGAAGCATTCTCAGAAACTTCGTTGGGATGTTTCGATTGAAGTCCCAGTGTTGAACATTCCCTTTTATAGAGCAGGTTGGAAACACTCTTTCTGCATTCCCTGGAAGTGGACATTTGGAGCGCTTTCAGGACGACGGTGAAAATGGAAATATCTTCCAAGAAAATCTAGATAGAAGCAACGTCAGAAACTTTTCTGTGATGGATCTACTCAGCTAACAGAGTTGAACCTTTCTTTTGAGAGAGCAGTTTTGCAACACTCTTTTTGTGGAATATGCAAGTGGATATTAGGGCAGCTTTGAGGATTTCGTTGGAAACGGGAATACATGTAAAAAGCAGACAGCAGCATTCTCAGAAACTTCTTTGTGATGTTTGCATTGAAGTCACAGCAGTTGAACATTCCCTTTGAGAGAGCAGGTTTGAAACACGCCTTTTGTCATATCTGGAAGTGTCCATTCGGAGCGCATTCAGGCTTGTGTTGAAAAAGGAAATATCCTCCCATAAAAACTAGACAGAAGCATTCTCAGAAACTTATCTGTGATGTATGTACTCAACTAACAGAACTAAACCATCGTTTTGAAGGAGCAGTTTTGAAACACTCTTTTTGCGGAATCTGCAAGTGGATATTTGGCTAGCTGGGAGGATTTCGTTGGAAACGGGATTACATACAAAAAGCAGACAGCAGCATTCTCAGAAACTTCTTTGTGATGTTTGCATTCAAGTCACAGAGTTGAACATTCCCTTTCATAGAGCAGGTTTGAAACACTCTTTTTGTACTATCTGGATGTGGACATTTGGATCGCTTTCAGGCCTATGGTGAAAAAGGAAATATCTTCCCATGAAAACTAGACAGAAGCATTCTCAGAAACTTATTTGTGATGTGTGCCCTCAACTGACAGTGTTGAACCTTTGTTTTGATAGAGCAGTTCTGAAACACACTTTTTGTAAAATCTGCAAGAGGATATTTGGATAGCTTTGAGGATTTCGTTGGAAACGGGAATGTCTTCATGTAAACTCTAGACAGAAGCATTCTCAGAAACTGCTTTGGGATGTTTCAATTGAAGTCCCAGTGTTGAACATTCCCTTTCATAGAGCAGGTTTGAAACACTCTTTTTGTACTATCTGGAAGTGGACATTTGGAGCGCTTTCAGGTCTACGGTGAAAAAGGAGATATCTTCCAATAAAAACTAGATAGAAGCAATGTCAGAACTTTTTTCATGATGTATCTACTCAGCAAACAGAGTTGAACCTTTCTTTTGAGAGAGCCGTTTTGAAACACTCTTTTTGTGGAATATGCAAGTGGGTATTAGGCCAGCTTGGAGGATTTCGTTGGAAACGGGAATACGTATAAAAAGCAGACAGCAGCATTGTCAGAAACTACTTTGTGATGTTTGCATTCAAGTCACAGAATTGAACACTCCCTTTCACAGAGCAGGTTTGAAACACACTTTTTGTAGTGTCTGTAAGTGAACATTTGGATTGCTTTCAGGCCTATGGTGAAAAAGGAAATATCTTCCCATAAAAACTAGACAGAAGCATTGTCAGAAACTACTTTGTGATGTTTGCATTCAAGTCACAGAATTGAACACTCCCTTTCAAAGAGCAGGTTTGAAACACTCTTTTTGTAGTGTCTGTAAGTGAACATATGGATTGCTTTCAGGCCTAAGGTGAAAAAGGAAATATCTTCCCATAAAAACTAGACAGAAGCATTCTCAGAAACTTCTTTGGGATGTTTCAATTGAAGTCACAGTGTTGAACATTCCCTTTCACAGAGCAGGTTTGAAACACTCTTTTTGTAGTGTGTATAAGTGAACATTTGGCGTGCTTTCAGGCCTAACGTGAAAAAGGAAATATCTTCCCATAAAAACTAGACAGAAGCATTCTCAGAAACTTGTTCGTGATGTGTGCCCTCTACTGACAGAGTTGAACCTTTCTTTGCAAAGAGCAGCTTTGAAACACTCTTTTTGTAGAATCTGCCAGAGGATATTTGGATAGCTTTGAGGATTTCGTTGGAAACGGGTATGTCTTCAGATAAACTCTAGACAGAAGCATTCTCAGAAACTTCTTTGGGATGTTGCATTCAAGTCACAGAGTAGAACATTCCCATTCATAGAGCAGATTTGAAACACTCTTTTTGTAGTATCTGGAAGTGGACATTTGGAGCGCTTTCAGGCCTATGTTGAAAAAGGAAATATCTTCCCATAAAAACTAGACGGAAGCATTCTCAGAAACTTACTTGTGATGTGTTTGCTCAACTAACAGAATTGAAACATCGTTTTGAAGGAGCAGTTTTGAAACACTGTTTTCGTGGAATCTGCAAGTGGATATTTGGCTAGCTTTGAGGATTTCGTTGGAAACGGGATTACATATAAAAAGGAGACAGCAGCATTCTCAGAAACTTCTTTGTGATGTCTGCATTCAATTCACAGAGTTGAGCATTCCCTTTCATAGAGCAGGTTGGAAACACTCTTTTTGTAGTATCTGGATGAGGACATTTGGAGCGCTTTCAGGCGTATGGTGAAAAAGGAAATATCTTCCCGTAAAAACTAGACAGAAGCATTCTCAGAAGTTTATTTGTGATGTGTGCCCTCAACTAACAGAGTTGAACCTTTCTTTTGATAGAGCAGTTTTGAAACACTCTTTTTGTAAAATCTGCAAGAGGATATTTGGATAGCTTTGAGGATTTCGTTGCAAACGGGAATGGCTTCATATAAACTCTAGACAGAAGCATTCTCAGAAACTTCGTTGGGATGTTTCGATTGAAGTCCCAGTGTTGAACATTCCCTTTTATAGAGCAGGTTGGAAACACTCTTTCTGCATTCCCTGGAAGTGGACATTTGGAGCGCTTTCAGGACGACGGTGAAAATGGAAATATCTTCCAAGAAAATCTAGATAGAAGCAATGTCAGAAACTTTTATGTGATGGATCTACTCAGCTAACAGAGTTGAACCTTTCTTTTGAGAGAGCAGTTTTGCAACACTCTTTTTGTGGAATATGCAAGTGGATATTAGGGCAGCTTTGAGGATTTCGTTGGAAACGGGAATACATGTAAAAAGCAGACAGCAGCATTCTCAGAAACTTCTTTGTGATGTTTGCATTGAAGTCACAGAGTTGAACATTCCCTTTGAGAGAGCAGGTTTGAAACACGCCTTTTGTCATATCTGGAAGTGTCCATTCGGAGCGCATTCAGGCTTGTGTTGAAAAAGGAAATATCCTCCCATAAAAACTAGACAGAAGCATTCTCAGAAACTTATCTGTGATGTATGTACTCAACTAACAGAACTAAACCATCGTTTTGAAGGAGCAGTTTTGAAACACTCTTTTTGCGGAATCTGCAAGTGGATATTTGGCTAGCTGGGAGGATTTCGTTGGAAACGGGATTACATACAAAAAGCAGAGAGCAGCATTCTCAGAAACTTCTTTGTGATGTTTGCATTCAAGTCACAGAGTTGAACATTCCCTTTCATAGAGCAGGTTTGAAACACTCTTTTTGTAGTATCTGGATGTGGACATTTGGATCGCTTTCAGGCCTATGGTGAAAAAGGAAATATCTTCCCATGAAAACTAGACAGAAGCATTCTCAGAAACTTATTTGTGATGTGTGCCCTCAACTGACAGTGTTGAACCTTTGTTTTGATAGAGCAGTTCTGAAACACACTTTTTGTAAAATCTGCAAGAGGATATTTGGATAGCTTTGAGGATTTCGTTGGAAACGGGAATGTCTTCATGTAAACTCTAGACAGAAGCATTCTCAGAAACTGCTTTGGGATGTTTCAATTGAAGTCCCAGTGTTGAACATTCCCTTTCATAGAGCAGGTTTGAAACACTCTTTTTGTACTATCTGGAAGTGGACATTTGGAGCGCTTTCAGGTCTACGGTGAAAAAGGAGATATCTTCCAATAAAAACTAGATAGAAGCAATGTCAGAACTTTTTTCATGATGTATCTACTCAGCAAACAGAGTTGAACCTTTCTTTTGAGAGAGCAGTTTTGAAACACTCTTTTTGTGGAATATGCAAGTGGGTATTAGGCCAGCTTGGAGGATTTCGTTGGAAACGGGAATACGTATAAAAAGCAGACAGCAGCATTGTCAGAAACTACTTTGTGATGTTTGCATTCAAGTCACAGAATTGAACACTCCCTTTCACAGAGCAGGTTTGAAACACTCTTTTTGTAGTGTCTGTAAGTGAACATTTGGATTGCTTTCAGGCCTAAGGTGAAAAAGGAAATATCTTCCCATAAAAACTAGACAGAAGCATTCTCAGAAACTTGTTTGTGATGTGTGCCCTCTACTGACAGAGTTGAACCTTTCTTTGCAAAGAGCAGTTTTGAAACACTCTTTTTGTAGAATCTGCAAGAGGATATTTGGATAGCTTTGAGGATTTCTTGGGAAACGGGAATGTCTTCAGATAAACTCTAGACAGAAGCATTCTCAGAAACTTCTTTGGGATGTTTCAATTGAAGTCACAGTGTTGAACATTCCCTTTCACAGAGCAGGTTTGAAACACTCTTTTTGTAGTGTCTATAAGTGAACATTTGGCGTGCTTTCAGGCCTAACGTGAAAAAGGAAATATCTTCCCATAAAAACTAGACAGAAGCATTCTCAGAAACTTGTTCGTGATGTGTGCCCTCTACTGACAGAGTTGAACCTTTCTTTGCAAAGAGCAGCTTTGAAACACTCTTTTTGTAGAATCTGCAAGAGGATATTTGGATAGCTTGGAGGATTTCGTTGGAAACGGGTATGTCTTCAGATAAACTCTAGACAGAAGCATTCTCAGAAACTTCTTTGGGATGTTGCATTCAAGTCACAGAGTAGAACATTCCCATTCATAGAGCAGATTTGAAACACTCTTTTTGTAGTATCTGGAAGTGGACATTTGGAGCGCTTTCAGGCCTATGCTGAAAAAGGAAATATCTTCCCATAAAAACTAGACGGAAGCATTCTCAGAAACTTATTTGTGATGTGTTTGCTCAACTAACAGGATTGAACCATCGTTTTGAAGGAGCAGTTTTGAAACACTGTTTTCGTGGAATCTGCAAGTGGATATTTGGCTAGCTTTGAGGATTTCGTTGGAAACGGGATTACATATAAAAAGGAGACAGCAGCATTCTCAGAAACTTCTTTGTGATGTCTGCATTCAATTCACAGAGTTGAGCATTCCCTTTCATAGAGCAGGTTGGAAACACTCTTTTTGTAGTATCTGGATGAGGACATTTGGAGCGCTTTCAGGCGTATGGTGAAAAAGGAAATATCTTCCCGTAAAAACTAGACAGAAGCATTCTCAGAAGTTTATTTGTGATGTGTGCCCTCAACTAACAGAGTTGAACCTTTCTTTTGATAGAGCAGTTTTGAAACACTCTTTTTGTAAAATCTGCAAGAGGATATTTGGATAGATTTGAGGATTTCGTTGCAAACGGGAATGGCTTCATAGAAACTCTAGACAGAAGCATTCTCAGAAACTTCGTTGGGATGTTTCGATTGAAGTCCCAGTGTTGAACATTCCCTTTTATAGAGCAGGTTGGAAACACTCTTTCTGCATTCCCTGGAAGTGGACATTTGGAGCGCTTTCAGGACGACGGTGAAAATGGAAATATCTTCCAAGAAAATCTAGATAGAAGCAATGTCAGAAACTTTTATGTGATGGATCTACTCAGCTAACAGAGTTGAACCTTTCTTTTGAGAGAGCAGTTTTGCAACACTCTTTTTGTGGAATATGCAAGTGGATATTAGGGCAGCTTTGAGGATTTCGTTGGAAACGGGAATACATGTAAAAAGCAGACAGCAGCATTCTCAGAAACTTCTTTGTGATGTTTGCATTGAAGTCACAGAGTTGAACATTCCCTTTGAGAGAGCAGGTTTGAAACACGCCTTTTGTCATATCTGGAAGTGTCCATTCGGAGCGCATTCAGGCTTGTGTTGAAAAAGGAAATATCCTCCCATAAAAACTAGGACGGAAGCATTCTCAGAAACTTATCTGTGATGTATGTACTCAACTAACAGAACTAAACCATCGTTTTGAAGGAGCAGTTTTGAAACACTCTTTTTGCGGAATCTGCAAGTGGATATTTGGCTAGCTGGGAGGATTTCGTTGGAAACGGGATTACATACAAAAAGCAGACAGCAGCATTCTCAGAAACTTCTTTGTGATGTTTGCATTCAAGTCACAGAGTTGAACATTCCCTTTCATAGAGCAGGTTTGAAACACTCTTTTTGTAGTATCTGGATGTGGACATTTGGATCGCTTTCAGGCCTATGGTGAAAAAGGAAATATCTTCCCATGAAAACTAGACAGAAGCATTCTCAGAAACTTCTTTGTGATGTGTGCCCTCAACTGACAGTGTTGAACCTTTGTTTTGATAGAGCAGTTCTGAAACACACTTTTTGTAAAATCTGCAAGAGGATATTTGGATAGCTTTGAGGATTTCGTTGGAAACGGGAATGTCTTCATGTAAACTCTACACAGAAGCATTCTCAGAAACTGCTTTGGGATGTTTCAATTGAAGTCCCAGTGTTGAACATTCCCATTCATAGAGCAGGTTTGAAACACTCTTTTTGTACTATCTGGAAGTGGACATTTGGAGCGCTTTCAGGTCTACGGTGAAAAAGGAGATATCTTCCAATAAAAACTAGATAGAAGCAATGTCAGAACTTTTTTCATGATGTATCTACTCAGCAAACAGAGTTGAACCTTTCTTTTGAGAGAGCAGTTTTGAAACACTCTTTTTGTGGAATATGCAAGTGGGTATTAGGCCAGCTTGGAGGATTTCGTTGGAAACGGGAATACGTATAAAAAGCAGACAGCAGCATTGTCAGAAACTACTTTGTGATGTTTGCATTCAAGTCACAGAATTGAACACTCCCTTTCACAGAGCAGGTTTGAAACACTCTTTTTGTAGTGTCTGTAAGTGAACATATGGATTGCTTTCAGGCCTAAGGTGAAAAAGGAAATATCTTCCCATAAAAACTAGACAGAAAGCATTCTCAGAAACTTGTTTGTGATGTGTGCCCTCTACTGACAGAGTTGAACCTTTCTTTGCAAAGAGCAGTTTTGAAACACTCTTTTTGTAGAATCTGCAAGAGGATATTTGGATAGCTTTGAAGATTTCTTGGGAAACGGGAATGTCTTCAGATAAACTCTAGACAGAAGCATTCTCAGAAACTTCTTTGGGATGTTTCAATTGAAGTCACAGTGTTGAACATTCCCTTTCACAGAGCAGGTTTGAAACACTCTTTTTGTAGTGTCTATAAGTGAACATTTGGCGTGCTTTCAGGCCTAACGTGAAAAAGGAAATATCTTCCCATAAAAACTAGACAGAAGCATTCTCAGAAACTTGTTCATGATGTGTGCCCTCTACTGACAGAGTTGAACCTTTCTTTGCAAAGAGCAGCTTTGAAACACTCTTTTTGTAGAATCTGCAAGAGGATATTTGGATAGCTTGGAGGATTTCGTTGGAAACGGGTATGTCTTCAGATAAACTCTAGACAGAAGCATTCTCAGAAACTTCTTTGGGATGTTGCATTCAAGTCACAGAGTAGAACATTCCCATTCATAGAGCAGATTTGAAACACTCTTTTTGTAGTATCTGGAAGTGGACATTTGGAGCGCTTTCAGGCCTATGTTGAAAAAGGAAATATCTTCCCATAAAAACTAGACGGAAGCATTCTCAGAAACTTACTTGTGATGTGTTTGCTCAACTAACAGAATTGAACCATCGTTTTGAAGGAGCAGTTTTGAAACACTGTTTTCGTGGAATCTGCAAGTGGATATTTGGCTAGCTTTGAGGATTTCGTTGGAAACGGGATTACATATAAAAAGGAGACAGCAGCATTCTCAGAAACTTCTTTGTGATGTCTGCATTCAAGTCACAGAGTTGAGCATTCCCTTTCATAGAGCAGGTTGGAAACACTCTTTTTGTAGTATCTGGATGAGGACATTTGGAGCGCTTTCAGGCGTATGGTGAAAAAGGAAATATCTTCCCGTAAAAACTAGACAGAAGCATTCTCAGAAATTTATTTGTGATGTGTGCCCTCAACTAACAGAGTTGAACCTTTCTTTTGATAGAGCAGTTTTGAAACACTCTTTTTGTAAAATCTGCAAGAGGATATTTGGATAGCTTTGAGGATTTCGTTGCAAACGGGAATGGCTTCATATAAACTCTAGACAGAAGCATTCTCAGAAACTTCGTTGGGATGTTTCGATTGAAGTCCCAGTGTTGAACATTCCCTTTTATAGAGCAGGTTGGAAACACTCTTTCTGCATTCCCTGGAAGTGGACATTTGGAGCGCTTTCAGGACGACGGTGAAAATGGAAATATCTTCCAAGAAAATCTAGATAGAAGCAACGTCAGAAACTTTTATGTGATGGATCTACTCAGCTAACAGAGTTGAACCTTTCTTTTGAGAGAGCAGTTTTGCAACACTCTTTTTGTGGAATATGCAAGTGGATATTAGGGCAGCTTTGAGGATTTCGTTGGAAACGGGAATACATGTAAAAAGCAGACAGCAGCATTCTCAGAAACTTCTTTGTGATGTTTGCATTGAAGTCACAGAGTTGAACATTCCCTTTGAGAGAGCAGGTTTGAAACACGCCTTTTGTCATATCTGGAAGTGTCCATTCGGAGCGCATTCAGGCTTGTGTTGAAAAAGGAAAATATCCTCCCATAAAAACTAGACAGAAGCATTCTCAGAAACTTATCTGTGATGTATGTACTCAACTAACAGAACTAAACCATCGTTTTGAAGGAGCAGTTTTGAAACACTCTTTGTGCGGAATCTGCAAGTGGATATTTGGCTAGCTGGGAGGATTTCGTTGGAAACGGGATTACATACAAAAAGCAGACAGCAGCATTCTCAGAAACTTCTTTGTGATGTTTGCATTCAAGTCACAGAGTTGAACATTCCCTTTCATAGAGCAGGTTTGAAACACTCTTTTTGTAGTATCTGGATGTGGACATTTGGATCGCTTTCAGGCCTATGGTGAAAAAGGAAATATCTTCCCATGAAAACTAGACAGAAGCATTCTCAGAAACTTATTTGTGATGTGTGCCCTCAACTGACAGTGTTGAACCTTTGTTTTGATAGAGCAGTTCTGAAACACACTTTTTGTAAAATCTGCAAGAGGATATTTGGATAGCTTTGAGGATTTCGTTGGAAACGGGAATGTCTTCATGTAAACTCTGGACAGAAGCATTCTCAGAAACTGCTTTGGGATGTTTCAATTGAAGTCCCAGTGTTGAACATTCCCTTTCATAGGAGCAGGTTTGAAACACTCTTTTTGTACTATCTGGAAGTGGACATTTGGAGCGCTTTCAGGTCTACGGTGAAAAAGGAGATATCTTCCAATAAAAACTAGATAGAAGCAATGTCAGAACTTTTTTCATGATGTATCTACTCAGCAAACAGAGTTGAACCTTTCTTTTGAGAGAGCAGTTTTGAAACACTCTTTTTGTGGAATATGCAAGTGGGTATTAGGCCAGCTTGGAGGATTTCGTTGGAAACGGGAATACGTATAAAAAGCAGACAGCAGCATTGTCAGAAACTACTTTGTGATGTTTGCATTCAAGTCACAGAATTGAACACTCCCTTTCACAGAGCAGGTTTGAAACACTCTTTTTGTAGTGTCTGTAAGTGAACATATGGATTGCTTTCAGGCCTAAGGTGAAAAAGGAAATATCTTCCCATAAAAACTAGACAGAAGCATTCTCAGAAACTTGTTTGTGATGTGTGCCCTCTACTGACAGAGTTGAACCTTTCTTTGCAAAGACCAGTTTTGAAACACTCTTTTTGTAGAATCTGCAAGAGGATATTTGGATAGCTTTGAGGATTTCTTGGGAAACGGGAATGTCTTCAGATAAACTCTAGACAGAAGCATTCTGAGAAACTTCTTTGGGATGTTTCAATTGAAGTCACAGTGTTGAACATTCCCTTTCACAGAGCAGGTTTGAAACACTCTTTTTGTAGTGTCTATAAGTGAACATTTGGCGTGCTTTCAGGCCTAACGTGAAAAAGGAAATATCTTCCCATAAAAACGAGACAGAAGCATTCTCAGAAACTTGTTCGTGATGTGTGCCCTCTACTGACAGAGTTGAACCTTTCTTTGCAAAGAGCAGCTTTGAAACACTCTTTTTGTAGAATCTGCAAGAGGATATTTGGATAGCTTTGAGGATTTCGTTGGAAACGGGTATGTCTTCAGATAAACTCTAGACAGAAGCATTCTCAGAAACTTCTTTGGGATGTTGCATTCAAGTCACAGAGTAGAACATTCCCATTCATAGAGCAGATTTGAAACACTCTTTTTGTAGTATCTGGAAGTGGACATTTGGAGCGCTTTCAGGCCTATGTTGAAAAAGGAAATATCTTCCCATAAAAACTAGACGGAAGCATTCTCAGAAACTTACTTGTGATGTGTTTGCTCAACTAACAGAATTGAACCATCGTTTTGAAGGAGCAGTTTTGAAACACTGTTTTCGTGGAATCTGCAAGTGGATATTTGGCTAGCTTGAGGATTTCGTTGGAAACGGGATTACATATAAAAAGGAGACAGCAGCATTCTCAGAAACTTCTTTGTGATGTTTGCATTCAAGTCGCAGAGTTGAACATTCCCTTTCATAGAGCAGGTTTGAAAAACTCTTTTTGTAGTATCTGGATGTGGACATTTGGATCGCTTTCAGGCCGACGGTGAAAAAGGAAATATCTTCCCATGAAAACTAGACAGAAGCATTCTCAGAAACTTATTTGTGATGTGTGCCCTCAACTGACAGTGTTGAACCTTTGTTTTGATAGAGCAGTTCTGAAACACACTTTTTGTAAAATCTGCAAGAGGATATTTGGATAGCTTTGAGGATTTCGTTGGAAACGGGAATGTCTTCATGTAAACTCTAGACAGAAGCATTCTCAGAAACTGCTTTGGGATGTTTCAATTGAAGTCCCAGTGTTGAACATTCCCATTCATAGAGCAGGTTTGAAACACTCTTTTTGTACTATCTGGAAGTGGACATTTGGAGCGCTTTCAGGTCTACGGTGAAAAAGGAGATATCTTCCAATAAAAACTAGATAGAAGCAATGTCAGAACTTTTTTCATGATGTATCTACTCAGCAAACAGAGTTGAACCT
This sequence comes from Homo sapiens, assembly GCF_000001405.40. Lineage (NCBI taxonomy): Eukaryota > Metazoa > Chordata > Mammalia > Primates > Hominidae > Homo > Homo sapiens. The sequence goes on from NC_000020.11 coordinate 26,667,720, forward strand.
TTCTTTTGAGGGAGCAGTTTTGAAACACTATTTTTGTGGAATATGCAAGTGGGTATTAGGCCAGCTTGGAGGATTTCGTTGGAAACGGTAATACGTATAAAAAGCAGACAGCAGCATTGTCAGAAACTACTTTGTGATGTTTGCATTCAAGTCACAGAATTGAACACTCCCTTTCACAGAGCAGGTTTGAAACACTCTTTTTGTAGTGTCTGTAAGTGAACATTTGGATTGCTTTCAGGCCTAAGGTGAAAAAGGAAATATCTTCCCATAAAAACTAGACAGAAGCATTCTCAGAAACTTGTTTGTGATGTGTGCCCTCTACTGACAGAGTTGAACCTTTCTTTGCAAAGAGCAGTTTTGAAACACTCTTTTTGTAGAATCTGCAAGAGGATATTTGGATAGCTTTGAGGATTTCTTGGGAAACGGGAATGTCTTCAGATAAACTCTAGACAGAAGCATTCTCAGAAACTTCTTTGGGATGTTTCAATTGAAGTCACAGGGTTGAACATTCCCTTTCACAGAGCAGGTTTGAAACACTCTTTTTGTAGTGTCTATAAGTGAACATTTGGCGTGATTTCAGGCCAAACGTGAAAAAGGAAATATCTTCCCATAAAAACTAGACAGAAGCATTCTGAGAAACTTGTTCGTGATGTGTGCCCTCTACTGACAGAGTTGAACCTTTCTTTGCAAAGAGCAGCTTTGAAACACTCTTTTTGTAGAATCTGCAAGAGGATATTTGGATAGCTTTGAGGATTTCGTTGGAAACGGGGATGTCTTCAGATAAACTCTAGACAGAAGCATTCTCAGAAACTTCTTTGGGATGTTGCATTCAAGTCACAGAGTAGAACATTCCCATTCATAGAGCAGATTTGAAACACTCTTTTTGTAGTATCTGGAAGTGGACATTTGGAGCGCTTTCAGGCCTATGTTGAAAAAGGAAATATCTTCCCATAAAAACTAGACGGAAGCATTCTCAGAAACTTACTTGTGATGTGTTTGCTCAACTAACAGAATTGAACCATCGTTTTGAAGGAGCAGTTTTGAAACACTGTTTTCGTGGAATCTGCAAGTGGATATTTGGCTAGCTTTGAGGATTTCGTTGGAAACGGGATTACATATAAAAAGGAGACAGCACCATTCTCAGAAACTTCTTTGTGCTGTCTGCATTCAAGTCACAGAGTTGAGCATTCCCTTTCATAGAGCAGGTTGGAAACACTCTTTTTGTAGTATCTGGATGAGGACATTTGGAGCGCTTTCAGGCGTATGGTGAAAAAGGAAATATCTTCCCGTAAAAACTAGACAGAAGCATTCTCAGAAATTTATTTGTGATGTGTGCCCTCAACTAACAGAGTTGAACCTTTCTTTTGATAGAGCAGTTTTGAAACACTCTTTTTGTAAAATCTGCAAGAGGATATTTGGATAGCTTTGAGGATTTCATTGCAAACGGGAATGGCTTCATATAAACTCTAGACAGAAGCATTCTCAGAAACTTCGTTGGGATGTTTCGATTGAAGTCCCAGTGTTGAACATTCCCTTTTATAGAGCAGGTTGGAAACACTCTTTCTGCATTCCCTGGAAGTGGACATTTGGAGCGCTTTCAGGACGACGGTGAAAATGGAAATATCTTCCAAGAAAATCTAGATAGAAGCAACGTCAGAAACTTTTATGTGATGGATCTACTCAGCTAACAGCAGTTGAACCTTTCTTTTGAGAGAGCAGTTTTGCAACACTCTTTTTGTGGAATATGCAAGTGGATATTAGGGCAGCTTTGAGGATTTCGTTGGAAACGGGAATACATGTAAAAAGGAGACAGCAGCATTCTCAGAAACTTCTTTGTGATGTTTGCATTGAAGTCACAGAGTTGAACATTCCCTTTGAGAGAGCAGGTTTGAAACACGCCTTTTGTCATATCTGGAAGTGTCCATTCGGAGCGCATTCAGGCTTGTGTTGAAAAAGGAAATATCCTCCCATAAAAACTAGACAGAAGCATTCTCAGAAACTTATCTGTGATGTATGTACTCAACTAACAGAACTAAACCATCGTTTTGAAGGAGCAGTTTTGAAACACTCTTTTTGCGGAATCTGCAAGTGGATATTTGGCTAGCTGGGAGGATTTCGTTGGAAACGGGATTACATACAAAAAGCAGACAGCAGCATTCTCAGAAACTTCTTTGTGATGTTTGCATTCAAGTCACAGAGTTGAACATTCCCTTTCATAGAGCAGGTTTGAAACACTCTTTTTGTAGTATCTGGATGTGGACATTTGGATCGCTTTCAGGCCTATGGTGAAAAAGGAAATATCTTCCCATGAAAACTAGACAGAAGCATTCTCAGAAACTTATTTGTGATGTGTGCCCTCAACTGACAGTGTTGAACCTTTGTTTTGATAGAGCAGTTCTGAAACACACTTTTTGTAAAATCTGCAAGAGGATATTTGGATAGCTTTGAGGATTTCGTTGGAAACGGGAATGTCTTCATGTAAACTCTAGACAGAAGCATTCTCAGAAACTGCTTTGGGATGTTTCAATTGAAGTCCCAGTGTTGAACATTCCCATTCATAGAGCAGGTTTGAAACACTCTTTTTGTACTATCTGGAAGTGGACATTTGGAGCGCTTTCAGGTCTACGGTGAAAAAGGAGATATCTTCCAATAAAAACTAGATAGAAGCAATGTCAGAACTTTTTTCATGATGTATCTACTCAGCAAACAGAGTTGAACCTTTCTTTTGAGAGAGCAGTTTTGAAACACTCTTTTTGTGGAATATGCAAGTGGGTATTAGGCCAGCTTGGAGGATTTCGTTGGAAACGGGAATACGTATAAAAAGCAGACAGCAGAATTGTCAGAAACTACTTTGTGATGTTTGCATTCAAGTCACAGAATTGAACACTCCCTTTCACAGAGCAGGTTTGAAACACTCTTTTTGTAGTGTCTGTAAGTGAACATTTGGATTGCTTTCAGGCGTAAGGTGAAAAAGGAAATATCTTCCCATAAAAACTAGACAGAAGCATTCTCAGAAACTTGTTTGTGATGTGTGCCCTCTACTGACAGAGTTGAACCTTTCTTTGCAAAGAGCAGTTTTGAAACACTCTTTTTGTAGAATCTGCAAGAGGATATTTGGATAGCTTTGAGGATTTCTTGGGAAACGGGAATGTCTTCAGATAAACTCTAGACAGAAGCATTCTCAGAAACTTCTTTGGGATGTTTCAATTGAAGTCACAGTGTTGAACATTCCCTTTCACAGAGCAGGTTTGAAACACTCTTTTTGTAGTGTCTATAAGTGAACATTTGGCGTGCTTTCAGGCCTAACGTGAAAAAGGAAATATCTTCCCATAAAAACTAGACAGAAGCATTCTCAGAAACTTGTTCGTGATGTGTGCCCTCTACTGACAGAGTTGAACCTTTCTTTGCAAAGAGCAGCTTTGAAACACACATTTGTAGAATCTGCAAGAGGATATTTGGATAGCTTGGAGGATTTCGTTGGAAACGGGTATGTCTTCAGATAAACTCTAGACAGAAGCATTCTCAGAAACTTCTTTGGGATGTTGCATTCAAGTCACAGAGTAGAACATTCCCATTCATAGAGCAGATTTGAAACACTCTTTTTGTAGTATCTGGAAGTGGACATTTGGAGCGCTTTCAGGCCTATGTTGAAAAAGGAAATATCTTCCCATAAAAACTAGACGGAAGCATTCTCAGAAACTTATTTGTGATGTGTTTGCTCAACTAACAGGATTGAACCATCGTTTTGAAGGAGCAGTTTTGAAACACTGTTTTCGTGGAATCTGCAAGTGGATATTTGGCTAGCTTTGAGGATTTCGTTGGAAACGGGATTACATACAAAAAGCAGACAGCAGCATTCTCAGAAACATCTTTGGGATGTTTGCATTCAAGTCACAGAGTTGAACATTCTCTTTCATAGAGCAGGTTTGAGACACTCTTTTTGTGGTATCTGGAAGTGGACATTTGGGTCGCTTTGAGGCCTATGGTGAAAAAAGAAATATCTTCCCATAAAAACTAGATAGAAGCATTCTCAGAAATTTATTTGTGATGTGTGCCCTCAACTAACAGAGTTGAACCTTTCTTTTGATAGAGCAGTTTTGAAACACTCTTTTTGTAAAATCTGCAAGAGGATATTTGGATAGCTTTGAGGATTTCGTTGCAAACGGGAATGGCTTCATATAAACTCTAGACAGAAGCATTCTCAGAAACTTCGTTGGGATGTTTCGATTGAAGTCCCAGTGTTGAACATTCCCTTTTATAGAGCAGGTTGGAAACACTCTTTCTGCATTCCCTGGAAGTGGACATTTGGAGCGCTTTCAGGACGACGGTGAAAATGGAAATATCTTCCAAGAAAATCTAGATAGAAGCAACGTCAGAAACTTTTCTGTGATGGATCTACTCAGCTAACAGAGTTGAACCTTTCTTTTGAGAGAGCAGTTTTGCAACACTCTTTTTGTGGAATATGCAAGTGGATATTAGGGCAGCTTTGAGGATTTCGTTGGAAACGGGAATACATGTAAAAAGCAGACAGCAGCATTCTCAGAAACTTCTTTGTGATGTTTGCATTGAAGTCACAGAGTTGAACATTCCCTTTGAGAGAGCAGGTTTGAAACACGCCTTTTGTCATATCTGGAAGTGTCCATTCGGAGCGCATTCAGGCTTGTGTTGAAAAAGGAAATATCCTCCCATAAAAACTAGACAGAAGCATTCTCAGAAACTTATCTGTGATGTATGTACTCAACTAACAGAACTAAACCATCCTTTTGAAGGAGCAGTTTTGAAACACTCTTTTTGCGGAATCTGCAAGTGGATATTTGGCTAGCTGGGAGGATTTCGTTGGAAACGGGATTACATACAAAAAGCAGACAGCAGCATTCTCAGAAACTTCTTTGTGATGTTTGCATTCAAGTCACAGAGTTGAACATTCCCTTTCATAGAGCAGGTTTGAAACACTCTTTTTGTAGTATCTGGATGTGGACATTTGGATCGCTTTCAGGCCTATGGTGAAAAAGGAAATATCTTCCCATGAAAACTAGACAGAAGCATTCTCAGAAACTTATTTGTGATGTGTGCCCTCAACTGACAGTGTTGAACCTTTGTTTTGATAGAGCAGTTCTGAAACACACTTTTTGTAAAATCTGCAAGAGGATATTTGGATAGCTTTGAGGATTTCGTTGGAAACGGGAATGTCTTCATGTAAACTCTAGACAGAAGCATTCTCAGAAACTGCTTTGGGATGTTTCAATTGAAGTCCCAGTGTTGAACATTCCCTTTCATAGAGCAGGTTTGAAACACTCTTTTTGTACTATCTGGAAGTGGACATTTGGAGCGCTTTCAGGTCTACGGTGAAAAAGGAGATATCTTCCAATAAAAACTAGATAGAAGCAATGTCAGAACTTTTTTCATGATGTATCTACTCAGCAAACAGAGTTGAACCTTTCTTTTGAGAGAGCAGTTTTGAAACACTCTTTTTGTGGAATATGCAAGTGGGTATTAGGCCAGCTTGGAGGATTTCGTTGGAAACGGGAATACGTATAAAAAGCAGACAGCAGCATTGTCAGAAACTACTTTGTGATGTTTGCATTCAAGTCACAGAATTGAACACTCCCTTTCACAGAGCAGGTTTGAAACACTCTTTTTGTAGTGTCTGTAAGTGAACATTTGGATTGCTTTCAGGCCTAAGGTGAAAAAGGAAATGTCTTCCCATAAAAACTAGACAGAAGCATTCTCAGAAACTTGTTTGTGATGTGTGCCCTCTACTGACAGAGTTGAACCTTTCTTTGCAAAGAGCAGTTTTGAAACACTCTTTTTGTAGAATCTGCAAGAGGATATTTGGATAGCTTTGAGGATTTCTTGGGAAACGGGAATGTCTTCAGATAAACTCTAGACAGAAGAATTCTCAGAAACTTCTTTGGGATGTTTCAATTGAAGTCACAGTGTTGAACATTCCCTTTCACAGAGCAGGTTTGAAACACTCTTTTTGTAGTGTCTATAAGTGAACATTTGGCGTGCTTTCAGGCCTAACGTGAAAAAGGAAATATCTTCCCATAAAAACTAGACAGAAGCATTCTCAGAAACTTGTTCGTGATGTGTGCCCTCTACTGACAGAGTTGAACCTTTCTTTGCAAAGAGCAGCTTTGAAACACTCTTTTTGTAGAATCTGCAAGAGGATATTTGGATAGCTTGGAGGATTTCGTTGGAAACGGGTATGTCTTCAGATAAACTCTAGACAGAAGCATTCTCAGAAACTTCTTTGGGATGTTGCATTCAAGTCACAGAGTAGAACATTCCCATTCATAGAGCAGATTTGAAACACTCTTTTTGTAGTATCTGGAAGTGGACATTTGGAGCGCTTTCAGGCCTATGTTGAAAAAGGAAATATCTTCCCATAAAAACTAGACGGAAGCATTCTCAGAAACTTACTTGTGATGTGTTTGCTCAACTAACAGAATTGAACCATCGTTTTGAAGGAGCAGTTTTGAAACACTGTTTTCGTGGAATCTGCAAGTGGATATTTGGCTAGCTTTGAGGATTTCGTTGGAAACGGGATTACATATAAAAAGGAGACAGCAGCATTCTCAGAAACTTCTTTGTGATGTCTGCATTCAAGTCACAGAGTTGAGCATTCCCTTTCATAGAGCAGGTTGGAAACACTCTTTTTGTAGTATCTGGATGAGGACATTTGGAGCGCTTTCAGGCCTATGGTGAAAAAGGAAATATCTTCCCGTAAAAACTAGACAGAAGCATTCTCAGAAATTTATTTGTGATGTGTGCCCTCAACTAACAGAGTTGAACCTTTCTTTTGATAGAGCAGTTTTGAAACACTCTTTTTGTAAAATCTGCAAGAGGATATTTGGATAGCTTTGAGGATTTCGTTGCAAACGGGAATGGCTTCATATAAACTCTAGACAGAAGCATTCTCAGAAACTTCGTTGGGATGTTTCGATTGAAGTCCCAGTGTTGAACATTCCCTTTTATAGAGCAGGTTGGAAACACTCTTTCTGCATTCCCTGGAAGTGGACATTTGGAGCGCTTTCAGGACGACGGTGAAAATGGAAATATCTTCCAAGAAAATCTAGATAGAAGCAACGTCAGAAACTTTTCTGTGATGGATCTACTCAGCTAACAGAGTTGAACCTTTCTTTTGAGAGAGCAGTTTTGCAACACTCTTTTTGTGGAATATGCAAGTGGATATTAGGGCAGCTTTGAGGATTTCGTTGGAAACGGGAATACATGTAAAAAGCAGACAGCAGCATTCTCAGAAACTTCTTTGTGATGTTTGCATTGAAGTCACAGAGTTGAACATTCCCTTTGAGAGAGCAGGTTTGAAACACGCCTTTTGTCATATCTGGAAGTGTCCATTCGGAGCGCATTCAGGCTTGTGTTGAAAAAGGAAATATCCTCCCATAAAAACTAGACAGAAGCATTCTCAGAAACTTATTTGTGATGTATGTACTCAACTAACAGAACTAAACCATCGTTTTGAAGGAGCAGTTTTGAAACACTCTTTTTGCGGAATCTGCAAGTGGATATTTGGCTAGCTGGGAGGATTTCGTTGGAAACGGGATTACATACAAAAAGCAGACAGCAGCATTCTCAGAAACTTCTTTGTGATGTTTGCATTCAAGTCACAGAGTTGAACATTCCCTTTCATAGAGCAGGTTTGAAACACTCTTTTTGTAGTATCTGGATGTGGACATTTGGATCGCTTTCAGGCCTATGGTGAAAAAGGAAATATCTTCCCATGAAAACTAGACAGAAGCATTCTCAGAAACTTATTTGTGATGTGTGCCCTCAACTGACAGTGTTGAACCTTTGTTTTGATAGAGCAGTTCTGAAACACACTTTTTGTAAAATCTGCAAGAGGATATTTGGATAGCTTTGAGGATTTCGTTGGAAACGGGAATGTCTTCATGTAAACTCTAGACAGAAGCATTCTCAGAAACTGCTTTGGGATGTTTCAATTGAAGTCCCAGTGTTGAACATTCCCATTCATAGAGCATGTTTGAAACACTCTTTTTGTAGTATCTGGAAGTGGACATTTGGAGGGCTTTCAGGTCTACGGTGAAAAAGGAGATATCTTCCAATAAAAACTAGATAGAAGCAATGTCAGAACTTTTTTCATGATGTATCTACTCAGCAAACAGAGTTGAACCTTTCTTTTGAGAGAGCAGTTTTGAAACACTCTTTTTGTGGAATATGCAAGTGGGTATTAGGCCAGCTTGGAGGATTTCGTTGGAAACGGGAATACGTATAAAAAGCAGACAGCAGCATTGTCAGAAACTACTTTGTGATGTTTGCATTCAAGTCACAGAATTGAACACTCCCTTTCACAGAGCAGGTTTGAAACACTCTTTTTGTAGTGTCTGTAAGTGAACATTTGGATTGATTTCAGGCCTAAGGTGAAAAAAGAAATATCTTCCCATAAAAACTAGACAGAGAGCATTCTCAGAAACTTGTTTGTGATGTGTGCCCTCTACTGACAGAGTTGAACCTTTCTTTGCAAAGACCAGTTTTGAAACACTCTTTTTGTAGAATCTGCAAGAGGATATTTGGATAGCTTTGAGGATTTCTTGGGAAACGGGAATGTCTTCAGATAAACTCTAGACAGAGCATTCTCAGAAACTTCTTTGGGATGTTTCAATTGAAGTCACAGTGTTGAACATTCCCTTTCACAGAGCAGGTTTGAAACACTCTTTTTGTAGTGTCTATAAGTGAACATTTGGCGTGCTTTCAGGCCTAACGTGAAAAAGGAAATATCTTCCCATAAAAACTAGACAGAAGCATTCTCAGAAACTTGTTCATGATGTGTGCCCTCTACTGACAGAGTTGAACCTTTCTTTGCAAAGAGCAGCTTTGAAACACTCTTTTTGTAGAATCTGCAAGAGGATATTTGGATAGCTTTGAGGATTTCGTTGGAAACGGGTATGTCTTCAGATAAACTCTAGACAGAAGCATTCTCAGAAACTTCTTTGGGATGTTGCATTCAAGTCACAGAGTAGAACATTCCCATTCATAGAGCAGATTTGAAACACTCTTTTTGTAGTATCTGGAAGTGGACATTTGGAGCGCTTTCAGGCCTATGTTGAAAAAGGAAATATCTTCCCATAAAAAGTAGACGGAAGCATTCTCAGAAACTTACTTGTGATGTGTTTGCTCAACTAACAGAATTGAACCATCGTTTTGAAGGAGCAGTTTTGAAACACTGTTTTCGTGGAATCTGCAAGTGGATATTTGGCTAGCTTTGAGGATTTCGTTGGAAACGGGATTACATATACAAAGGAGACAGCAGCATTCTCAGCAAACTTCTTTGTGATGTCTGCATTCAAGTCACAGAGTTGAGCATTCCCTTTCATAGAGCAGGTTGGAAACACTCTTTTTGTAGTATCTGGATGAGGACATTTGGAGCGCTTTCAGGCCTATGGTGAAAAAGGAAATATCTTCCCGTAAAAACTAGACAGAAGCATTCTCAGAAATTTATTTGTGATGTGTGCCCTCAACTAACAGAGTTGAACCTTTCTTTTGATAGAGCAGTTTTGAAACACTCTTTTTGTAAAATCTGCAAGAGGATATTTGGATAGCTTTGAGGATTTCGTTGCAAACGGGAATGGCTTCATATAAACTCTAGACAGAAGCATTCTCAGAAACTTCGTTGGGATGTTTCGATTGAAGTCCCAGTGTTGAACATTCCCTTTTATAGAGCAGGTTGGAAACACTCTTTCTGCATTCCCTGGAAGTGGACATTTGGAGCGCTTTCAGGACGACGGTGAAAATGGAAATATCTTCCAAGAAAATCTAGATAGAAGCAACGTCAGAAACTTTTCTGTGATGGATCTACTCAGCTAACAGAGTTGAACCTTTCTTTTGAGAGAGCAGTTTTGCAACACTCTTTTTGTGGAATATGCAAGTGGATATTAGGGCAGCTTTGAGGATTTCGTTGGAAACGGGAATACATGTAAAAAGCAGACAGCAGCATTCTCAGAAAGTTCTTTGTGATGTTTGCATTGAAGTCACAGAGTTGAACATTCCCTTTGAGAGAGCAGGTTTGAAACACGCCTTTTGTCATATCTGGAAGTGTCCATTCGGAGCGCATTCAGGTTTGTGTTCAAAAAGGAAATATCCTCCCATAAAAACTAGACAGAAAGCATTCTCAGCAAACTTATCTGTGATGTATGTACTCAACTAACAGAACTAAACCATCGTTTTGAAGGAGCAGTTTTGAAACACTCTTTTTGCGGAATCTGCAAGTGGATATTTGGCTAGCTGGGAGGATTTCGTTGGAAACGGGATTACATACAAAAAGCAGACAGCAGCATTCTCAGAAACTTCTTTGTGATGTTTGCATTCAAGTCACAGAGTTGAACATTCCCTTTCATAGAGCAGGTTTGAAACACTCTTTTTGTAGTATCTGGATGTGGACATTTGGATCGCTTTCAGGCCTATGGTGAAAAAGGAAATATCTTCCCATGAAAACTAGACAGAAGCATTCTCAGAAACTTATTTGTGATGTGTGCCCTCAACTGACAGTGTTGAACCTTTGTTTTGATAGAGCAGTTCTGAAACACACTTTTTGTAAAATCTGCAAGAGGATATTTGGATAGCTTTGAGGATTTCGTTGGAAACGGGAATGTCTTCATGTAAACTCTACACAGAAGCATTCTCAGAAACTGCTTTGGGATGTTTCAATTGAAGTCCCAGTGTTGAACATTCCCATTCATAGAGCAGGTTTGAAACACTCTTTTTGTACTATCTGGAAGTGGACATTTGGAGCGCTTTCAGGTCTACGGTGAAAAAGGAGATATCTTCCAATAAAAACTAGATAGAAGCAATGTCAGAACTTTTTTCATGATGTATCTACTCAGCAAACAGAGTTGAACCTTTCTTTTGAGAGAGCAGTTTTGAAACACTCTTTTTGTGGAATATGAAAGTGGGTATTAGGCCAGCTTGGAGGATTTCGTTGGAAACGGGAATACGTATAAAAAGCAGACAGCAGCATTGTCAGAAACTACTTTGTGATGTTTGCATTCAAGTCACAGAACTGAACACTCCCTTTCACAGAGCAGGTTTGAAACACTCTTTTTGTAGTGTCTGTAAGTGAACATTTGGATTGCTTTCAGGCCTAAGGTGAAAAAGGAAATATCTTCCCATAAAAACTAGACAGAAGCATTCTCAGAAACTTGTTTGTGATGTGTGCCCTCTACTGACAGAGTTGAACCTTTCTTTGCAAAGAGCAGTTTTGAAACACTCTTTTTGTAGAATCTGCAAGAGGATATTTGGATAGCTTTGAGGATTTCTTGGGAAACGGGAATGTCTTCAGATAAACTCTAGACAGAAGCATACTCAGAAACTTCTTTGGGACGTTTCAATTGAAGTCACAGTGTTGAACATTCCCTTTCACAGAGCAGGTTTGAAACACTCTTTTTGTAGTGTCTATAAGTGAACATTTGGCGTGCTTTCAGGCCTAACGTGAAAAAGGAAATATCTTCCCATAAAAACTAGACAGAAGCATTCTCAGAAACTTGTTCATGATGTGTGCCCTCTACTGACAGAGTTGAACCTTTCTTTGCAAAGAGCAGCTTTGAAACACTCTTTTTGTAGAATCTGCAAGAGGATATTTGGATAGCTTTGAGGATTTCGTTGGAAACGGGTATGTACTTCAGATAAACTCTAGACAGAAACATTCTCAGAAACTTCTTTGGGATGTTGCATTCAAGTCACAGAGTAGAACATTCCCATGCATAGAGCAGATTTGAAACACTCTTTTTGTAGTATCTGGAAGTGGACATTTGGAGCGCTTTCAGGCCTATGTTGAAAAAGGAAATATCTTCCCATAAAAACTAGACGGGAAGCATTCTCAGAAACTTACTTGTGATGTGTTTGCTCAACTAACAGAATTGAACCATCGTTTTGAAGGAGCAGTTTTGAAACACTGTTTTCGTGGAATCTGCAAGTGGATATTTGGCTAGCTTTGAGGATTTCGTTGGAAACGGGATTACATATACAAAGGAGACAGCAGCATTCTCAGAAACTTCTTTGTGATGTCTGCATTCAAGTCACAGAGTTGAGCATTCCCTTTCATAGAGCAGGTTGGAAACACTCTTTTTGTAGTATCTGGATGAGGACATTTGGAGCGCTTTCAGGCCTATGGTGAAAAAGGAAATATCTTCCCGTAAAAACTAGACAGAAGCATTCTCAGAAATTTATTTGTGATGTGTGCCCTCAACTAACAGAGTTGAACCTTTCTTTTGATAGAGCAGTTTTGAAACACTCTTTTTGTAAAATCTGCAAGAGGATATTTGGATAGCTTTGAGGATTTCGTTGCAAACGGGAATGGCTTCATATAAACTCTAGACAGAAGCATTCTCAGAAACTTCGTTGGGATGTTTCGATTGAAGTCCCAGTGTTGAACATTCCCTTTTATAGAGCAGGTTGGAAACACTCTTTCTGCATTCCCTGGAAGTGGACATTTGGAGCGCTTTCAGGACGACGGTGAAAATGGAAATATCTTCCAAGAAAATCTAGATAGAAGCAATGTCAGAAACTTTTATGTGATGGATCTACTCAGCTAACAGAGTTGAAGCTTTCTTTTGAGAGAGCAGTTTTGCAACACTCTTTTTGTGGAATATGCAAGTGGATATTAGGGCAGCTTTGAGGATTTCGTTGGAAACGGGAATACATGTAAAAAGCAGACAGCAGCATTCTCAGAAACTTCTTTGTGATGTTTGCATTGAAGTCACAGAGTTGAACATTCCCTTTGAGAGAGCAGGTTTGAAACACGCCTTTTGTCATATCTGGAAGTGTCCATTCGGAGCGCATTCAGGCTTGTGTTGAAAAAGGAAATATCCTCCCATAAAAACTAGACAGAAGCATTCTCAGAAACTTATCTGTGATGTATGTACTCAACTAACAGAACTAAACCATCGTTTTGAAGGAGCAGTTTTGAAACACTTTTTTGCGGAATCTGCAAGTGGATATTTGGCTAGCTGGGAGGATTTCGTTGGAAACGGGATTACATACAAAAAGCAGACAGCAGCATTCTCAGAAACTTATTTGTGATGTGTGCCCTCAACTGACAGTGTTGAACCTTTGTTTTGATAGAGCAGTTCTGAAACACACTTTTTGTAAAATCTGCAAGAGGATATTTGGATAGCTTTGAGGATTTCGTTGGAAACGGGAATGTCTTCATGTAAACTCTAGACAGAAGCATTCTCAGAAACTGCTTTGGGATGTTTCAATTGAAGTCCCAGTGTTGAACATTCCCATTCATAGAGCAGGTTTGAAACACTCTTTTTGTACTATCTGGAAGTGGACATTTGGAGCGCTTTCAGGTCTACGGTGAAAAAGGAGATATCTTCCAATAAAAACTAGATAGAAGCAATGTCAGAACTTTTTTCATGATGTATCTACTCAGCAAACAGAGTTGAACCTTTCTTTTGAGAGAGCAGTTTTGAAACACTCTTTTTGTGGAATATGCAAGTGGGTATTAGGCCAGCTTGGAGGATTTCGTTGGAAACGGGAATACGTATAAAAAGCAGACAGCAGCATTGTCAGAAACTACTTTGTGATGTTTGCATTCAAGTCACAGAATTGAACACTCCCTTTCACAGAGCAGGTTTGAAACACTCTTTTTGTAGTGTCTGTAAGTGAACATTTGGATTGCTTTCAGGCCTAAGGTGAAAAAGGAAATATCTTCCCATAAAAACTAGACAGAAGCATTCTCAGAAACTTGTTTGTGATGTGTGCCCTCTACTGACAGAGTTGAACCTTTCTTTGCAAAGAGCAGTTTTGAAACACTCTTTTTGTAGAATCTGCAAGAGGATATTTGGATAGCTTTGAGGATTTCTTGGGAAACGGGAATGTCTTCAGATAAACTCTAGACAGAAGCATTCTCAGAAACTTCTTTGGGATGTTTCAATTGAAGTCACAGTGTTGAACATTCCCTTTCACAGAGCAGGTTTGAAACACTCTTTTTGTAGTGTCTATAAGTGACCATTTGGCGTGCTTTCAGGCCTAACGTGAAAAAGGAAATATCTTCCCATAAAAACTAGACAGAAGCATTCTCAGAAACTTGTTCGTGATGTGTGCCCTCTACTGACAGAGTTGAACCTTTCTTTTCAAAGAGCAGCTTTGAAACACACTTTTTGTAGAATCTGCAAGAGGATATTTGGATAGTTTTGAGGATTTCGTTGGAAACGGGTATGTCTTCAGATAAACTCTAGACAGAAGCATTCTCAGAAATTTCTTTGGGATGTTGCATGCAAGTCACAGAGTAGAACATTCCCATTCATAGAGCAGATTTGAAACACTCTTTTTGTACTATCTGGAAGTGGACATTTGGAGCGCTTTCAGGCCTATGTTGAAAAAGGAAATATCTTCCCATAAAAACTAGACGGAAGCATTCTCAGAAACTTAATTGTGATGAGTTTGCTCAACTAACAGGATTGAACCATCGTTTTGAAGGAGCAGTTTTGAAACACTGTTTTCGTGGAATCTGCAAGTGGATATTTGGCTAGCTTTGAGGATTTCGTTGGAAACGGGATTACATATAAAAAGGAGACAGCAGCATTCTCAGAAACTTCTTTGTGATGTCTGCATTCAATTCACAGAGTTGAGCATTCCCTTTCATAGAGCAGGTTGGAAACACTCTTTTTGTAGTATCTGGATGAGGACATTTGGAGCGCTTTCAGGCGTATGGTGAAAAAGGAAATATCTTCCCCTAAAAACTAGACAGAAGCATTCTCAGAAGTTTATTTGTGATGTGTGCCCTCAACTAACAGAGTTGAACCTTTCTTTTGATAGAGCAGTTTTGAAACACTCTTTTTGTAAAATCTGCAAGAGGATATTTGGATAGCTTTGAGGATTTCGTTGCAAACGGGAATGGCTTCATATAAACTCTAGACAGAAGCATTCTCAGAAACTTCGTTGGGATGTTTCGATTGAAGTCCCAGTGTTGAACATTCCCTTTTATAGAGCAGGTTGGAAACACTCTTTCTGCATTCCCTGGAAGTGGACATTTGGAGCGCTTTCAGGACGACGGTGAAAATGGAAATATCTTCCAAGAAAATCTAGATAGAAGCAATGTCAGAAACTTTTATGTGATGGATCTACTCAGCTAACAGAGTTGAACCTTTCTTTTGAGAGAGCAGTTTTGCAACACTCTTTTTGTGGAATATGCAAGTGGATATTAGGGCAGCTTTGAGGATTTCGTTGGAAACGGGAATACATGTAAAAAGCAGACAGCAGCATTCTCAGAAACTTCTTTGTGATGTTTGCATTGAAGTCACAGAGTTGAACATTCCCTTTGAGAGAGCAGGTTTGAAACACGCCTTTTGTCATATCTGGAAGTGTCCATTCGGAGCGCATTCAGGCTTGTGTTGAAAAAGGAAATATCCTCCCATAAAAACTAGACAGAAGCATTCTCAGAAACTTATCTGTGATGTATGTACTCAACTAACAGAACTAAACCATCGTTTTGAAGGAGCAGTTTTGAAACACTCTTTTTGCGGAATCTGCAAGTGGATATTTGGCTAGCTGGGAGGATTTCGTTGGAAACGGGATTACATAGAAAAAGCAGACAGCAGCATTCTCAGAAACTTCTTTGTGATGTTTGCATTCAAGTCACAGAGTTGAACATTCCCTTTCATAGAGCAGGTTGGAAACACTCTTTTTGTAGTATCTGGATGTGGACATTTGGATCGCTTTCAGGCCTATGGTGAAAAAGGAAATATCTTCCCATGAAAACTAGACAGAAGCATTCTCAGAAACTTATTTGTGATGTGTGCCCTCAACTGACAGTGTTGAACCTTTGTTTTGATAGAGCAGTTCTGAAACACACTTTTTGTAAAATCTGCAAGAGGATATTTGGATAGCTTTGAGGATTTCGTTGGAAACGGGAATGTCTTCATGTAAACTCTAGACAGAAGCATTCTCAGAAACTGCTTTGGGATGTTTCAATTGAAGTCCCAGTGTTGAACATTCCCATTCATAGAGCAGGTTTGAAACACTCTTTTTGTACTATCTGGAAGTGGACATTTGGAGCGCTTTCAGGTCTACGGTGAAAAAGGAGATATCTTCCAATAAAAACTAGATAGAAGCAATGTCAGAACTTTTTCCATGATGTATCTACTCAGCAAACAGAGTTGAACCTTTCTTTTGAGAGAGCAGTTTTGAAACACTCTTTTTGTGGAATATGCAACTGGGTATTAGGCCAGCTTGGAGGATTTCGTTGGAAACGGGAATACGTATAAAAAGCAGACAGCAGCATTGTCAGAAACTACTTTGTGATGTTTGCATTCAAGTCACAGAATTGAACACTCCCTTTCACAGAGCAGGTTTGAAACACTCTTTTTGTAGTGTCTGTAAGTGAACATTTGGATTGCTTTCAGGCCTAAGGTGAAAAAGGAAATATCTTCCCATAAAAACTAGACAGAAGCATTCTCAGAAACTTGTTTGTGATGTGTGCCCTCTACTGACAGAGTTGAACCTTTCTTTGCAAAGAGCAGTTTTGAAACACTCTTTTTGTAGAATCTGCAAGAGGATATTTGGATAGCTTTGAGGATTTCTTGGGAAACGGGAATGTCTTCAGATAAACTCTAGACAGAAGCATTCTCAGAAACTTCTTTGGGATGTTTCAATTGAAGTCACAGTGTTGAACATTCCCTTTCACAGAGCAGGTTTGAAACACTCTTTTTGTAGTGTCTATAAGTGAACATTTGGCGTGCTTTCAGGCCTAACGTGAAAAAGGAAATATCTTCCCATAAAAACTAGACAGAAGCATTCTCAGAAACTTGTTCGTGATGTGTGCCCTCTACTGACAGAGTTGAACCTTTCTTTGCAAAGAGCAGCTTTGAAACACACTTTTTGTAGAATCTGCAAGAGGATATTTGGATAGCTTTGAGGATTTCGTTGGAAACGGGTATGTCTTCAGATAAACTCTAGACAGAAGCATTCTCAGAAACTTCTTTGGGATGTTGCATTCAAGTCACAGAGTAGAACATTCCCATTCATAGAGCAGATTTGAAACACTCTTTTTGTAGTATCTGGAAGTGGACATTTGGAGCGCTTTCAGGCCTATGTTGAAAAAGGAAATATCTTCCCATAAAAACTAGACGGAAGCATTCTCAGAAACTTATTTGTGATGTGTTTGCTCAACTAACAGGATTGAACCATCGTTTTGAAGGAGCAGTTTTGAAACACTGTTTTCGTGGAATCTGCAAGTGGATATTTGGCTAGCTTTGAGGATTTCGTTGGAAACGGGATTACATATAAAAAGGAGACAGCAGCATTCTCAGAAACTTCTTTGTGATGTTTGCATTCAATTCACAGAGTTGAGCATTCCCTTTCATAGAGCAGGTTTGAAACACTCTTTTTGTAGTATCTGGATGTGGACATTTGGATCGCTTTCAGGCCTATGGTGAAAAAGGAAATATCTTCCCATGAAAACTAGACAGAAGCATTCTCAGAAACTTATTTGTGATGTGTGCCCTCAACTGACAGTGTTGAACCTTTGTTTTGATAGAGCAGTTCTGAAACACACTTTTTGTAAAATCTGCAAGAGGATATTTGGATAGCTTTGAGGATTTCGTTGGAAACGGGAATGTCTTCATGTAAACTCTAGACAGAAGCATTCTCAGAAACTGCTTTGGGATGTTTCAATTGAAGTCCCAGTGTTGAACATTCCCTTTCATAGAGCAGGTTTGAAACACTCTTTTTGTAGTATCTGGAAGTGGACATTTGGAGCGCTTTCAGGTCTACGGTGAAAAAGGAGATATCTTCCAATAAAAACTAGATAGAAGCAATGTCAGAACTTTTTTCATGATGTATCTACTCAGCAAACAGAGTTGAAGCTTTCTTTTGAGAGAGCAGTTTTGAAACACTCTTTTTGTGGAATATGCAAGTGGGTATTAGGCCAGCTTGGAGGATTTCGTTGGAAACGGGAATACGTATAAAAAGCAGACAGCAGCATTGTCAGAAACTACTTTGTGATGTTTGCATTCAAGTCACAGAATTGAACACTCCCTTTCACAGAGCAGGTTTGAAACACTCTTTTTGTAGTGTCTGTAAGTGAACATTTGGATTGCTTTCAGGCCTAAGGTGAAAAAGGAAATATCTTCCCATAAAAACTAGACAGAAGCATTCTCAGAAACTTGTTTGTGATGTGTGCCCTCTACTGACAGAGTTGAACCTTTCTTTGCAAAGAGCAGTTTTGAAACACTCTTTTTGTAGAATCTGCAAGAGGATATTTGGATAGCTTTGAGGATTTCTTGGGAAACGGGAATGTCTTCAGATAAACTCTAGACAGAAGCATTCTCAGAAACTTCTTTGGGATGTTGCATTCAAGTCACAGAGTAGAACATTCCCATTCATAGAGCAGATTTGAAACACTCTTTTTGTAGTATCTGGAAGTGGACATTTGGAGCGCTTTCAGGCCTATGTTGAAAAAGGAAATATCTTCCCATAAAAACTAGACGGAAGCATTCTCAGAAACTTACTTGTGATGTGTTTGCTCAACTAACAGAATTGAACCATCGTTTTGAAGGAGCAGTTTTGAAACACTGTTTTCGTGGAATCTGCAAGTGGATATTTGGCTAGCTTTGAGGATTTCGTTGGAAACGGGATTACATATAAAAAGGAGACAGCAGCATTCTCAGAAACATCTCTGTGATGTTTGCATTCAAGTCACAGAGTTGAACATTCCCTTTCATAGAGCAGGTTTGAAACACTCTTTTTGTAGTATCTGGAAGTGCACATTTGGAGTGCATTCAGGCCTAAGGTGAAAAAGGAAATATCTTCCCATAAAAACTAGACAGAAGCATTCTCAGAAATTTATTTGTGATGTGTGCCTTCAACTAACAGAGTTGAACCTTTCTTTTGATAGAGCAGTTTTGAAACACTCTTTTTGTAAAATCTGCAAGAGGATATTTGGATAGTTTGAGGATTTCGTTGCAAACGGGAATGGCTTCATATAAACTCTAGACAGAAGCATTCTCAGAAACTTCGTTGGGATGTTTCGATTGAAGTCCCAGTGTTGAACATTCCCTTTTATAGAGCAGGTTGGAAACACTCTTTCTGCATTCCCTGGAAGTGGACATTTGGAGCGCTTTCAGGACGACGGTGAAAATGGAAATATCTTCCAAGAAAATCTAGATAGAAGCAATGTCAGAAACTTTTATGTGATGGATCTACTCAGCTAACAGAGTTGAACCTTTCTTTTGAGAGAGCAGTTTTGCAACACTCTTTTTGTGGAATATGCAAGTGGATATTAGGGCAGCTTTGAGGTTTTCGTTGGAAACGGGAATACATGTAAAAAGCAGACAGCAGCATTCTCAGAAACTTCTTTGTGATGTTTGCATTGAAGTCACAGAGTTGAACATTCCCTTTGAGAGAGCAGGTTTGAAACACGCCTTTTGTCATATCTGGAAGTGTCCATTCGGAGCGCATTCAGGCTTGTGTTGAAAAAGGAAATATCCTCCCATAAAAACTAGACAGAAGCATTCTCAGAAACTTATCTGTGATGTATGTACTCAACTAACAGAACTAAACCATCGTTTTGAAGGAGCAGTTTTGAAACACTCTTTTTGCGGAATCTGCAAGTGGATATTTGGCTAGCTGGGAGGATTTCGTTGGAAACGGGATTACATACAAAAAGCAGACAGCAGCATTCTCAGAAACTTCTTTGTGATGTTTGCATTCAAGTCACAGAGTTGAACATTCCCTTTCATAGAGCAGGTTTGAAACACTCTTTTTGTAGTATCTGGATGTGGACATTTGGATCGCTTTCAGGCCTATGGTGAAAAAGGAAATATCTTCCCATGAAAACTAGACAGAAGCATTCTCAGAAACTTATTTGTGATGTGTGCCCTCAACTGACAGTGTTGAACCTTTGTTTTGATAGAGCAGTTCTGAAACACACTTTTTGTAAAATCTGCAAGAGGATATTTGGATAGCTTTGAGGATTTCGTTGGAAACGGGAATGTCTTCATGTAAACTCTAGACAGAAGCATTCTCAGAAACTGCTTTGGGATGTTTCAATTGAAGTCCCAGTGTTGAACATTCCCTTTCATAGAGCAGGTTTGAAACACTCTTTTTGTAGTATCTGGATGAGGACATTTGGAGCGCTTTCAGGCGTATGGTGAAAAAGGAAATATCTTCCCGTAAAAACTAGACAGAAGCATTCTCAGAAGTTTATTTGTGATGTGTGCCCTCAACTAACAGAGTTGAACCTTTCTTTTGATAGAGCAGTTTTGAAACACTCTTTTTGTAAAATCTGCAAGAGGATATTTGGATAGCTTTGAGGATTTCGTTGCAAACGGGAATGGCTTCATATAAACTCTAGACAGAAGCATTCTCAGAAACTTCGTTGGGATGTTTCGATTGAAGTCCCAGTGTTGAACATTCCCTTTTATAGAGCAGGTTGGAAACACTCTTTCTGCATTCCCTGGAAGTGGACATTTGGAGCGCTTTCAGGACGACGGTGAAAATGGAAATATCTTCCAAGAAAATCTAGATAGAAGCAATGTCAGAAACTTTTATGTGATGGATCTACTCAGCTAACAGAGTTGAACCTTTCTTTTGAGAGAGCAGTTTTGCAACACTCTTTTTGTGGAATATGCAAGTGGATATTAGGGCAGCTTTGAGGATTTCGTTGGAAACGGGAATACATGTAAAAAGCAGACAGCAGCATTCTCAGAAACTTCTTTGTGATGTTTGCATTGAAGTCACAGAGTTGAACATTCCCTTTGAGAGAGCAGGTTTGAAACACGCCTTTTGTCATATCTGGAAGTGTCCATTCGGAGCGCATTCAGGCTTGTGTTGAAAAAGGAAATATCCTCCCATAAAAACTAGACAGAAGCATTCTCAGAAACTTATCTGTGATGTATGTACTCAACTAACAGATCTAAACCATCGTTTTGAAGGAGCAGTTTTGAAACACTCTTTTTGCGGAATCTGCAAGTGGATATTTGGCTAGCTGGGAGGATTTCGTTGGAAACGGGATTACATACAAAAAGCAGACAGCAGCATTCTCAGAAACTTCTTTGTGATGTTTGCATTCAAGTCACAGAGTTGAACATTCCCTTTCATAGAGCAGGTTTGAAACACTCTTTTTGTAGTATCTGGATGTGGACATTTGGATCGCTTTCAGGCCTATGGTGAAAAAGGAAATATCTTCCCATGAAAACTAGACAGAAGCATTCTCAGAAACTTATTTGTGATGTGTGCCCTCAACTGACAGTGTTGAACCTTTGTTTTGATAGAGCAGTTCTGAAACACACTTTTTGTAAAATCTGCAAGAGGATATTTGGATAGCTTTGAGGATTTCGTTGGAAACGGGAATGTCTTCATGTAAACTCTAGACAGAAGCATTCTCAGAAACTGCTTTGGGATGTTTCAATTGAAGTCCCAGTGTTGAACATTCCCTTTCATAGAGCAGGTTTGAAACACTCTTTTTGTACTATCTGGAAGTGGACATTTGGAGCGCTTTCAGGTCTACGGTGAAAAAGGAGATATCTTCCAATAAAAACTAGATAGAAGCAATGTCAGAACTTTTTTCATGATGTATCTACTCAGCAAACAGAGTTGAACCTTTCTTTTGAGAGAGCAGTTTTGAAACACTCTTTTTGTGGAATATGCAAGTGGGTATTAGGCCAGCTTGGAGGATTTCGTTGGAAACGGGAATACGTATAAAAAGCAGACAGCAGCATTGTCAGAAACTACTTTGTGATGTTTGCATTCAAGTCACAGAATTGAACACTCCCTTTCACAGAGCAGGTTTGAAACACTCTTTTTGTAGTGTCTGTAAGTGAACATTTGGATTGCTTTCAGGCCTAAGGTGAAAAAGGAAATATCTTCCCATAAAAACTAGACAGAAGCATTCTCAGAAACTTGTTTGTGATGTGTGCCCTCTACTGACAGAGTTGAAACTTTCTTTGCAAAGAGCAGTTTTGAAACACTCTTTTTGTAGAATCTGCAAGAGGATATTTGGATAGCTTTGAGGATTTCTTGGGAAACGGGAAGGTCTTCAGATAAACTCTAGACAGAAGCATTCTCAGAAACTTCTTTGGGATGTTTCAATTGAAGTCACAGTGTTGAACATTCCCTTTCGCAGAGCAGGTTTGAAACACTCTTTTTGTAGTGTCTATAAGTGAACATTTGGCAGTGCTTTCAGGCCTAACGTGAAAAAGGAAATATCTTCCCATAAAAACTAGACAGAAGCATTCTCAGAAACTTGTTCGTGATGTGTGCCCTCTACTGACAGAGTTGAACCTTTCTTTGCAAAGAGCAGCTTTGAAACACACTTTTTGTAGAATCTGCAAGAGGATATTTGGATAGCTTGGAGGATTTCGTTGGAAACGGGTATGTCTTCAGATAAACTCTAGACAGAAGCATTCTCAGAAACTTCTTCGGGATGTTGCATGCAAGTCACAGAGTAGAACATTCCCATTCATAGAGCAGATTTGAAACACTCTTTTTGTAGTATCTGGAAGTGGACATTTGGAGCGCTTTCAGGCCTATGTTGAAAAAGGAAATATCTTCCCATAAAAACTAGACGGAAGCATTCTCAGAAACTTATTTGTGATGTGTTTGCTCAACTAACAGGATTGAACCATCGTTTTGAAGGAGCAGTTTTGAAACACTGTTTTCGTGGAATCTGCAAGTGGATATTTGGCTAGCTTTGAGGATTTCGTTGGAAACGGGATTACATATAAAAAGGAGACAGCAGCATTCTCAGAAACTTCTTTGTGATGTCTGCATTCAATTCACAGAGTTGAGCATTCCCTTTCATAGAGCAGGTTGGAAACACTCTTTTTGTAGTATCTGGATGAGGACATTTGGAGCGCTTTCAGGCGTATGGTGAAAAAGGAAATATCTTCCCGTAAAAACTAGACAGAAGCATTCTCAGAAATTTATTTGTGATGTGTGCCCTCAACTAACAGAGTTGAACCTTTCTTTTGATAGAGCAGTTTTGAAACACTCTTTTTGTAAAATCTGCAAGAGGATATTTGGATAGCTTTGAGGATTTCATTGCAAACGGGAATGGCTTCATATAAACTCTAGACAGAAGCATTCTCAGAAACTTCGTTGGGATGTTTCGATTGAAGTCCCAGTGTTGAACATTCCCTTTTATAGAGCAGGTTGGAAACAGTCTTTCTGCATTCCCTGGAAGTGGACATTTGGAGCGCTTTCAGGACGACGGTGAAAATGGAAATATCTTCCAATAAAATCTGGATAGAAGCAATGTCAGAAACTTTTCTGTGATGGATCTACTCAGCTAACAGAGTTGAACCTTTCTTTTGAGAGAGCAGTTTTGCAACACTCTTTTTGTGGAATATGCAAGTGGATATTAGGGCAGCTTTGAGGATTTCGTTGGAAACGGGAATACATGTAAAAAGCAGACAGCAGCATTCTCAGAAACTTCTTTGTGATGTTTGCATTGAAGTCACAGAGTTGAACATTCCCTTTGAGAGAGCAGGTTTGAAACACGCCTTTTGTCATATCTGGAAGTGTCCATTCGGAGCGCATTCAGGCTTGTGTTGAAAAAGGAAATATCCTCCCATAAAAACTAGACAGAAGCATTCTCAGAAACTTATCTGTGATGTATGTACTCAACTAACAGAACTAAACCATCGTTTTGAAGGAGCAGTTTTGAAACACTCTTTTTGCGGAATCTGCAAGTGGATATTTGGCTAGCTGGGAGGATTTCGTTGGAAACGGGATTACATACAAAAAGCAGACAGCAGCATTCTCAGAAACTTCTTTGTGATGTTTGCATTCAAGTCACAGAGTTGAACATTCCCTTTCATAGAGCAGGTTTGAAACACTCTTTTTGTAGTATCTGGATGTGGACATTTGGATCGCTTTCAGGCCTATGGTGAAAAAGGAAATATCTTCCCATGAAAACTAGACAGAAGCATTCTCAGAAACTTATTTGTGATGTGTGCCCTCAACTGACAGTGTTGAACCTTTGTTTTGATAGAGCAGTTCTGAAACACACTTTTTGTAAAATCTGCAAGAGGATATTTGGATAGCTTTTAGGATTTCGTTGGAAACGGGAATGTCTTCATGTAAACTCTAGACAGAAGCATTCTCAGAAACTGCTTTGGGATGTTTCAATTGAAGTCCCAGTGTTGAACATTCCCTTTCATAGAGCAGGTTTGAAACACTCTTTTTGTACTATCTGGAAGTGGACATTTGGAGCGCTTTCAGGTCTACGGTGAAAAAGGAGATATCTTCCAATAAAAACTAGATAGAAGCAATGTCAGAACTTTTTTCATGATGTATCTACTCAGCAAACAGAGTTGAACCTTTCTTTTGAGAGAGCAGTTTTGAAACACTCTTTTTGTGGAATATGCAAGTGGGTATTAGGCCAGCTTGGAGGATTTCGTTGGAAACGGGAATACGTATAAAAAGCAGACAGCAGCATTGTCAGAAACTACTTTGTGATGTTTGCATTCAAGTCACAGAATTGAACACTCCCTTTCACAGAGCAGGTTTGAAACACTCTTTTTGTAGTGTCTGTAAGTGAACATATGGATTGCTTTCAGGCCTAAGGTGAAAAAGGAAATATCTTCCCATAAAAACTAGACAGAAGCATTCTCAGAAACTTGTTTGTGATGTGTGCCCTCTACTGACAGAGTTGAACCTTTCTTTGCAAAGAGCAGTTTTGAAACACTCTTTTTGTAGAATCTGCAAGAGGATATTTGGATAGCTTTGAAGATTTCTTGGGAAACGGGAATGTCTTCAGATAAACTCTAGACAGAAGCATTCTCAGAAACTTCTTTGGGATGTTTCAATTGAAGTCACAGTGTTGAACATTCCCTTTCACAGAGCAGGTTTGAAACACTCTTTTTGTAGTGTGTATAAGTGAACATTTCGCGTGCTTTCAGGCCTAACGTGAAAAAGGAAATATCTTCCCATAAAAACTAGACAGAAGCATTCTCAGAAACTTGTTCATGATGTGTGCCCTCTACTGACAGAGTTGAACCTTTCTTTGCAAAGAGCAGCTTTGAAACACTCTTTTTGTAGAATCTGCAAGAGGATATTTGGATAGCTTGGAGGATTTCGTTGGAAACGGGTATGTCTTCAGATAAACTCTAGACAGAAGCATTCTCAGAAACTTCTTTGGGATGTTGCATTCAAGTCACAGAGTAGAACATTCCCATTCATAGAGCAGATTTGAAACACTCTTTTTGTAGTATCTGGAAGTGGACATTTGGAGCGCTTTCAGGCCTATGTTGAAAAAGGAAATATCTTCCCATAAAAACTAGACGGAAGCATTCTCAGAAACTTACTTGTGATGTGTTTGCTCAACTAACAGAATTGAACCATCGTTTTGAAGGAGCAGTTTTGAAACACTGTTTTCGTGGAATCTGCAAGTGGATATTTGGCTAGCTTTGAGGATTTCGTTGGAAACGGGATTACATATAAAAAGGAGACAGCAGCATTCTCAGAAACTTCTTTGTGATGTCTGCATTCAAGTCACAGAGTTGAGCATTCCCTTTCATAGAGCAGGTTGGAAACACTCTTTTTGTAGTATCTGGATGAGGACATTTGGAGCGCTTTCAGGCCTATGGTGAAAAAGGAAATATCTTCCCGTAAAAACTAGACAGAACCATTCTCAGAAATTTATTTGTGATGTGTGCCCTCAACTAACAGAGTTGAACCTTTCTTTTGATAGAGCAGTTTTGAAACACTCTTTTTGTAAAATCTGCAAGAGGATATTTGGATAGCTTTGAGGATTTCGTTGCAAACGGGAATGGCTTCATATAAACTCTAGACAGAAGCATTCTCAGAAACTTCGTTGGGATGTTTCGATTGAAGTCCCAGTGTTGAACATTCCCTTTTATAGAGCAGGTTGGAAACACTCTTTCTGCATTCCCTGGAAGTGGACATTTGGAGCGCTTTCAGGACGACGGTGAAAATGGAAATATCTTCCAAGAAAATCTAGATAGAAGCAACGTCAGAAACTTTTCTGTGATGGATCTACTCAAGCTAACAGAGTTGAACCTTTCTTTTGAGAGAGCAGTTTTGCAACACTCTTTTTGTGGAATATGCAAGTGGATATTAGGGCAGCTTTGAGGATTTCGTTGGAAACGGGAATACATGTAAAAAGCAGACAGCAGCATTCTCAGAAACTTCTTTGTGATGTTTGCATTGAAGTCACAGAGTTGAACATTCCCTTTGAGAGAGCAGGTTTGAAACACGCCTTTTGTCATATCTGGAAGTGTCCATTCGGAGCGCATTCAGGCTTGTGTTGAAAAAGGAAATATCCTCCCATAAAAACTAGACAGAAGCATTCTCAGAAACTTATCTGTGATGTATGTACTCAACTAACAGAACTAAACCATCGTTTTGAAGGAGCAGTTTTGAAACACTCTTTTTGCGGAATCTGCAAGTGGATATTTGGCTAGCTGGGAGGATTTCGTTGGAAACGGGATTACATACAAAAAGCAGACAGCAGCATTCTCAGAAACTTCTTTGTGATGTTTGCATTCAAGTCACAGAGTTGAACATTCCCTTTCATAGAGCAGGTTTGAAACACTCTTTTTGTAGTATCTGGATGTGGACATTTGGATCGCTTTCAGGCCTATGGTGAAAAAGGAAATATCTTCACATGAAAACTAGACAGAAGCATTCTCAGAAACTTATTTGTGATGTGTGCCCTCAACTGACAGTGTTGAACCTTTGTTTTGATAGAGCAGTTCTGAAACACACTTTTTGTAAAATCTGCAAGAGGATATTTGGATAGCTTTGAGGATTTCGTTGGAAACGGGAATGTCTTCATGTAAACTCTACACAGAAGCATTCTCAGAAACTGCTTTGGGATGTTTCAATTGAAGTCCCAGTGTTGAACATTCCCATTCATAGAGCAGGTTTGAAACACTCTTTTTGTACTATCTGGAAGTGGACATTTGGAGCGCTTTCAGGTCTACGGTGAAAAAGGAGATATCTTCCAATAAAAACTAGATAGAAGCAATGTCAGAACTTTTTTCATGATGTATCTACTCAGCAAACAGAGTTGAACCTTTCTTTTGAGAGAGCAGTTTTGAAACACTCTTTTTGTGGAATATGAAAGTGGGTATTAGGCCAGCTTGGAGGATTTCGTTGGAAACGGGAATACGTATAAAAAGCAGACAGCAGCATTGTCAGAAACTACTTTGTGATGTTTGCATTCAAGTCACAGAATTGAACACTCCCTTTCACAGAGCAGGTTTGAAACACTCTTTTTGTAGTGTCTGTAAGTGAACATATGGATTGCTTTCAGGCCTAAGGTGAAAAAGGAAATATCTTCCCATAAAAACTAGACAGAAGCATTCTCAGAAACTTGTTTGTGATGTGTGCCCTCTACTGACAGAGTTGAACCTTTCTTTGCAAAGACCAGTTTTGAAACACTCTTTTTGTAGAATCTGCAAGAGGATATTTGGATAGCTTTGAGGATTTCTTGGGAAACGGGAATGTCTTCAGATAAACTCTAGACAGAAGCATTCTGAGAAACTTCTTTGGGATATTTCAATTGAAGTCACAGTGTTGAACATTCCCTTTCACAGAGCAGGTTTGAAACACTCTTTTTGTAGTGTCTATAAGTGAACATTTGGCGTGCTTTCAGGCGTAACGTGAAAAAGGAAATATCTTCCCATAAAAACGAGACAGAAGCATTCTCAGAAACTTGTTCGTGATGTGTGCCCTCTACTGACAGAGTTGAACCTTTCTTTGCAAAGAGCAGCTTTGAAACACTCTTTTTGTAGAATCTGCAAGAGGATATTTGGATAGCTTTGAGGATTTCGTTGGAAACGGGTATGTCTTCAGATAAACTCTAGACAGAAGCATTCTCAGAAACTTCTTTGGGATGTTGCATTCAAGTCACAGAGTAGAACATTCCCATTCATAGAGCAGATTTGAAACACTCTTTTTGTAGTATCTGGAAGTGGACATTTGGAGCGCTTTCAGGCCTATGTTGAAAAAGGAAATATCTTCCCATAAAAACTAGACGGAAGCATTCTCAGAAACTTACTTGTGATGTGTTTGCTCAACTAACAGAATTGAACCATCGTTTTGAAGGAGCAGTTTTGAAACACTGTTTTCGTGGAATCTGCAAGTGGATATTTGGCTAGCTTTGAGGATTTCGTTGGAAACGGGATTACATATAAAAAGGAGACAGCAGCATTCTCAGAAACTTCTTTGTGATGTCTGCATTCAAGTCACAGAGTTGAGCATTCCCTTTCATAGAGCAGGTTGGAAACACTCTTTTTGTAGTATCTGGATGAGGACATTTGGAGCGCTTTCAGGCGTATGGTGAAAAAGGAAATATCTTCCCGTAAAAACTAGACAGAAGCATTCTCAGAAATTTATTTGTGATGTGTGCCCTCAACTAACAGAGTTGAACCTTTCTTTTGATAGAGCAGTTTTGAAACACTCTTTTTGTAAAATCTGCAAGAGGATATTTGGATAGCTTTGAGGATTTCGTTGCAAACGGGAATGGCTTCATATAAACTCTAGACAGAAGCATTCTCAGAAACTTCGTTGGGATGTTTCGATTGAAGTCCCAGTGTTGAACATTCCCTTTTATAGAGCAGGTTGGAAACACTCTTTCTGCATTCCCTGGAAGTGGACATTTGGAGCGCTTTCAGGACGACGGTGAAAATGGAAATATCTTCCAAGAAAATCTAGATAGAAGCAATGTCAGAAACTTTTATGTGATGGATCTACTCAGCTAACAGAGTTGAAGCTTTCTTTTGAGAGAGCAGTTTTGCCACACTCTTTTTGTGGAATATGCAAGTGGATATTAGGGCAGCTTTGAGGATTTCGTTGGAAACGGGAATACATGTAAAAAGCAGACAGCAGCATTCTCAGAAACTTCTTTGTGATGTTTGCATTGAAGTCACAGAGTTGAACATTCCCTTTGAGAGAGCAGGTTTGAAACACGCCTTTTGTCATATCTGGAAGTGTCCATTCGGAGCGCATTCAGGCTTGTGTTGAAAAAGGAAATATCCTCCCATAAAAACTAGACAGAAGCATTCTCAGAAACTTATCTGTGATGTATGTACTCAACTAACAGAACTAAAGCATCGTTTTGAAGGAGCAGTTTTGAAACACTCTTTTTGCGGAATCTGCAAGTGGATATTTGGCTAGCTGGGAGGATTTCGTTGGAAACGGGATTACATACAAAAAGCAGACAGCAGCATTCTCAGAAACTTCTTTGTGATGTTTGCATTCAAGTCACAGAGTTGAACATTCCCTTTCATAGAGCAGGTTTGAAACACTCTTTTTGTAGTATCTGGATGTGGACATTTGGATCGCTTTCAGGCCTATGGTGAAAAAGGAAATATCTTCCCATGAAAACTAGACAGAAGCATTCTCAGAAACTTATTTGTGATGTGTGCCCTCAACTGACAGTGTTGAACCTTTGTTTTGATAGAGCAGTTCTGAAACACACTTTTTGTAAAATCTGCAAGAGGATATTTGGATAGCTTTGAGGATTTCGTTGGAAACGGGAATGTCTTCATGTAAACTCTAGACAGAAGCATTCTCAGAAACTGCTTTGGGATGTTTCAATTGAAGTCCCAGTGTTGAACATTCCCTTTCATAGAGCAGGTTTGAAACACTCTTTTTGTAGTGTCTGTAAGTGAACATTTGGATTGCTTTCAGGCCTAAGGTGAAAAAGGAAATATCTTCCCATAAAAACTAGACAGAAGCATTCTCAGAAACTTGTTTGTGATGTGTGCCCTCTACTGACAGAGTTGAACCTTTCTTTGCAGAGAGCAGTTTTGAAACACTCTTTTTGTAGAATCTGCAAGAGGATATTTGGATAGCTTTGAGGATTTCTTGGGAAACGGGAATGTCTTCAGATAAACTCTAGACAGAAGCATTCTCAGAAACTTCTTTGGGATGTTTCAATTGAAGTCACAGTGTTGAACATTCCCTTTCACAGAGCAGGTTTGAAACACTCTTTTTGTAGTGTCTATAAGTGAACATTTGGCGTGCTTTCAGGCCTAACGTGAAAAAGGAAATATCTTCCCATAAAAACTAGACAGAAGCATTCTCAGAAACTTGTTCTTGATGTGTCCCCTCTACTGACAGAGTTGAACCTTTCTTTGCAAAGAGCAGCTTTGAAACACTCTTTTTGTAGAATCTGCAAGAGGATATTTGGATAGCTTGGAGGATTTCGTTGGAAACGGGTATGTCTTCAGATAAACTCTAGACAGAAGCATTCTCAGAAACTTCTTTGGGATGTTGCATTCAAGTCACAGAGTAGAACATTCCCATTCATAGAGCAGATTTGAAACACTCTTTTTGTAGTATCTGGAAGTGGACATTTGGAGCGCTTTCAGGCCTATGTTGAAAAAGGAAATATCTTCCCATAAAAACTAGACGGAAGCATTCTCAGAAACTTATTTGTGATGTGTTTGCTCAACTAACAGGATTGAACCATCGTTTTGAAGGAGCAGTTTTGAAACACTGTTTTCGTGGAATCTGCAAGTGGATATTTGGCTAGCTTTGAGGATTTCGTTGGAAACGGGATTACATATAAAAAGGAGACAGCAGCATTCT
This sequence comes from Homo sapiens, assembly GCF_000001405.40. Taxonomy (NCBI): domain Eukaryota; kingdom Metazoa; phylum Chordata; class Mammalia; order Primates; family Hominidae; genus Homo; species Homo sapiens. The sequence goes on from NC_000020.11 coordinate 26,698,266, forward strand.
CAGAAACTTCTTTGTGATGTCTGCATTCAATTCACAGAGTTGAGCATTCCCTTTCATAGAGTAGGTTGGAAACACTCTTTTTGTAGTATCTGGATGAGGACATTTGGAGCGCTTTCAGGCCTATGGTGAAAAAGGAAATATCTTCCCGTAAAAACTAGACAGAAGCATTCTCAGAAATTTATTTGTGATGTGTGCCCTCAACTAACAGAGTTGAACCTTTCTTTTGATAGAGCAGTTTTGAAACACTCTTTTTGTAAAATCTGCAAGAGGATATTTGGATAGCTTTGAGGATTTCGTTGCAAACGGGAATGGCTTCATATAAACTCTAGACAGAAGCATTCTCAGAAACTTCGTTGGGATGTTTCGATTGAAGTCCCAGTGTTGAACATTCCCTTTTATAGAGCAGGTTGGAAACACTCTTTCTGCATTCCCTGGAAGTGGACATTTGGAGCGCTTTCTGGACGACGGTGAAAATGGAAATATCTTCCAAGAAAATCTAGATAGAAGCAATGTCAGAAACTTTATGTGATGGATCTACTCAGCTAACAGAGTTGAACCTTTCTTTTGAGAGAGCAGTTTTGCAACACTCCTTTTGTGGAATATGCAAGTGGATATTAGGGCAGCTTTGAGGATTTCGTTGGAAACGGGAATACATGTAAAAAGCAGACAGCAGCATTCTCAGAAACTTCTTTGTGATGTTTGCATTGAAGTCACAGAGTTGAACATTCCCTTTGAGAGAGCAGGTTTGAAACACGCCTTTTGTCATATCTGGAAGTGTCCATTCGGAGCGCATTCAGGCTTGTGTTGAAAAAGGAAATATCCTCCCAGAAAAACTAGACAGAAGCATTCTCAGAAACTTATCTGTGATGTATGTACTCAACTAACAGAACTAAAGCATCGTTTTGAAGGAGCAGTTTTGAAACACTCTTTTTGCGGAATCTGCAAGTGGATATTTGGCTAGCTGGGAGGATTTCGTTGGAAACGGGATTACATACAAAAAGCAGACAGCAGCATTCTCAGAAACTTCTTTGTGATGTTTGCATTCAAGTCACAGAGTTGAACATTCCCTTTCATAGAGCAGGTTTGAAACACTCTTTTTGTAGTATCTGGATGTGGACATTTGGATCGCTTTCAGGCCTATGGTGAAAAAGGAAATATCTTCCCATGAAAACTAGACAGAAGCATTCTCAGAAACTTATTTGTGATGTGTGCCCTCAACTGACAGTGTTGAACCTTTGTTTTGATAGAGCAGTTCTGAAACACACTTTTTGTAAAATCTGCAAGAGGATATTTGGATAGCTTTGAGGATTTCGTTGGAAACGGGAATGTCTTCATGTAAACTCTAGACAGAAGCATTCTCAGAAACTGCTTTGGGATGTTTCAATTGAAGTCCCAGTGTTGAACATTCCCATTCATAGAGCAGGTTTGAAACACTCTTTTTGTACTATCTGGAAGTGGACATTTGGAGCGCTTTCAGGTCTACGGTGAAAAAGGAGATATCTTCCAATAAAAACTAGATAGAAGCAATGTCAGAACTTTTTTCATGATGTATCTACTCAGCAAACAGAGTTGAACCTTTCTTTTGAGAGAGCAGTTTTGAAACACTCTTTTTGTGGAATATGCAAGTGGGTATTAGGCCAGCTTGGAGGATTTCGTTGGAAACGGGAATACGTATAAAAAGCAGACAGCAGCATTGTCAGAAACTACTTTGTGATGTTTGCATTCAAGTCACAGAATTGAACACTCCCTTTCACAGAGCAGGTTTGAAACACTCTTTTTGTAGTGTCTGTAAGTGAACATATGGATTGCTTTCAGGTCTAAGGTGAAAAAGGAAATATCTTCCCATAAAAACTAGACAGAAGCATTCTCAGAAACTTGTTTGTGATGTGTGCCCTCTACTGACAGAGTTGAACCTTTCTTTGCAAAGAGCAGTTTTGAAACACTCTTTTTGTAGAATCTGCAAGAGGATATTTGGATAGCTTTGAGGATTTCTTGGGAAACGGAATGTCTTCAGATAAACTCTAGACAGAAGCATTCTCAGAAACTTCTTGGGATATTTCAATTGAAGTCACAGTGTTGAACATTCCCTTTCACAGAGCAGGTTTGAAACACTCTTTTTGTAGTGTCTATAAGTGAACATTTGGCGTGCTTTCAGGCCTAACGTGAAAAAGGAAATATCTTCCCATAAAAACTAGACAGAAGCATTCTCAGAAACTTGTTCGTGATGTGTGCCCTCTACTGACAGAGTTGAAACTTTCTTTGCAAAGAGCAGCTTTGAAACACTCTTTTTGTAGAATCTGCCAGAGGATATTTGGATAGCTTTGAGGATTTCGTTGGAAACGGGTATGTCTTCAGATAAACTCTAGACAGAAGCATTCTCAGAAACTTCTTTGGGATGTTGCATTCAAGTCACAGAGTAGAACATTCCCATTCATAGAGCAGATTTGAAACACTCTTTTTGTAGTATCTGGAAGTGGACATTTGGAGCGCTTTCAGGCCTATGTTGAAAAAGGAAATATCTTCCCATAAAAACTAGACGGAAGCATTCTCAGAAACTTACTTGTGATGTGTTTGCTCAACTAACAGAATTGAAACATCGTTTTGAAGGAGCAGTTTTGAAACACTGTTTTCGTGGAATCTGCAATTGGATATTTGGCTAGCTTTGAGGATTTCGTTGGAAACGGGATTACATATAAAAAGGAGACAGCAGCATTCTCAGAAACTTCTTTGTGATGTCTGCATTCAAGTCACAGGAGTTGAGCATTCCCTTTCATAGAGCAGGTTGGAAACACTCTTTGTGTAGTATCTGGATGAGGACATTTGGAGCGCTTTCAGGCGTATGGTGAAAAAGGAAATATCTTCCCGTAAAAACTAGACAGAAGCATTCTCAGAAGTTTATTTGTGATGTGTGCCCTCAACTAACAGAGTTGAACCTTTCTTTTGATAGAGCAGTTTTGAAACACTCTTTTTGTAAAATCTGCAAGAGGATATTTGGATAGCTTTGAGGATTTCGTTGCAAACGGGAATGGCTTCATATAAACTCTAGACAGAAGCATTCTCAGAAACTTCGTTGGGATGTTTCGATTGAAGTCCCAGTGTTGAACATTCCCTTTTATAGAGCAGGTTGGAAACACTCTTTCTGCATTCCCTGGAAGTGGACATTTGGAGCGCTTTCAGGACGACGGTGAAAATGGAAATATCTTCCAAGAAAATCTAGATAGAAGCAATGTCAGAAACTTTTCTGTGATGGATCTACTCAGCTAACAGAGTTGAACCTTTCTTTTGAGAGAGCAGTTTTGCAACACTCTTTTTGTGGAATATGCAAGTGGATATTAGGGCAGCTTTGAGGATTTCGTTGGAAACGGGAATACATGTAAAAAGCAGACAGCAGCATTCTCAGAAACTTCTTTGTGATGTTTGCATTGAAGTCACAGAGTTGAACATTCCCTTTGAGAGAGCAGGTTTGAAACACGCCTTTTGTCATATCTGGAAGTGTCCATTCGGAGCGCATTCAGGCTTGTGTTGAAAAAGGAAATATCCTCCCATAAAAACTAGACAGAAGCATTCTCAGAAACTTATCTGTGATGTATGTACTCAACTAACAGAACTAAACCATCGTTTTGAAGGAGCAGTTTTGAAACACTCTTTTTGCGGAATCTGCAAGTGGATATTTGGCTAGCTGGGAGGATTTCGTTGGAAACGGGATTACATACAAAAAGCAGACAGCAGCATTCTCAGAAACTTCTTTGTGATGTTTGCATTCAAGTCACAGAGTTGAACATTCCCTTTCATAGAGCAGGTTTGAAACACTCTTTTTGTAGTATCTGGATGTGGACATTTGGATCGCTTTCAGGCCTATGGTGAAAAAGGAAATATCTTCCCATGAAAACTAGACAGAAGCATTCTCAGAAACTTATTTGTGATGTGTGCCCTCAACTGACAGTGTTGAACCTTTGTTTTGATAGAGCAGTTCTGAAACACACTTTTTGTAAAATCTGCAAGAGGATATTTGGATAGCTTTGAGGATTTCGTTGGAAACGGGAATGTCTTCATGTAAACTCTACACAGAAGCATTCTCAGAAACTGCTTTGGGATGTTTCAATTGAAGTCCCAGTGTTGAACATTCCCATTCATAGAGCAGGTTTGAAACACTCTTTTTGTACTATCTGGAAGTGGACATTTGGAGCGCTTTCAGGTCTACGGTGAAAAAGGAGATATCTTCCAATAAAAACTAGATAGAAGCAATGTCAGAACTTTTTTCATGATGTATCTACTCAGCAAACAGAGTTGAACCTTTCTTTTGAGAGAGCAGTTTTGAAACACTCTTTTTGTGGAATATGCAAGTGGGTATTAGGCCAGCTTGGAGGATTTCGTTGGAAACGGGAATACGTATAAAAAGCAGACAGCAGCATTGTCAGAAACTACTTTGTGATGTTTGCATTCAAGTCACAGAACTGAAAACTCCCTTTCACAGAGCAGGTTTGAAACACTCTTTTTGTAGTGTCTGTAAGTGAACATTTGGATTGCTTTCAGGCCTAAGGTGAAAAAGGAAATATCTTCCCATAAAAACTAGACAGAAGCATTCTCAGAAACTTGTTCGTGATGTGTGCCCTCTACTGACAGAGTTGAACCTTTCTTTGCAAAGAGCAGTTTTGAAACACTCTTTTTGTAGAATCTGCAAGAGGATATTTGGATAGCTTTGAAGATTTCTTGGGAAACGGGAATGTCTTCAGATAAACTCTAGACAGAAGCATTCTCAGAAACTTCTTTGGGATGTTTCAATTGAAGTCACAGTGTTGAACATTCCCTTTCACAGAGCAGGTTTGAAACACTCTTTTTGTAGTGTCTATAAGTGAACATTTGGCGTGCTTTCAGGCCTAACGTGAAAAAGGAAATATCTTCCCATAAAAACTAGACAGAAGCATTCTCAGAAACTTGTTCGTGATGTGTGCCCTCTACTGACAGAGTTGAACCTTTCTTTGCAAAGAGCAGCTTTGAAACACTCTTTTTGTAGAATCTGCAAGAGGATATTTGGATAGCTTTGAGGATTTCGTTGGAAACGGGTATGTCTTCAGATAAACTCTAGACAGAAGCATTCTCAGAAACTTCTTTGGGATGTTGCATTCAAGTCACAGAGTAGAACATTCCCATTCATAGAGCAGATTTGAAACACTCTTTTTGTAGTATCTGGAAGTGGACATTTGGAGCGCTTTCAGGCCTATGTTGAAAAAGGAAATATCTTCCCATAAAAACTAGACGGAAGCATTCTCAGAAACTTACTTGTGATGTGTTTGCTCAACTAACAGAATTGAACCATCGTTTTGAAGGAGCAGTTTTGAAACACTGTTTTCGTGGAATCTGCAAGTGGATATTTGGCTAACTTTGAGGATTTCGTTGGAAACGGGATTACATATAAAAAGGAGACAGCAGCATTCTCAGAAACTTCTTTGTGATGTCTGCATTCAAGTCACAGAGTTGAGCATTCCCTTTCATAGAGCAGGTTGGAAACACTCTTTTTGTAGTATCTGGATGAGGACATTTGGAGCGCTTTCAGGCGTATGGTGAAAAAGGAAATATCTTCCCGTAAAAACTAGACAGAAGCATTCTCAGAAATTTATTTGTGATGTGTGCCCTCAACTAACAGAGTTGAACCTTTCTTTTGATAGAGCAGTTTTGAAACACTCTTTTTGTAAAATCTGCAAGAGGATATTTGGATAGCTTTGAGGATTTCGTTGCAAACGGGAATGGCTTCATATAAACTCTAGACAGAAGCATTCTCAGAAACTTCGTTGGGATGTTTCGATTGAAGTCCCAGTGTTGAACATTCCCTTTTATAGAGCAGGTTGGAAACACTCTTTCTGCATTCCCTGGAAGTGGACATTTGGAGCGCTTTCAGGACGACGGTGAAAATGGAAATATCTTCCAAGCAAAATCTAGATAGAAGCAACGTCAGAAACTTTTATGTGATGGATCTACTCAGCTAACAGAGTTGAACCTTTCTTTTGAGAGAGCAGTTTTGCAACACTCTTTTTGTGGAATATGCAAGTGGATATTAGGGCAGCTTTGAGGATTTCGTTGGAAACGGGAATACATGTAAAAAGCAGACAGCAGCATTCTCAGAAACTTCTTTGTGATGTTTGCATTGAAGTCACAGAGTTGAACATTCCCTTTGAGAGAGCAGGTTTGAAACACGCCTTTCGTCATATCTGGAAGTGTCCATTCGGAGCGCATTCAGGCTTGTGTTGAAAAAGGAAATATCCTCCCATAAAAACTAGACAGAAGCATTCTCAGAAACTTATCTGTGATGTATGTACTCAACTAACAGAACTAAACCATCGTTTTGAAGGAGCAGTTTTGAAACACTCTTTTTGCGGAATCTGCAAGTGGATATTTGGCTAGCTGGGAGGATTTCGTTGGAAACGGGATTACATACAAAAAGCAGACAGCAGCATTCTCAGAAACTTCTTTGTGATGTTTGCATTCAAGTCACAGAGTTGAACATTCCCTTTCATAGAGCAGGTTTGAAACACTCTTTTTGTAGTATCTGGATGTGGACATTTGGATCGCTTTCAGGCCTATGGTGAAAAAGGAAATATCTTCCCATGAAAACTAGACAGAAGCATTCTCAGAAACTTATTTGTGATGTGTGCCCTCAACTGACAGTGTTGAACCTTTGTTTTGATAGAGCAGTTCTGAAACACACTTTTTGTAAAATCTGCAAGAGGATATTTGGATAGCTTTGAGGATTTCGTTGGAAACGGGAATGTCTTCATGTAAACTCTAGACAGAAGCATTCTCAGAAACTGCTTTGGGATGTTTCAATTGAAGTCCCACTGTTGAACATTCCCTTTCATAGAGCAGGTTTGAAACACTCTTTTTGTACTATCTGGAAGTGGACATTTGGAGCGCTTTCAGGTCTACGGTGAAAAAGGAGATATCTTCCAATAAAAACTAGATAGAAGCAATGTCAGAACTTTTTTCATGATGTATCTACTCAGCAAACAGAGTTGAACCTTTCTTTTGAGAGAGCAGTTTTGAAACACTCTTTTTGTGGAATATGCAAGTGGGTATTAGGCCAGCTTGGAGGATTTCGTTGGAAACGGGAATACGTATAAAAAGCAGACAGCAGCATTGTCAGAAACTACTTTGTGATGTTTGCATTCAAGTCACAGAACTGAACACTCCCTTTCACAGAGCAGGTTTGAAACACTCTTTTTGTAGTGTCTGTAAGTGAACATTTGGATTGCTTTCAGGCCTAAGGTGAAAAAGGAAATATCTTCCCATAAAAACTAGACAGAAGCATTCTCAGAAACTTGTTTGTGATGTGTGCCCTCTACTGACAGAGTTGAACCTTTCTTTGCAAAGAGCAGTTTTGAAACACTCTTTTTGTAGAATCTGCAAGAGGATATTTGGATAGCTTTGAGGATTTCTTGGGAAACGGGAATGTCTTCAGATAAACTCTAGACAGAAGCATTCTCAGAAACTTCTTTGGGATGTTTCAATTGAAGTCACAGTGTTGAACATTCCCTTTCACAGAGCAGGTTTGAAACACTCTTTTTGTAGTGTCTATAAGTGAACATTTGGCGTGCTTTCAGGCCTAAGGTGAAAAAGGAAATATACTTCCCATAAAAACTAGACAGAAGCATTCTCAGAAACTTGTTCATGATGTGTGCCCTCTACTGACAGAGTTGAACCTTTCTTTGCAAAGAGCAGCTTTGAAACACTCTTTTTGTAGAATCTGCAAGAGGATATTTGGATAGCTTTGAGGATTTCGTTGGAAACGGGTATGTCTTCAGATAAACTCTAGACAGAAGCATTCTCAGAAACTTCTTTGGGATGTTGCATTCAAGTCACAGAGTAGAACATTCCCATTCATAGAGCAGATTTGAAACACTCTTTTTGTAGTATCTGGAAGTGGACATTTGGAGCGCTTTCAGGCCTATGTTGAAAAAGGAAATATCTTCCCATAAAAACTAGACGGAAGCATTCTCAGAAACTTACTTGTGATGTGTTTGCTCAACTAACAGAATTGAACCATCGTTTTGAAGGAGCAGTTTTGAAACACTGTTTTCGTGGAATCTGCAAGTGGATATTTGGCTAGCTTTGAGGATTTCGTTGGAAACGGGATTACATATAAAAAGGAGACAGCAGCATTCTCAGAAACTTCTTTGTGATGTCTGCATTCAAGTCACAGAGTTGAGCATTCCCTTTCATAGAGCAGGTTGGAAACACTCTTTTTGTAGTATCTGGATGAGGACATTTGGAGCGCTTTCAGGCGTATGGTGAAAAAGGAAATATCTTCCCGTAAAAACTAGACAGAAGCATTCTCAGAAATTTATTTGTGATGTGTGCCCTCAACTAACAGAGTTGAACCTTTCTTTTGATAGAGCAGTTTTGAAACACTCTTTTTGTAAAATCTGCAAGAGGATATTTGGATAGCTTTGAGGATTTCATTGCAAACGGGAATGGCTTCATATAAACTCTAGACAGAAGCATTCTCAGAAACTTCGTTGGGATGTTTCGATTGAAGTCCCAGTGTTGAACATTCCCTTTTATAGAGCAGGTTGGAAACACTCTTTCTGCATTCCCTGGAAGTGGACATTTGGAGCGCTTTCAGGACGACGGTGAAAATGGAAATATCTTCCAAGAAAATCTAGATAGAAGCAATGTCAGAAACTTTTATGTGATGGATCTACTCAGCTAACAGAGTTGAACCTTTCTTTTGAGAGAGCAGTTTTGCAACACTCTTTTTGTGGAATATGCAAGTGGATATTAGGGCAGCTTTGAGGATTTCGTTGGAAACGGGAATACATGTAAAAAGCAGACAGCAGCATTCTCAGAAACTTCTTTGTGATGTTTGCATTGAAGTCACAGAGTTGAACATTCCCTTTGAGAGAGCAGGTTTGAAACACGCCTTTTGTCATATCTGGAAGTGTCCATTCGGAGCGCATTCAGGCTTGTGTTGAAAAAGGAAATATCCTCCCATAAAACTAGACAGAAGCATTCTCAGAAACTTATCTGTGATGTATGTACTCAACTAACAGAACTAAACCATCGTTTTGAAGGAGCAGTTTTGAAACACTCTTTTTGCGGAATCTGCAAGTGGATATTTGGCTAGCTGGGAGGATTTCGTTGGAAACGGGATTACATACAAAAAGCAGACAGCAGCATTCTCAGAAACTTCTTTGTGATGTTTGCATTCAAGTCACAGAGTTGAACATTCCCTTTCATAGAGCAGGTTTGAAACACTCTTTTTGTAGTATCTGGATGTGGACATTTGGATCGCTTTCAGGCCTATGGTGAAAAAGGAAATATCTTCCCATGAAAACTAGACAGAAGCATTCTCAGAAACTTATTTGTGATGTGTGCCCTCAACTGACAGTGTTGAACCTTTGTTTTGATAGAGCAGTTCTGAAACACACTTTTTGTAAAATCTGCAAGAGGATATTTGGATAGCTTTGAGGATTTCGTTGGAAACGGGAATGTCTTCATGTAAACTCTAGACAGAAGCATTCTCAGAAACTGCTTTGGGATGTTTCAATTGAAGTCCCAGTGTTGAACATTCCCTTTCATAGAGCAGGTTTGAAACACTCTTTTTGTACTATCTGGAAGTGGACATTTGGAGCGCTTTCAGGTCTACGGTGAAAAAGGAGATATCTTCCAATAAAAACTAGATAGAAGCAATGTCAGAACCTTTTTCATGATGTATCTACTCAGCAAACAGAGTTGAACCTTTCTTTTGAGAGAGCAGTTTTGAAACACTCTTTTTGTGGAATATGCAAGTGGGTATTAGGCCAGCTTGGAGGATTTCGTTGGAAACGGGAATACGTATAAAAAGCAGACAGCAGCATTGTCAGAAACTACTTTGTGATGTTTGCATTCAAGTCACAGAATTGAACACTCCCTTTCACAGAGCAGGTTTGAAACACTCTTTTTGTAGTGTCTGTAAGTGAACATTTGGATTGCTTTCAGGCCTAAGGTGAAAAAGGAAATATCTTCCCATAAAAACTAGACAGAAGCATTCTCAGCAACTTGTTTGTGATGTGTGCCCTCTACTGACAGAGTTGAACCTTTCTTTGCAAAGAGCAGTTTTGAAACACTCTTTTTGTAGAATCTGCAAGAGGATATTTGGATAGCTTTGAGGATTTCTTGGGAAACGGGAATGTCTTCAGATAAACTCTAGACAGAAGCATTCTCAGAAACTTCTTTGGGATGTTTCAATTGAAGTCACAGTGTTGAACATTCCCTTTCACAGAGCAGGTTTGAAACACTCTTTTTGTAGTGTCTATAAGTGAACATTTGGCGTGCTTTCAGGCGTAACGTGAAAAAGGAAATATCTTCCCATAAAAACTAGACAGAAGCATTCTCAGAAACTTGTTCGTGATGTGTGCCCTCTACTGACAGAGTTGAACCTTTCTTTGCAAAGAGCAGCTTTGAAACACACTTTTTGTAGAATCTGCAAGAGGATATTTGGATAGCTTTGAGGATTTCGTTGGAAACGGGTATGTCTTCAGATAAACTCTAGACAGAAGCATTCTCAGAAATTTCTTTGGGATGTTGCATGCAAGTCACAGAGTAGAACATTCCCATTCATAGAGCAGATTTGAAACACTCTTTTTGTACTATCTGGAAGTGGACATTTGGAGCGCTTTCAGGCCTATGTTGAAAAAGGAAATATCTTCCCATAAAAACTAGACGGAAGCATTCTCAGAAACTTAATTGTGATGAGTTTGCTCAACTAACAGGATTGAACCATCCTTTTGAAGGAGCAGTTTTGAAACACTGTTTTCGTGGAATCTGCAAGTGGATATTTGGCTAGCTTTGAGGATTTCGTTGGAAACGGGATTACATATAAAAAGGAGACAGCAGCATTCTCAGAAACTTCTTTGTGATGTCTGCATTTAATTCACAGAGTTGAGCATTCCCTTTCATAGAGCAGGTTGGAAACACTCTTTTTGTAGTATCTGGATGAGGACATTTGGAGCGCTTTCAGGCGTATGGTGAAAAGGGAAATATCTTCCCGTAAAAACTAGACAGAAGCATTCTCAGAAGTTTATTTGTGATGTGTGCCCTCAACTAACAGAGTTGAACCTTTCTTTTGATAGAGCAGTTTTGAAACACTCTTTTTGTAAAATCTGCAAGAGGATATTTGGATAGCTTTGAGGATTTCGTTGCAAACGGGAATGGCTTCATATAAACTCTAGACAGAAGCATTCTCAGAAACTTCGTTGGGATGTTTCGATTGAAGTCCCAGTGTTGAACATTCCCTTTTATAGAGCAGGTTGGAAACACTCTTTCTGCATTCCCTGGAAGTGGACATTTGGAGCGCTTTCAGGACGACGGTGAAAATGGAAATATCTTCCAAGAAAATCTAGATAGAAGCAATGTCAGAAACTTTTATGTGATGGATCTACTCAGCTAACAGAGTTGAACCTTTCTTTTGAGAGAGCAGTTTTGCAACACTCTTTTTGTGGAATATGCAAGTGGATATTAGGGCAGCTTTGAGGATTTCGTTGGAAACGGGAATACATGTAAAAAGCAGACAGCAGCATTCTCAGAAACTTCTTTGTGATGTTTGCATTGAAGTCACAGAGTTGAACATTCCCTTTGAGAGAGCAGGTTTGAAACACGCCTTTTGTCATATCTGGAAGTGTCCATTCGGAGCGCATTCAGGCTTGTGTTGAAAAAGGAAATATCCTCCCATAAAAACTAGACAGAAGCATTCTCAGAAACTTATCTGTGATGTATGTACTCAACTAACAGAACTAAACCATCGTTTTGAAGGAGCAGTTTTGAAACACTCTTTTTGCGGAATCTGCAAGTGGATATTTGGCTAGCTGGGAGGATTTCGTTGGAAACGGGATTACATACAAAAAGCAGACAGCAGCATTCTCAGAAACTTCTTTGTGATGTTTGCATTCAAGTCACAGAGTTGAACATTCCCTTTCATAGAGCAGGTTTGAAACACTCTTTTTGTAGTATCTGGATGTGGACATTTGGATCGCTTTCAGGCCTATGGTGAAAAAGGAAATATCTTCCCATGAAAACTAGACAGAAGCATTCTCAGAAACTTATTTGTGATGTGTGCCCTCAACTGACAGTGTTGAACCTTTGTTTTGATAGAGCAGTTCTGAAACACACTTTTTGTAAAATCTGCAAGAGGATATTTGGATAGCTTGAGGATTTCGTTGGAAACGGGAATGTCTTCATGTAAACTCTACACAGAAGCATTCTCAGCAAACTGCTTTGGGATGTTTCAATTGAAGTCCCAGTGTTGAACATTCCCATTCATAGAGCAGGTTTGAAACACTCTTTTTGTACTATCTGGAAGTGGACATTTGGAGCGCTTTCAGGTGTACGGTGAAAAAGGAGATATCTTCCAATAAAAACTAGATAGAAGCAATGTCAGAACTTTTTTCATGATGTATCTACTCAGCTAACAGAGTTGAACCTTTCTTTTGAGAGAGCAGTTTTGAAACACTCTTTTTGTGGAATATGCAAGTGGGTATTAGGCCAGCTTGGAGGATTTCGTTGGAAACGGGAATACGTATAAAAAGCAGACAGCAGCATTGTCAGAAACTACTTTGTGATGTTTGCATTCAAGTCACAGAATTGAACACTCCCTTTCACAGAGCAGGTTTGAAACACTCTTTTTGTAGTGTCTATAAGTGAACATTTGGCGTGCTTTCAGGCCTAAGGTGAAAAAGGAAATATCTTCCCATAAAAACTAGACAGAAGCATTCTCAGAAACTTGTTCGTGATGTGTGCCCTCTACTGACAGAGTTGAACCTTTCTTTGCAAAGAGCAGCTTTGAAACACTCTTTTTGTAGAATCTGCAAGAGGATATTTGGATAGCTTTGAGGATTTCGTTGGAAACGGGTATGTCTTCAGATAAACTCTAGACAGAAGCATTCTCAGAAACTTCTTTGGGATGTTGCATTCAAGTCACAGAGTAGAACATTCCCATTCATAGAGCAGATTTGAAACACTCTTTTTGTAGTATCTGGAAGTGGACATTTGGAGCGCTTTCAGGCCTATGTTGAAAAAGGAAATATCTTCCCATAAAAACTAGACGGAAGCATTCTCAGAAACTTACTTGTGATGTGTTTGCTCAACTAACAGAATTGAACCATCGTTTTGAAGGAGCAGTTTTGAAACACTGTTTTCGTGGAATCTGCAAGTGGATATTTGGCTAGCTTTGAGGATTTCGTTGGAAACGGGATTACATATAAAAAGGAGACAGCAGCATTCTCAGAAACTTCTTTGTGATGTCTGCATTCAAGTCACAGAGTTGAGCATTCCCTTTCATAGAGCAGGTTGGAAACACTCTTTTTGTAGTATCTGGATGAGGACATTTGGAGCGCTTTCAGGCGTATGGTGAAAAAGGAAATATCTTCCCGTAAAAACTAGACAGAAGCATTCTCAGAAATTTATTTGTGATGTGTGCCCTCAACTAACAGAGTTGAACCTTTCTTTTGATAGAGCAGTTTTGAAACACTCTTTTTGTAAAATCTGCAAGAGGATATTTGGATAGCTTTGAGGATTTCGTTGCAAACGGGAATGGCTTCATATAAACTCTAGACAGAAGCATTCTCAGAAACTTCGTTGGGATGTTTCGATTGAAGTCCCAGTGTTGAACATTCCCTTTTATAGAGCAGGTTGGAAACACTCTTTCTGCATTCCCTGGAAGTGGACATTTGGAGCGCTTTCAGGACGACGGTGAAAATGGAAATATCTTCCAAGAAAATCTAGATAGAAGCAACGTCAGAAACTTTTCTGTGATGGATCTACTCAGCTAACAGAGTTGAACCTTTCTTTTGAGAGAGCAGTTTTGCAACACTCTTTTTGTGGAATATGCAAGTGGATATTAGGGCAGCTTTGAGGATTTCGTTGGAAACGGGAATACATGTAAAAAGCAGACAGCAGCATTCTCAGAAACTTCTTTGTGATGTTTGCATTGAAGTCACAGAGTTGAACATTCCCTTTGAGAGAGCAGGTTTGAAACACGCCTTTTGTCATATCTGGAAGTGTCCATTCGGAGCGCATTCAGGCTTGTGTTGAAAAAGGAAATATCCTCCCATAAAAACTAGACAGAAGCATTCTCAGAAACTTATCTGTGATGTATGTACTCAACTAACAGAACTAAACCATCGTTTTGAAGGAGCAGTTTTGAAACACTCTTTTTGCGGAATCTGCAAGTGGATATTTGGCTAGCTGGGAGGATTTCGTTGGAAACGGGATTACATACAAAAAGCAGACAGCAAAGCATTCTCAGAAACTTATTTGTGATGTGTGCCCTCAACTGACAGTGTTGAACCTTTGTTTTGATAGAGCAGTTCTGAAACACACTTTTTGTAAAATCTGCAAGAGGATATTTGGATAGCTTTGAGGATTTCGTTGGAAACGGGAATGTCTTCATGTAAACTCTACACAGAAGCATTCTCAGAAACTGCTTTGGGATGTTTCAATTGAAGTCCCAGTGTTGAACATTCCCATTCATAGAGCAGGTTTGAAACACTCTTTTTGTACTATCTGGAAGTGGACATTTGGAGCGCTTTCAGGTCTACGGTGAAAAAGGAGATATCTTCCAATAAAAACTAGATAGAAGCAATGTCAGAACTTTTTTCATGATGTATCTACTCAGCAAACAGAGTTGAACCTTTCTTTTGAGAGAGCAGTTTTGAAACACTCTTTTTGTGGAATATGCAAGTGGGTATTAGGCCAGCTTGGAGGATTTCGTTGGAAACGGGAATACGTATAAAAAGCAGACAGCAGCATTGTCAGAAACTACTTTGTGATGTTTGCATTCAAGTCACAGAATTGAACACTCCCTTTCACAGAGCAGGTTTGAAACACTCTTTTTGTAGTGTCTGTAAGTGAACATTTGGATTGCTTTCAGGCCTAAGGTGAAAAAGGAAATATCTTCCCATAAAAACTAGACAGAAGCATTCTCAGAAACTTGTTTGTGATGTGTGCCCTCTACTGACAGAGTTGAACCTTTCTTTGCAAAGAGCAGTTTTGAAACACTCTTTTTGTAGAATCTGCAAGAGGATATTTGGATAGCTTTGAGGATTTCTTGGGAAACGGGAATGTCTTCAGATAAACTCTAGACAGAAGCATTCTCAGAAACTTCTTTGGGATGTTTCAATTGAAGTCACAGTGTTGAACATTCCCTTTCACAGAGCAGGTTTGAAACACTCTTTTTGTAGTGTCTATAAGTGAACATTTGGCGTGCTTTCAGGCGTAACGTGAAAAAGGAAATATCTTCCCATAAAAACCAGACAGAAGCATTCTCAGAAACTTGTTCGTGATGTGTGCCCTCTACTGACAGAGTTGAACCTTTCTTTGCAAAGAGCAGCTTTGAAACACTCTTTTTGTAGAATCTGCAAGAGGATATTTGGATAGCTTTGAGGATTTCGTTGGAAACGGGTATGTCTTCAGATAAACTCTAGACAGAAGCATTCTCAGAAACTTCTTTGGGATGTTGCATTCAAGTCACAGAGTAGAACATTCCCATTCATAGAGCAGATTTGAAACACTCTTTTTGTAGTATCTGGAAGTGGACATTTGGAGCGCTTTCAGGCCTATGTTGAAAAAGGAAATATCTTCCCATAAAAACTAGACGGAAGCATTCTCAGAAACTTACTTGTGATGTGTTTGCTCAACTAACAGAATTGAACCATCGTTTTGAAGGAGCAGTTTTGAAACACTGTTTTCGTGGAATCTGCAAGTGGATATTTGGCTAGCTTTGAGGATTTCGTTGGAAACGGGATTACATATAAAAAGGAGACAGCAGCATTCTCAGAAACTTCTTTGTGATGTCTGCATTCAAGTCACAGAGTTGAGCATTCCCTTTCATAGAGCAGGTTGGAAACACTCTTTTTGTAGTATCTGGATGAGGACATTTGGAGCGCTTTCAGGCCTATGGTGAAAAAGGAAATATCTTCCCGTAAAAACTAGACAGAAGCATTCTCAGAAATTTATTTGTGATGTGTGCCCTCAACTAACAGAGTTGAACCTTTCTTTTGATAGAGCAGTTTTGAAACACTCTTTTTGTAAAATCTGCAAGAGGATATTTGGATAGCTTTGAGGATTTCGTTGCAAACGGGAATGGCTTCATATAAACTCTAGACAGAAGCATTCTCAGAAACTTCGTTGGGATGTTTCGATTGAAGTCCCAGTGTTGAACATTCCCTTTTATAGAGCAGGTTGGAAACACTCTTTCTGCATTCCCTGGAAGTGGACATTTGGAGCGCTTTCAGGACGACGGTGAAAATGGAAATATCTTCCAAGAAAATCTAGATAGAAGCAATGTCAGAAACTTTTATGTGATGGATCTACTCAGCTAACAGAGTTGAACCTTTCTTTTGAGAGAGCAGTTTTGCAACACTCTTTTTGTGGAATATGCAAGTGGATATTAGGGCAGCTTTGAGGATTTCGTTGGAAACGGGAATACATGTAAAAAGCAGACAGCAGCATTCTCAGAAACTTCTTTGTGATGTTTGCATTGAAGTCACAGAGTTGAACATTCCCTTTGAGAGAGCAGGTTTGAAACACGCCTTTTGTCATATCTGGAAGTGTCCATTCGGAGCGCATTCAGGCTTGTGTTGAAAAAGGAAATATCCTCCCATAAAAACTAGACAGAAGCATTCTCAGAAACTTATCTGTGATGTATGTACTCAACTAACAGAACTAAACCATCGTTTTGAAGGAGCAGTTTTGAAACACTCTTTTTGCGGAATCTGCAAGTGGATATTTGGCTAGCTGGGAGGATTTCGTTGGAAACGGGATTACATACAAAAAGCAGACAGCAGCATTCTCAGAAACTTCTTTGTGATGTTTGCATTCAAGTCACAGAGTTGAACATTCCCTTTCATAGAGCAGGTTTGAAACACTCTTTTTGTAGTATCTGGATGTGGACATTTGGATCGCTTTCAGGCCTATGGTGAAAAAGGAAATATCTTCCCATGAAAACTAGACAGAAGCATTCTCAGAAACTTATTTGTGATGTGTGCCCTCAACTGACAGTGTTGAACCTTTGTTTTGATAGAGCAGTTCTGAAACACACTTTTTGTAAAATCTGCAAGAGGATATTTGGATAGCTTTGAGGATTTCGTTGGAAACGGGAATGTCTTCATGTAAACTCTACACAGAAGCATTCTCAGAAACTGCTTTGGGATGTTTCAATTGAAGTCCCAGTGTTGAACATTCCCATTCATAGAGCAGGTTTGAAACACTCTTTTTGTACTATCTGGAAGTGGACATTTGGAGCGCTTTCAGGTCTACGGTGAAAAAGGAGATATCTTCCAATAAAAACTAGATAGAAGCAATGTCAGAACTTTTTTCATGATGTATCTACTCAGCTAACAGAGTTGAACCTTTCTTTTGAGAGAGCAGTTTTGAAACACTCTTTTTGTGGAATATGCAAGTGGGTATTAGGCCAGCTTGGAGGATTTCGTTGGAAACGGGAATACGTATAAAAAGCAGACAGCAGCATTGTCAGAAACTACTTTGTGATGTTTGCATTCAAGTCACAGAATTGAACACTCCCTTTCACAGAGCAGGTTTGAAACACTCTTTTTGTAGTGTCTGTAAGTGAACATATGGATTGCTTTCAGGCCTAAGGTGAAAAAGGAAATATCTTCCCATAAAAACTAGACAGAAGCATTCTCAGAAACTTGTTTGTGATGTGTGCCCTCTACTGACAGAGTTGAACCTTTCTTTGCAAAGACCAGTTTTGAAACACTCTTTTTGTAGAATCTGCAAGAGGATATTTGGATAGCTTTGAGGATTTCTTGGGAAACGGGAATGTCTTCAGATAAACTCTAGACAGAAGCATTCTCAGAAACTTCTTTGGGATGTTTCAATTGAAGTCACAGTGTTGAACATTCCCTTTCACAGAGCAGGTTTGAAACACTCTTTTTGTAGTGTCTATAAGTGAACATTTGGCGTGCTTTCAGGCCTAACGTGAAAAAGGAAATATCTTCCCATAAAAACTAGACAGAAGCATTCTCAGAAACTTGTTCGTGATGTGTGCCCTCTACTGACAGAGTTGAACCTTTCTTTGCAAAGAGCAGCTTTGAAACACTCTTTTTGTAGAATCTGCAAGAGGATATTTGGATAGCTTTGAGGATTTCGTTGGAAACGGGTATGTCTTCAGATAAACTCTAGACAGAAGCATTCTCAGAAACTTCTTTGGGATGTTGCATTCAAGTCACAGAGTAGAACATTCCCATTCATAGAGCAGATTTGAAACACTCTTTTTGTAGTATCTGGAAGTGGACATTTGGAGCGCTTTCAGGCCTATGTTGAAAAAGGAAATATCTTCCCATAAAAACTAGACGGAAGCATTCTCAGAAACTTATTTGTGATGTGTTTGCTCAACTAACAGGATTGAACCATCGTTTTGAAGGAGCAGTTTTGAAACACTGTTTTCGTGGAATCTGCAAGTGGATATTTGGCTAGCTTTGAGGATTTCGTTGGAAACGGGATTACATATAAAAAGGAGACAGCAGCATTCTCAGAAACTTCTTTGTGATGTCTGCATTCAATTCACAGAGTTGAGCATTCCCTTTCATAGAGCAGGTTGGAAACACTCTTTTTGTAGTATCTGGATGAGGACATTTGGAGCGCTTTCAGGCGTATGGTGAAAAAGGAAATATCTTCCCTGTAAAAACTAGACAGAAGCATTCTCAGAAGTTTATTTGTGATGTGTGCCCTCAACTAACAGAGTTGAACCTTTCTTTTGATAGAGCAGTTTTGAAACACTCTTTTTGTAAAATCTGCAAGAGGATATTTGGATAGCTTTGAGGATTTCGTTGCAAACGGGAATGGCTTCATATAAACTCTAGACAGAAGCATTCTCAGAAACTTCGTTGGGATGTTTCGATTGAAGTCCCAGTGTTGAACATTCCCTTTTATAGAGCAGGTTGGAAACACTCTTTCTGCATTCCCTGGAAGTGGACATTTGGAGCGCTTTCAGGACGACGGTGAAAATGGAAATATCTTCCAAGAAAATCTAGATAGAAGCAATGTCAGAAACTTTTATGTGATGGATCTACTCAGCTAACAGAGTTGAACCTTTCTTTTGAGAGAGCAGTTTTGCAACACTCTTTTTGTGGAATATGCAAGTGGATATTAGGGCAGCTTTGAGGATTTCGTTGGAAACGGGAATACATGTAAAAAGCACACAGCAGCATTCTCAGAAACTTCTTTGTGATGTTTGCATTGAAGTCACAGAGTTGAACATTCCCTTTGAGAGAGCAGGTTTGAAACACGCCTTTTGTCATATCTGGAAGTGTCCATTCGGAGCGCATTCAGGCTTGTGTTGAAAAAGGAAATATCCTCCCATAAAAACTAGACAGAAGCATTCTCAGAAACTTATCTGTGATGTATGTACTCAACTAACAGAACTAAACCATCGTTTTGAAGGAGCAGTTTTGAAACACTCTTTTTGCGGAATCTGCAAGTGGATATTTGGCTAGCTGGGAGGATTTCGTTGGAAACGGGATTACATACAAAAAGCAGACAGCAGCATTCTCAGAAACTTCTTTGTGATGTTTGCATTCAAGTCACAGAGTTGAACATTCCCTTTCATAGAGCAGGTTTGAAACACTCTTTTTGTAGTATCTGGATGTGGACATTTGGATCGCTTTCAGGCCTATGGTGAAAAAGGAAATATCTTCCCATGAAAACTAGACAGAAGCATTCTCAGAAACTTATTTGTGATGTGTGCCCTCAACTGACAGTGTTGAACCTTTGTTTTGATAGAGCAGTTCTGAAACACACTTTTTGTAAAATCTGCAAGAGGATATTTGGATAGCTTTGAGGATTTCGTTGGAAACGGGAATGTCTTCATGTAAACTCTACACAGAAGCATTCTCAGAAACTGCTTTGGGATGTTTCAATTGAAGTCCCAGTGTTGAACATTCCCATTCATAGAGCAGGTTTGAAACACTCTTTTTGTACTATCTGGAAGTGGACATTTGGAGCGCTTTCAGGTCTACGGTGAAAAAGGAGATATCTTCCAATAAAAACTAGATAGAAGCAATGTCAGAACTTTTTTCATGATGTATCTACTCAGCAAACAGAGTTGAACCTTTCTTTTGAGAGAGCAGTTTTGAAACACTCTTTTTGTGGAATATGAAAGTGGGTATTAGGCCAGCTTGGAGGATTTCGTTGGAAACGGGAATACGTATAAAAAGCAGACAGCAGCATTGTCAGAAACTACTTTGTGATGTTTGCATTCAAGTCACAGAACTGAACACTCCCTTTCACAGAGCAGGTTTGAAACACTCTTTTTGTAGTGTCTGTAAGTGAACATTTGGATTGCTTTCAGGCCTAAGGTGAAAAAGGAAATATCTTCCCATAAAAACTAGACAGAAGCATTCTCAGAAACTTGTTTGTGATGTGTGCCCTCTACTGACAGAGTTGAACCTTTCTTTGCAAAGAGCAGTTTTGAAACACTCTTTTTGTAGAATCTGCAAGAGGATATTTGGATAGCTTTGAGGATTTCTTGGGAAACGGGAATGTCTTCAGATAAACTCTAGACAGAAGCATTCTCAGAAACTTCTTTGGGATGTTTCAATTGAAGTCACAGTGTTGAACATTCCCTTTCACAGAGCAGGTTTGAAACACTCTTTTTGTAGTGTCTATAAGTGAACATTTGGCGTGCTTTCAGGCCTAACGTGAAAAAGGAAATATCTTCCCATAAAAACTAGACAGAAGCATTCTCAGAAACTTGTTCGTGATGTGTGCCCTCTACTGACAGAGTTGAACCTTTCTTTGCAAAGAGCAGCTTTGAAACACACTTTTTGTAGAATCTGCAAGAGGATATTTGGATAGCTTGGAGGATTTCGTTGGAAACGGGTATGTCTTCAGATAAACTCTAGACAGAAGCATTCTCAGAAACTTCTTTGGGATGTTGCATTCAAGTCACAGAGTAGAACATTCCCATTCATAGAGCAGATTTGAAACACTCTTTTTGTAGTATCTGGAAGTGGACATTTGGAGCGCTTTCAGGCCTATGTTGAAAAAGGAAATATCTTCCCATAAAAACTAGACGGAAGCATTCTCAGAAACTTATTTGTGATGAGTTTGCTCAACTAACAGGATTG
The DNA here is from genome assembly GCF_000001405.40 of Homo sapiens. NCBI lineage: Eukaryota > Metazoa > Chordata > Mammalia > Primates > Hominidae > Homo > Homo sapiens. The sequence goes on from NC_000020.11 coordinate 26,719,382, forward strand.
AACCATCGTTTTGAAGGAGCAGTTTTGAAACACTGTTTTCGTGGAATCTGCAAGTGGATATTTGGCTAGCTTTGAGGATTTCGTTGGAAACGGGATTACATATAAAAAGGAGACAGCCAGCATTCTCAGAAACTTCTTTGTGATGTCTGCATTCAAGTCACAGACTTGAGCATTCCCTTTCATAGAGCAGGTTGGAAACACTCTTTTTGTAGTATCTGGATGAGGACATTTGGAGCGCTTTCAGGCGTATGGTGAAAAAGGAAATATCTTCCCGTAAAAACTAGACAGAAGCATTCTCAGAAATTTATTTGTGATGTGTGCCCTCAACTAACAGAGTTGAACCTTTCTTTTGATAGAGCAGTTTTGAAACACTCTTTTTGTAAAATCTGCAAGAGGATATTTGGATAGCTTTGAGGATTTCGTTGCAAACGGGAATGGCTTCATATAAACTCTAGACAGAAGCATTCTCAGAAACTTCGTTGGGATGTTTCGATTGAAGTCCCAGTGTTGAACATTCCCTTTCATAGAGCAGGTTGGAAACACTCTTTCTGCATTCCCTGGAAGTGGACATTTGGAGCGCTTTCAGGACGACGGTGAAAATGGAAATATCTTCCAAGAAAATCTAGATAGAAGCAACGTCAGAAACTTTTATGTGATGGATCTACTCAGCTAACAGAGTTGAAGCTTTCTTTTGAGAGAGCAGTTTTGCAACACTCTTTTTGTGGAATATGCAAGTGGATATTAGGGCAGCTTTGAGGATTTCGTTGGAAACGGGAATACATGTAAAAAGCAGACAGCAGCATTCTCAGAAACTTCTTTGTGATGTTTGCATTGAAGTCACAGAGTTGAACATTCCCTTTGAGAGAGCAGGTTTGAAACACGCCTTTTGTCATATCTGGAAGTGTCCATTCGGAGCGCATTCAGGCTTGTGTTGAAAAAGGAAATATCCTCCCATAAAAACTAGACAGAAGCATTCTCAGAAACTTATCTGTGATGTATGTACTCAACTAACAGAACTAAACCATCGTTTTGAAGGAGCAGTTTTGAAACACTCTTTTTGCGGAATCTGCAAGTGGATATTTGGCTAGCTGGGAGGATTTCGTTGGAAACGGGATTACATACAAAAAGCAGACAGCAGCATTCTCAGAAACTTCTTTGTGATGTTTGCATTCAAGTCACAGAGTTGAACATTCCCTTTCATAGAGCAGGTTTGAAACACTCTTTTTGTAGTATCTGGATGTGGACATTTGGATCGCTTTCAGGCCTATGGTGAAAAAGGAAATATCTTCCCATGAAAACTAGACAGAAGCATTCTCAGAAACTTATTTGTGATGTGTGCCCTCAACTGACAGTGTTGAACCTTTGTTTTGATAGAGCAGTTCTGAAACACACTTTTTGTAAAATCTGCAAGAGGATATTTGGATAGCTTTGAGGATTTCGTTGGAAACGGAAATGTCTTCATGTAAACTCTACACAGAAGCATTCTCAGAAACTGCTTTGGGATGTTTCAATTGAAGTCCCAGTGTTGAACCTTCCCATTCATAGAGCAGGTTTGAAACACTCTTTTTGTACTATCTGGAAGTGGACATTTGGAGCGCTTTCAGGTCTACGGTGAAAAAGGAGATATCTTCCAGTAAAAACTAGATAGAAGCAATGTCAGAACTTTTTTCATGATATATCTACTCAGCTAACAGAGTTGAACCTTTCTTTTGAGAGAGCAGTTTTGAAACACTCTTTTTGTGGAATATGCAAGTGGGTATTAGGCCAGCTTGGAGGATTTCGTTGGAAACGGGAATACGTATAAAAAGCAGACAGCAGCATTGTCAGAAACTACTTTGTGATGTTTGCATTCAAGTCACAGAATTGAACACTCCCTTTCACAGAGCAGGTTTGAAACACTCTTTTTGTAGTGTCTGTAAGTGAACATATGGATTGCTTTCAGGCCTAAGGTGAAAAAGGAAATATCTTCCCATAAAAACTAGACAGAAGCATTCTCAGAAACTTGTTTGTGATGTGTGCCCTCTACTGACAGAGTTGAACCTTTCTTTGCAAAGAGCAGTTTTGAAACACTCTTTTTGTAGAATCTGCAAGAGGATATTTGGATAGCTTTGAAGATTTCTTGGGAAACGGGAATGTCTTCAGATAAACTCTAGACAGAAGCATTCTCAGAAACTTCTTTGGGATGTTTCAATTGAAGTCACAGTGTTGAACATTCCCTTTCACAGAGCAGGTTTGAAACACTCTTTTTGTAGTGTGTATAAGTGAACATTTGGCGTGCTTTCAGGCCTAACGTGAAAAAGGAAATATCTTCCCATAAAAACTAGACAGAAGCATTCTCAGAAACTTGTTCATGATGTGTGCCCTCTACTGACAGAGTTGAACCTTTCTTTGCAAAGAGCAGCTTTGAAACACTCTTTTTGTAGAATCTGCAAGAGGATATTTGGATAGCTTTGAGGATTTCGTTGGAAACGGGTATGTCTTCAGATAAACTCTAGACAGAAGCATTCTCAGAAACTTCTTTGGGATGTTGCATTCAAGTCACAGAGTAGAACATTCCCATTCATAGAGCAGATTTGAAACACTCTTTTTGTAGTATCTGGAAGTGGACATTTGGAGCGCTTTCAGGCCTATGTTGAAAAAGGAAATATCTTCCCATAAAAACTAGACGGAAGCATTCTCAGAAACTTACTTGTGATGTGTTTGCTCAACTAACAGAATTGAACCATCGTTTTGAAGGAGCAGTTTTGAAACACTGTTTTTGTGGAATCTGCAAGTGGATATTTGGCTAGCTTTGAGGATTTCGTTGGAAACGGGATTACATATACAAAGGAGACAGCAGCATTCTCAGAAACTTCTTTGTGATGTCTGCATTCAAGTCACAGAGTTGAGCATTCCCTTTCATAGAGCAGGTTGGAAACACTCTTTTTGTAGTATCTGGATGAGGACATTTGGAGCGCTTTCAGGCCTATGGTGAAAAAGGAAATATCTTCCCGTAAAAACTAGACAGAAGCATTCTCAGAAATTTATTTGTGATGTGTGCCCTCAACTAACAGAGTTGAACCTTTCTTTTGATAGAGCAGTTTTGAAACACTCTTTTTGTAAAATCTGCAAGAGGATATTTGGATAGCTTTGAGGATTTCGTTGCAAACGGGAATGGCTTCATATAAACTCTAGACAGAAGCATTCTCAGAAACCTCGTTGGGATGTTTCGATTGAAGTCCCAGTGTTGAACATTCCCTTTTATAGAGCAGGTTGGAAACACTCTTTCTGCATTCCCTGGAAGTGGACATTTGGAGCGCTTTCAGGACGACGGTGAAAATGGAAATATCTTCCAAGAAAATCTAGATAGAAGCAACGTCAGAAACTTTTCTGTGATGGATCTACTCAGCTAACAGAGTTGAACCTTTCTTTTGAGAGAGCAGTTTTGCAACACTCTTTTTGTGGAATATGCAAGTGGATATTAGGGCAGCTTTGAGGATTTCGTTGGAAACGGGAATACATGTAAAAAGCAGACAGCAGCATTCTCAGAAACTTCTTTGTGATGTTTGCATTGAAGTCACAGAGTTGAACATTCCCTTTGAGAGAGCAGGTTTGAAACACGCCTTTTGTCATATCTGGAAGTGTCCATTCGGAGCGCATTCAGGCTTGTGTTGAAAAAGGAAATATCGTCCCATAAAAACTAGACAGAAGCATTCTCAGAAACTTATCTGTGATGTATGTACTCAACTAACAGAACTAAACCATCGTTTTGAAGGAGCAGTTTTGAAACACTCTTTTTGCGGAATCTGCAAGTGGATATTTGGCTAGCTGGGAGGATTTCGTTGGAAACGGGATTACATACAAAAAGCAGACAGCAGCATTCTCAGAAACTTCTTTGTGATGTTTGCATTCAAGTCACAGAGTTGAACATTCCCTTTCATAGAGCAGGTTTGAAACACTCTTTTTGTAGTATCTGGATGTGGACATTTGGATCGCTTTCAGGCCTATGGTGAAAAAGGAAATATCTTCCCATGAAAACTAGACAGAAGCATTCTCAGAAACTTATTTGTGATGTGTGCCCTCAACTGACAGTGTTGAACCTTTGTTTTGATAGAGCAGTTCTGAAACACACTTTTTGTAAAATCTGCAAGAGGATATTTGGATAGCTTTGAGGATTTCGTTGGAAACGGGAATGTCTTCATGTAAACTCTGGACAGAAGCATTCTCAGAAACTGCTTTGGGATGTTTCAATTGAAGTCCCAGTGTTGAACATTCCCATTCATAGAGCAGGTTTGAAACACTCTTTTTCTACTATCTGGAAGTGGACATTTGGAGCGCTTTCAGGTCTACGGTGAAAAAGGAGATATCTTCCAATAAAAACTAGATAGAAGCAATGTCAGAACTTTTTTCATGATGTATCTACTCAGCAAACAGAGTTGAACCTTTCTTTTGAGAGAGCAGTTTTGACACTGTCTTTGTGGAATATGCAAGTGGGTATTAGGCCAGCTTGGAGGATTTCGTTGGAAACGGGAATACGTATAAAAAGCAGACAGCAGCATTGTCAGAAACTACTTTGTGATGTTTGCATTCAAGTCACAGAATTGAACACTCCCTTTCACAGAGCAGGTTTGAAACACTCTTTTTGTAGTGTCTGTAAGTGAACATATGGATTGCTTTCAGGCCTAAGGTGAAAAAGGAAATATCTTCCCATAAAAACTAGACAGAAGCATTCTCAGAAACTTGTTTGTGATGTGTGCCCTCTACTGACAGAGTTGAACCTTTCTTTGCAAAGAGCAGTTTTGAAACACTCTTTTTGTAGAATCTGCAAGAGGATATTTGGATAGCTTTGAGGATTTCTTGGGAAACGGGAATGTCTTCAGATAAACTCTAGACAGAAGCATTCTCAGAAACTTCTTTGGGATATTTCAATTGAAGTCACAGTGTTGAACATTCCCTTTCACAGAGCAGGTTTGAAACACTCTTTTTGTAGTGTCTATAAGTGAACATTTGGCGTGCTTTCAGGCCTAACGTGAAAAAGGAAATATCTTCCCATAAAAACTAGACAGAAGCATTCTCAGAAACTTGTTCGTGATGTGTGCCCTCTACTGACAGAGTTGAACCTTTCTTTGCAAAGAGCAGCTTTGAAACACACTTTTTGTAGAATCTGCAAGAGGATATTTGGATAGCTTTGAGGATTTCGTTGGAAACGGGTATGTCTTCAGATAAACTCTAGACAGAAGCATTCTCAGAAACTTCTTTGGGATGTTGCATTCAAGTCACAGAGTAGAACATTCCCATTCATAGAGCAGATTTGAAACACTCTTTTTGTAGTATCTGGAAGTGGACATTTGGAGCGCTTTCAGGCCTATGTTGAAAAAGGAAATATCTTCCCATAAAAACTAGACGGAAGCATTCTCTGAAACTTATTTGTGATGTGTTTGCTCAACTAACAGGATTGAACCATCGTTTTGAAGGAGCAGTTTTGAAACACTGTTTTCGTGGAATCTGCAAGTGGATATTTGGCTAGCTTTGAGGATTTCGTTGGAAACGGGATTACATATAAAAAGGAGACAGCAGCATTCTCAGAAACTTCTTTGTGATGTCTGCATTCAATTCACAGAGTTGAGCATTCCCTTTCATAGAGCAGGTTGGAAACACTCTTTTTGTAGTATCTGGATGAGGACATTTGGAGCGCTTTCAGGCGTATGGTGAAAAAGGAAATATCTTCCCGTAAAAACTAGACAGAAGCATTCTCAGAAGTTTATTTGTGATGTGTGCCCTCAACTAACAGAGTTGAACCTTTCTTTTGATAGAGCAGTTTTGAAACACTCTTTTTGTAAAATCTGCAAGAGGATATTTGGATAGCTTTGAGGATTTCGTTGCAAACGGGAATGGCTTCATATAAACTCTAGACAGAAGCATTCTCAGAAACTTCGTTGGGATGTTTCGATTGAAGTCCCAGTGTTGAACATTCCCTTTTATAGAGCAGGTTGGAAACACTCTTTCTGCATTCCCTGGAAGTGGACATTTGGAGCGCTTTCAGGACGACGGTGAAAATGGAAATATCTTCCAAGAAAATCTAGATAGAAGCAATGTCAGAAACTTTTATGTGATGGATCTACTCAGCTAACAGAGTTGAACCTTTCTTTTGAGAGAGCAGTTTTGCAACACTCTTTTTGTGGAATATGCAAGTGGATATTAGGGCAGCTTTGAGGATTTCGTTGGAAACGGGAATACATGTAAAAAGCAGACAGCAGCATTCTCAGAAACTTCTTTGTGATGTTTGCATTGAAGTCACAGCAGTTGAACATTCCCTTTGAGAGAGCAGGTTTGAAACACGCCTTTTGTCATATCTGGAAGTGTCCATTCGGAGCGCATTCAGGCTTGTGTTGAAAAAGGAAATATCCTCCCATAAAAACTAGACAGAAGCATTCTCAGAAACTTATCTGTGATGTATGTACTCAACTAACAGAACTAAACCATCGTTTTGAAGGAGCAGTTTTGAAACACTCTTTTTGCGGAATCTGCAAGTGGATATTTGGCTAGCTGGGAGGATTTCGTTGGAAACGGGATTACATACAAAAAGCAGACAGCAGCATTCTCAGAAACTTCTTTGTGATGTTTGCATTCAAGTCACAGAGTTGAACATTCCCTTTCATAGAGCAGGTTTGAAACACTCTTTTTGTACTATCTGGATGTGGACATTTGGATCGCTTTCAGGCCTATGGTGAAAAAGGAAATATCTTCCCATGAAAACTAGACAGAAGCATTCTCAGAAACTTATTTGTGATGTGTGCCCTCAACTGACAGTGTTGAACCTTTGTTTTGATAGAGCAGTTCTGAAACACACTTTTTGTAAAATCTGCAAGAGGATATTTGGATAGCTTTGAGGATTTCGTTGGAAACGGGAATGTCTTCATGTAAACTCTAGACAGAAGCATTCTCAGTAAACTGCTTTGGGATGTTTCAATTGAAGTCCCAGTGTTGAACATTCCCTTTCATAGAGCAGGTTTGAAACACTCTTTTTGTACTATCTGGAAGTGGACATTTGGAGCGCTTTCAGGTCTACGGTGAAAAAAGGAGATATCTTCCAATAAAAACTAGATAGAAGCAATGTCAGAACTTTTTTCATGATGTATCTACTCAGCAAAGAGAGTTGAACCTTTCTTTTGAGAGAGCAGTTTTGAAACACTCTTTTTGTGGAATATGCAAGTGGGTATTAGGCCAGCTTGGAGGATTTCGTTGGAAACGGGAATACGTATAAAAAGCAGACAGCCAGCATTGTCAGAAACTACTTTGTGATGTTTGCATTCAAGTCACAGAATTGAACACTCCCTTTCACAGAGCAGGTTTGAAACTCTCTTTTTGTAGTGTCTATAAGTGAACATTTGGCGTGCTTTCAGGCGTAACGTGAAAAAGGAAATATCTTCCCATAAAAACTAGACAGAGCATTCTCAGAAACTTGTTCGTGATGTGTGCCCTCTACTGACAGAGTTGAACCTTTCTTTGCAAAGAGCAGTTTTGAAACACTCTTTTTGTAGAATCTGCAAGAGGATATTTGGATAGCTTTGAGGATTTCTTGGGAAACGGGAATGTCTTCAGATAAACTCTAGACAGAAGCATTCTCAGAAACTTCTTTGGGATGTTTCAATTGAAGTCACAGTGTTGAACATTCCCTTTCACAGAGCAGGTTTGAAACACTCTTTTTGTAGTGTCTATAAGTGAACATTTGGCGTGCTTTCAGGCGTAACGTGAAAAAGGAAATATCTTCCCATAAAAACCAGACAGAAGCATTCTCAGAAACTTGTTCGTGATGTGTGCCCTCTACTGACAGAGTTGAACCTTTCTTTGCAAAGAGCAGCTTTGAAACACTCTTTTTGTAGAATCTGCAAGAGGATATTTGGATAGCTTTGAGGATTTCGTTGGAAACGGGTATGTCTTCAGATAAACTCTAGACAGAAGCATTCTCAGAAACTTCTTTGGGATGTTGCATTCAAGTCACAGAGTAGAACATTCCCATTCATAGAGCAGATTTGAAACACTCTTTTTGTAGTATCTGGAAGTGGACATTTGGAGCGCTTTCAGGCCTATGTTGAAAAAGGAAATATCTTCCCATAAAAACTAGACGGAAGCATTCTCAGAAACTTACTTGTGATGTGTTTGCTCAACTAACAGAATTGAACCATCGTTTTGAAGGAGCAGTTTTGAAACACTGTTTTCGTGGAATCTGCAAGTGGATATTTGGCTAGCTTTGAGGATTTCGTTGGAAACGGGATTACATATAAAAAGGAGACAGCAGCATTCTCAGAAACTTCTTTGTGATGTCTGCATTCAAGTCACAGAGTTGATCATTGCCTTTCATAGAGCAGGTTTGAAACACTCTTTTTGTAGTATCTGGATGAGGACATTTGGAGCGCTTTCAGGCGTATGGTGAAAAAGGAAATATCTTCCCGTAAAAACTAGACAGAAGCATTCTCAGAAATTTATTTGTGATGTGTGCCCTCAACTAACAGAGTTGAACCTTTCTTTTGATAGAGCAGTTTTGAAACACTCTTTTTGTAAAATCTGCAAGAGGATATTTGGATGGCTTTGAGGATTTCGTTGCAAACGGGAATGGCTTCATATAAACTCTAGACAGAAGCATTCTCAGAAACTTCGTTGGGATGTTTCGATTGAAGTCCCAGTGTTGAACATTCCCTTTTATAGAGCAGGTTGGAAACACTCTTTCTGCATTCCCTGGAAGTGGACATTTGGAGCGCTTTCAGGACGACGGTGAAAATGGAAATATCTTCCAAGAAAATCTAGATAGAAGCAACGTCAGAAACTTTTATGTGATGGATCTACTCAGCTAACAGAGTTGAACCTTTCTTTTGAGAGAGCAGTTTTGCAACACTCTTTTTGTGGAATATGCAAGTGGATATTAGGGCAGCTTTGAGGATTTCGTTGGAAACGGGAATACATGTAAAAAGCAGACAGCAGCATTCTCAGAAACTTCTTTGTGATGTTTGCATTGAAGTCACAGAGTTGAACATTCCCTTTGAGAGAGCAGGTTTGAAACACGCCTTTTGTCATATCTGGAAGTGTCCATTCGGAGCGCATTCAGGCTTGTGTTGAAAAAGGAAATATCCTCCCATAAAAACTAGGACGGAAGCATTCTCAGAAACTTATCTGTGATGTATGTACTCAACTAACAGAACTAAACCATCGTTTTGAAGGAGCAGTTTTGAAACACTCTTTTTGCGGAATCTGCAAGTGGATATTTGGCTAGCTGGGAGGATTTCGTTGGAAACGGGATTACATACAAAAAGCAGACAGCAGCATTCTCAGAAACTTCTTTGTGATGTTTGCATTCAAGTCACAGAGTTGAACATTCCCTTTCATAGAGCAGGTTTGAAACACTCTTTTTGTAGTATCTGGATGTGGACATTTGGATCGCTTTCAGGCCTATGGTGAAAAAGGAAATATCTTCCCATGAAAACTAGACAGAAGCATTCTCAGAAACTTATTTGTGATGTGTGCCCTCAACTGACAGTGTTGAACCTTTGTTTTGATAGAGCAGTTCTGAAACACACTTTTTGTAAAATCTGCAAGAGGATATTTGGATAGCTTTGAGGATTTCGTTGGAAACGGGAATGTCTTCATGTAAACTCTAGACAGAAGCATTCTCAGAAACTGCTTTGGGATGTTTCAATTGAAGTCCCAGTGTTGAACATTCGCTTTCATAGAGCAGGTTTGAAATACTCTTTTTGTACTATCTGGAAGTGGACATTTGGAGCGCTTTCAGGTCTACGGTGAAAAAGGAGATATCTTCCAATAAAAACTAGATAGAAGCAATGTCAGAACTTTTTTCATGATGTATCTACTCAGCAAACAGAGTTGAACCTTTCTTTTGAGAGAGCAGTTTTGAAACACTCTTTTTGTGGAATATGAAAGTGGGTATTAGGCCAGCTTGGAGGATTTCGTTGGAAACGGGAATACGTATAAAAAGCAGACAGCAGCATTGTCAGAAACTACTTTGTGATGTTTGCATTCAAGTCACAGAACTGAACACTCCCTTTCACAGAGCAGGTTTGAAACACTCTTTTTGTAGTGTCTGTAAGTGAACATTTGGATTGCTTTCAGGCCTAAGGTGAAAAAGGAAATATCTTCCCATAAAAACTAGACAGAAGCATTCTCAGAAACTTGTTTGTGATGTGTGCCCTCTACTGACAGAGTTGAACCTTTCTTTGCAAAGAGCAGCTTTGAAACACTCTTTTTGTAGAATCTGCAAGAGGATATGTGGATAGCTTTGAGGATTTCGTTGGAAACGGGTATGTCTTCAGATAAACTCTAGACAGAAGCATTCTCAGAAACTTCTTTGGGATGTTTCAATTGAAGTCACAGTGTTGAACATTCCCTTTCACAGAGCAGGTTTGAAACACTCTTTTTGTAGTGTCTATAAGTGAACATTTGGCGTGCTTTCAGGCCTAACGTGAAAAAGGAAATATCTTCCCATAAAAACTAGACAGAAGCATTCTCAGAAACTTGTTCATGATGTGTGCCCTCTACTGACAGAGTTGAACCTTTCTTTGCAAAGAGCAGCTTTGAAACACTCTTTTTGTAGAATCTGCAAGAGGATATTTGGATAGCTTGGAGGATTTCGTTGGAAACGGGTATGTCTTCAGATAAACTCTAGACAGAAGCATTCTCAGAAACTTCTTTGGGATGTTGCATTCAAGTCACAGAGTAGAACATTCCCATTCATAGAGCAGATTTGAAACACTCTTTTTGTAGTATCTGGAAGTGGACATTTGGAGCGCTTTCAGGCCTATGTTGAAAAAGGAAATATCTTCCCATAAAAACTAGACGGAAGCATTCTCAGAAACTTACTTGTGATGTGTTTGCTCAACTAACAGAATTGAACCATCGTTTTGAAGGAGCAGTTTTGAAACACTGTTTTCGTGGAATCTGCAAGTGGATATTTGGCTAGCTTTGAGGATTTCGTTGGAAACGGGATTACATATAAAAAGGAGACAGCAGCATTCTCAGAAACTTCTTTGTGATGTCTGCATTCAAGTCACAGAGTTGAGCATTCCCTTTCATAGAGAAGGTTGGAAACACTCTTTTTGTAGTATCTGGATGAGGACATTTGGAGCGCTTTCAGGCGTATGGTGAAAAAGGAAATATCTTCCCGTAAAAACTAGACAGAAGCATTCTCAGAAATTTATTTGTGATGTGTGCCCTCAACTAACAGAGTTGAACCTTTCTTTTGATAGAGCAGTTTTGAAACACTCTTTTTGTAAAATCTGCAAGAGGATATTTGGATAGCTTTGAGGATTTCGTTGCAAACGGGAATGGCTTCATATAAACTCTAGACAGAAAGCATTCTCAGAAACTTCGTCGGGATGTTTCGATTGAAGTCCCAGTGTTGAACATTCCCTTTTATAGAGCAGGTTGGAAACACTCTTTCTGCATTCCCTGGAAGTGGACAATTGGAGCGCTTTCAGGACGACGGTGAAAATGGAAATATCTTCCAATAAAATCTGGATAGAGCAACGTCAGAAACTTTTCTGTGATGGATCTACTCAGCTAACAGAGTTGAACCTTTCTTTTGAGAGAGCAGTTTTGCAACACTCTTTTTGTGGAATATGCAAGTGGATATTAGGGCAGCTTTGAGGATTTCGTTGGAAACGGGAATACATGTAAAAAGCAGACAGCAGCATTCTCAGAAACTTCTTTGTGATGTTTGCATTGAAGTCACAGAGTTGAACATTCCCTTTGAGAGAGCAGGTTTGAAACACGCCTTTTGTCATATCTGGAAGTGTCCATTCGGAGCGCATTCAGGCTTGTGTTGAAAAAGGAAATATCCTCCCATAAAAACTAGACAGAAGCATTCTCAGAAACTTATCTGTGATGTATGTACTCAACTAACAGAACTAAACCATCCGTTTTGAAGGAGCAGTTTTGAAACACTCTTTTTGCGGAATCTGCAAGTGGATATTTGGCTAGCTGGGAGGATTTCGTTGGAAACGGGATTACATACAAAAAGCAGACAGCAGCATTCTCAGAAACTTATTTGCGATGTGTGCCGTCAACTGACAGTGTTGAACCTTTGTTTTGATAGAGCAGTTCTGAAACACACTTTTTGTAAAATCTGCAAGAGGATATTTGGATAGCTTTGAGGATTTCGTTGGAAACGGGAATGTCTTCATGTAAACTCTGGACAGAAGCATTCTCAGAAACTGCTTTGGGATGTTTCAATTGAAGTCCCAGTGTTGAACATTCCCTTTCATAGAGCAGGTTTGAAACACTCTTTTTGTACTATCTGGAAGTGGACATTTGGAGCGCTTTCAGGTCTACGGTGAAAAAGGAGATATCTTCCAATAAAAACTAGATAGAAGCAATGTCAGAACTTTTTTCATGATGTATCTACTCAGCAAACAGAGTTGAACCTTTCTTTTGAGAGAGCAGTTTTGAAACACTCTTTTTGTGGAATATGCAAGTGGGTATTAGGCCAGCTTGGAGGATTTCGTTGGAAACGGGAATACGTATAAAAAGCAGACAGCAGCATTGTCAGAAACTACTTTGTGATGTTTGCATTCAAGTCACAGAATTGAACACTCCCTTTCACAGAGCAGGTTTGAAACACTCTTTTTGTAGTGTCTGTAAGTGAACATTTGGATTGCTTTCAGGCCTAAGGTGAAAAAGGAAATATCTTCCCATAAAAACTAGACAGAAGCATTCTCAGAAACTTGTTTGTGATGTGTGCCCTCTACTGACAGAGTTGAAACTTTCTTTGCAAAGAGCAGTTTTGAAACACTCTTTTTGTAGAATCTGCAAGAGGATATTTGGATAGCTTTGAGGATTTCTTGGGAAACGGGAATGTCTTCAGATAAACTCTAGACAGAAGCATTCTCAGAAACTTCTTTGGGATGTTTCAATTGAAGTCAGTGTTGAACATTCCCTTTCACAGAGCAGGTTTGAAACACTCTTTTTGTAGTGTCTATAAGTGAACATTTGGCGTGCTTTCAGGCGTAACGTGAAAAAGGAAATATCTTCCCATAAAAACTAGACAGAAGCATTCTCAGAAACTTGTTCTTGATGTGTCCCCTCTACTGACAGAGTTGAACCTTTCTTTGCAAAGAACAGCTTTGAAACACTCTTTTTGTAGAATCTGCAAGAGGATATTTGGATAGCTTGGAGGATTTCGTTGGAAACGGGTATGTCTTCAGATAAACTCTAGACAGAAGCATTCTCAGAAACTTCTTTGGGATGTTGCATTCAAGTCACAGAGTAGAACATTCCCATTCATAGAGCAGATTTGAAACACTCTTTTTGTAGTATCTGGAAGTGGACATTTGGAGCGCTTTCAGGCCTATGTTGAAAAAGGAAATATCTTCCCATAAAAACTAGACGGAAGCATTCTCAGAAACTTACTTGTGATGTGTTTGCTCAACTAACAGAATTGAACCATCGTTTTGAAGGAGCAGTTTTGAAACACTGTTTTCGTGGAATCTGCAAGTGGATATTTGGCTAGCTTTGAGGATTTCGTTGGAAACGGGATTACATGTACAAAGGAGACAGCAGCATTCTCAGAAACTTCTTTGTGATGTCTGCATTCAAGTCACAGAGTTGAGCATTCCCTTTCATAGAGCAGGTTGGAAACACTCTTTTTGTAGTATCTGGATGAGGACATTTGGAGCGCTTTCAGGCGTATGGTGAAAAAGGAAATATCTTCCCGTAAAAACTAGACAGAAGCATTCTCAGAAATTTATTTGTGATGTGTGCCCTCAACTAACAGAGTTGAACCTTTCTTTTGATAGAGCAGTTTTGAAACACTCTTTTTGTAAAATCTGCAAGAGGATATTTGGATAGCTTTGAGGATTTCGTTGCAAACGGGAATGGCTTCATATAAACTCTAGACAGAAGCATTCTCAGAAACTTCGTTGGGATGTTTCGATTGAAGTCCCAGTGTTGAACATTCCCTTTTATAGAGCAGGTTGGAAACACTCTTTCTGCATTCCCTGGAAGTGGACATTTGGAGCGCTTTCAGGACGACGGTGAAAATGGAAATATCTTCCAAGAAAATCTAGATAGAAGCAACGTCAGAAACTTTTCTGTGATGGATCTACTCAGCTAACAGAGTTGAACCTTTCTTTTGAGAGAGCAGTTTTGCAACACTCTTTTTGTGGAATATGCAAGTGGATATTAGGGCAGCTTTGAGGATTTCGTTGGAAACGGGAATACATGTAAAAAGCAGACAGCAGCATTCTCAGAAACTTCTTTGTGATGTTTGCATTGAAGTCACAGAGTTGAACATTCCCTTTGAGAGAGCAGGTTTGAAACACGCCTTTTGTCATATCTGGAAGTGTCCATTCGGAGCGCATTCAGGCTTGTGTTGAAAAAGGAAATATCCTCCCATAAAAACTAGACAGAAGCATTCTCAGAAACTTATCTGTGATGTATGTACTCAACTAACAGAACTAAACCATCGTTTTGAAGGAGCAGTTTTGAAACACTCTTTTTGCGGAATCTGCAAGTGGATATTTGGCTAGCTGGGAGGATTTCGTTGGAAACGGGATTACATACAAAAAGCAGACAGCAGCATTCTCAGAAACTTAACTGTGATGTATGTACTCAACTAACAGAACTAAACCATCGTTTTGAAGGGCAGTTTTGAAACACTCTTTTTGCGGAATCTGCAAGTGGATATTTGGCTAGCTGGGAGGATTTCGTTGGAAACGGGATTACATACAAAAAGCAGACAGCAGCATTCTCAGAAACTTATTTGTGATGTGTGCACTCAACTGACAGTGTTGAACCTTTGTTTTGATAGAGCAGTTCTGAAACACACTTTTTGTAAAATCTGCAAGAGGATATTTGGATAGCTTTGAGGATTTCGTTGGAAACGGGAATGTCTTCATGTAAACTCTGGACAGAAGCATTCTCAGAAACTGCTTTGGGATGTTTCAATTGAAGTCCCAGTGTTGAATATTCCCTTTCATAGAGCAGGTTTGAAACACTCTTTTTGTACTATCTGGAAGTGGACATTTGGAGCGCTTTCAGGTCTACGGTGAAAAAGGAGATATCTTCCAATAAAAACTAGATAGAAGCAATGTCAGAACTTTTTTCATGATGTATCTACTCAGCAAACAGAGTTGAACCTTTCTTTTGAGAGAGCAGTTTTGAAACACTCTTTTTGTGGAATATGCAAGTGGGTATTAGGCCAGCTTGGAGGATTTCGTTGGAAACGGGAATACGTATAAAAAGCAGACAGCAGCATTGTCAGAAACTACTTTGTGATGTTTGCATTCAAGTCACAGAATTGAACACTCCCTTTCACAGAGCAGGTTTGAAACACTCTTTTTGTAGTGTCTGTAAGTGAACATTTGGATTGCTTTCAGGCCTAAGGTGAAAAAGGAAATATCTTCCCATAAAAACTAGACAGAAGCATTCTCAGAAACTTGTTTGTGATGTGTGCCCTCTACTGACAGAGTTGAACCTTTCTTTGCAAAGAGCAGTTTTGAAACACTCTTTTTGTAGAATCTGCAAGAGGATATTTGGATAGCTTTGAGGATTTCTTGGGAAACGGGAATGTCTTCAGATAAACTCTAGACAGAAGCATTCTCAGAAACTTCTTTGGGATGTTTCAATTGAAGTCACAGTGTTGAACATTCCCTTTCACAGAGCAGGTTTGAAACACTCTTTTTGTAGTGTCTATAAGTGAACATTTGGCGTGCTTTCAGGCCTAACGTGAAAAAGGAAATATCTTCCCATAAAAACTAGACAGAAGCATTCTCAGAAACTTGTTCGTGATGTGTGCCCTCTACTGACAGAGTTGAACCTTTCTTTGCAAAGAGCAGCTTTGAAACACTCTTTCTGTAGAATCTGCAAGAGGATATTTGGATAGCTTGGAGGATTTCGTTGGAAACGGGTATGTCTTCAGATAAACTCTAGACAGAAGCATTCTCAGAAACTTCTTTGGGATGTTGCATTCAAGTCACAGAGTAGAACATTCCCATTCATAGAGCAGATTTGAAACACTCTTTTTGTAGTATCTGGAAGTGGACATTTGGAGCGCTTTCAGGCCTATGTTGAAAAAGGAAATATCTTCCCATAAAAACTAGACGGAAGCATTCTCAGAAACTTATTTGTGATGTGTTTGCTCAACTAACAGGATTGAACCATCGTTTTGAAGGAGCAGTTTTGAAACACTGTTTTCGTGGAATCTGCAAGTGGATATTTGGCTAGCTTTGAGGATTTCGTTGGAAACGGGATTACATATAAAAAGGAGACAGCAGCATTCTCAGAAACTTCTTTGTGATGTCTGCATTCAATTCACAGAGTTGAGCATTCCCTTTCATAGAGCAGGTTGGAAACACTCTTTTTGTAGTATCTGGATGAGGACATTTGGAGCGCTTTCAGGCGTATGGTGAAAAAGGAAATATCTTCCCGTAAAAACTAGACAGAAGCATTCTCAGAAGTTTATTTGTGATGTGTGCCCTCAACTAACAGAGTTGAACCTTTCTTTTGATAGAGCAGTTTTGAAACACTCTTTTTGTAAAATCTGCAAGAGGATATTTGGATAGCTTTGAGGATTTCGTTGCAAACGGGAATGGCTTCATATAAACTCTAGACAGAAGCATTCTCAGAAACTTCGTTGGGATGTTTCGATTGAAGTCCCAGTGTTGAACATTCCCTTTTATAGAGCAGGTTGGAAACACTCTTTCTGCATTCCCTGGAAGTGGACATTTGGAGCGCTTTCAGGACGACGGTGAAAATGGAAATATCTTCCAAGAAAATCTAGATAGAAGCAATGTCAGAAACTTTTATGTGATGGATCTACTCAGCTAACAGAGTTGAACCTTTCTTTTGAGAGAGCAGTTTTGCAACACTCTTTTTGTGGAATATGCAAGTGGATATTAGGGCAGCTTTGAGGATTTCGTTGGAAACGGGAATACATGTAAAAAGCAGACAGCAGCATTCTCAGAAACTTCTTTGTGATGTTTGCATTGAAGTCACAGAGTTGAACATTCCCTTTGAGAGAGCAGGTTTGAAACACGCCTTTTGTCATATCTGGAAGTGTCCATTCGGAGCGCATTCAGGCTTGTGTTGAAAAAGGAAATATCCTCCCATAAAAACTAGACAGAAGCATTCTCAGAAACTTATCTGTGATGTATGTACTCAACTAACAGAACTAAACCATCGTTTTGAAGGAGCAGTTTTGAAACACTCCTTTTGCGGAATCTGCAAGTGGATATTTGGCTAGCTGGGAGGATTTCGTTGGAAACGGGATTACATACAAAAAGCAGACAGCAGCATTCTCAGAAACTTCTTTGTGATGTTTGCATTCAAGTCACAGAGTTGAACATTCCCTTTCATAGAGCAGGTTTGAAACACTCTTTTTGTAGTATCTGGATGTGGACATTTGGATCGCTTTCAGGCCTATGGTGAAAAAGGAAATATCTTCCCATGAAAACTAGACAGAAGCATTCTCAGAAACTTATTTGCGATGTGTGCCCTCAACTGACAGTGTTGAACCTTTGTTTTGATAGAGCAGTTCTGAAACACACTTTTTGTAAAATCTGCAAGAGGATATTTGGATAGCTTTGAGGATTTCGTTGGAAACGGGAATGTCTTCATGTAAACTCTGGACAGAAGCATTCTCAGAAACTGCTTTGGGATGTTTCAATTGAAGTCCCAGTGTTGAACATTCCCATTCATAGAGCAGGTTTGAAACACTCTTTTTGTACTATCTGGAAGTGGACATTTGGAGCGCTTTCAGGTCTACGGTGAAAAAGGAGATATCTTCCAATAAAAACTAGATAGAAGCAATGTCAGAACATTTTTCATGATGTATCTACTCAGCAAACAGAGTTGAACCTTTCTTTTGAGAGAGCAGTTTTGAAACACTCTTTTTGTGGAATATGAAAGTGGGTATTAGGCCAGCTTGGAGGATTTCGTTGGAAACGGGAATACGTATAAAAAGCAGACAGCAGCATTGTCAGAAACTACTTTGTGATGTTTGCATTCAAGTCACAGAACTGAACACTCCCTTTCACAGAGCAGGTTTGAAACACTCTTTTTGTAGTGTCTGTAAGTGAACATTTGGATTGCTTTCAGGCCTAAGGTGAAAAAGGAAATATCTTCCCATAAAAACTAGACAGAAGCATTCTCAGAAACTTGTTTGTGATGTGTGCCCTCTACTGACAGAGTTGAACCTTTCTTTGCAAAGAGCAGTTTTGAAACACTCTTTTTGTAGAATCTGCAAGAGGATATTTGGATAGCTTTGAGGATTTCTTGGGAAACGGGAATGTCTTCAGATAAACTCTAGACAGAAGCATTCTCAGAAACTTCTTTGAGATGTTTCAATTGAAGTCACAGTGTTGAACATTCCCTTTCACAGAGCAGGTTTGAAACACTCTTTTTGTAGTGTCTATAATTGAACATTTGGCGTGCTTTCAGGCCTAAGGTGAAAAAGGAAATATCTTCCCATAAAAACTAGACAGAAGCATTCTCAGAAACTTGTTCGTGATGTGTGCCCTCTACTGACAGAGTTGAACCTTTCTTTGCAAAGAGCAGCTTTGAAACACTCTTTTTGTAGAATCTGCAAGAGGATATGTGGATAGCTTTGAGGATTTCGTTGGAAACGGGTATGTCTTCAGATAAACTCTAGACAGAAGCATTCTCAGAAACTTCTTTGGGATGTTTCAATTGAAGTCACAGTGTTGAACATTCCCTTTCACAGAGCAGGTTTGAAACACTCTTTTTGTAGTGTCTATAAGTGAACATTTGGCGTGCTTTCAGGCCTAACGTGAAAAAGGAAATATCTTCCCATAAAAACTAGACAGAAGCATTCTCAGAAACTTGTTCGTGATGTGTGCCCTCTACTGACAGAGTTGAACCTTTCTTTGCAAAGAGCAGCTTTGAAACACACTTTTTGTAGAACCTGCAAGAGGATATTTGGATAGCTTTGAGGATTTCGTTGGAAACGGGTATGTCTTCAGATAAACTCTAGACAGAAGCATTCTCAGAAACTTCTTTGGGATGTTGCATTCAAGTCACAGAGTAGAACATTCCCATTCATAGAGCAGATTTGAAACACTCTTTTTGTAGTATCTGGAAGTGGACATTTGGAGCGCTTTCAGGCCTATGTTGAAAAAGGAAATATCTTCCCATAAAAACTAGACGGAAGCATTCTCAGAAACTTACTTGTGATGTGTTTGCTCAACTAACAGAATTGAACCATCGTTTTGAAGGAGCAGTTTTGAAACACTGTTTTCGTGGAATCTGCAAGTGGATATTTGGCTAGCTTTGAGGATTTCGTTGGAAACGGGATTACATATACAAAGGAGACAGCAGCATTCTCAGAAACTTCTTTGTGATGTCTGCATTCAAGTCACAGAGTTGAGCATTCCCTTTCATAGAGCAGGTTGGAAACACTCTTTTTGTAGTATCTGGATGAGGACATTTGGAGCGCTTTCAGGCCTATGGTGAAAAAGGAAATATCTTCCCGTAAAAACTAGACAGAAGCATTCTCAGAAATTTATTTGTGATGTGTGCCCTCAACTAACAGAGTTGAACCTTTCTTTTGATAGAGCAGTTTTGAAACACTCTTTTTGTAAAATCTGCAAGAGGATATTTGGATAGCATTGAGGATTTCGTTGCAAACGGGAATGGCTTCATATAAACTCTAGACAGAAAGCATTCTCAGAAACTTCGTCGGGATGTTTCGATTGAAGTCCCAGTGTTGAACATTCCCTTTTATAGAGCAGGTTGGAAACACTCTTTCTGCATTCCCTGGAAGTGGACAATTGGAGCGCTTTCAGGACGACGGTGAAAATGGAAATATCTTCCAATAAAATCTGGATAGAGCAACCGTCAGAAACTTTTCTGTGATGGATCTACTCAGCTAACAGAGTTGAACCTTTCTTTTGAGAGAGCAGTTTTGCAACACTCTTTTTGTGGAATATGCAAGTGGATATTAGGGCAGCTTTGAGGATTTCGTTGGAAACGGGAATACATGTAAAAAGCAGACAGCAGCATTCTCAGAAACTTCTTTGTGATGTTTGCATTGAAGTCACAGAGTTGAACATTCCCTTTGAGAGAGCAGGTTTGAAACACGCCTTTTGTCATATCTGGAAGTGTCCATTCGGAGCGCATTCAGGCTTGTGTTGAAAAAGGAAATATCCTCCCATAAAAACTAGACAGAAGCATTCTCAGAAACTTATCTGTGATGTATGTACTCAACTAACAGAACTAAACCATCGTTTTGAAGGAGCAGTTTTGAAACACTCTTTTTGCGGAATCTGCAAGTGGATATTTGGCTAGCTGGGAGGATTTCGTTGGAAACGGGATTACATACAAAAAGCAGACAGCAGCATTCTCAGAAACTTCTTTGTGATGTTTGCATTCAAGTCACAGAGTTGAACATTCCCTTTCATAGAGCAGGTTTGAAACACTCTTTTTGTAGTATCTGGATGTGGACATTTGGATCGCTTTCAGGCCTATGGTGAAAAAGGAAATATCTTCCCATGAAAACTAGACAGAAGCATTCTCAGAAACTTATTTGTGATGTGTGCCCTCAACTGACAGTGTTGAACCTTTGTTTTGATAGAGCAGTTCTGAAACACACTTTTTGTAAAATCTGCAAGAGGATATTTGGATAGCTTTGAGGATTTCGTTGGAAACGGGAATGTCTTCATGTAAACTTCTAGACAGAAGCATTCTCAGAAACTGCTTTGGGATGTTTCAATTGAAGTCCCAGTGTTGAACATTCCCTTTCATAGAGCAGGTTTGAAACACTCTTTTTGTACTATCTGGAAGTGGACATTTGGAGCGCTTTCAGGTCTAAGGTGAAAAAGGAGATATCTTCCAATAAAAACTAGATAGAAGCAATGTCAGAACTTTTTTCATGATGTATCTACTCAGCAAACAGAGTTGAACCTTTCTTTTGAGAGAGCAGTTTTGAAACACTCTTTTTGTGGAATATGCAAGTGGGTATTAGGCCAGCTTGGAGGATTTCGTTGGAAACGGGAATACGTATAAAAAGCAGACAGCAGCATTGTCAGAAACTACTTTGTGATGTTTACATTCAAGTCACAGAATTGAACACTCCCTTTCACAGAACAGGTTTGAAACACTCTTTTTGTAGTGTCTGTAAGTGAACATTTGGATTGCTTTCAGGCCTAAGGTGAAAAAGGAAATATCTTCCCATAAAAACTAGACAGAAGCATTCTCAGAAACTTGTTTGTGATGTGTGCCCTCTACTGACAGAGTTGAACCTTTCTTTGCAAAGACCAGTTTTGAAACACTCTTTTTGTAGAATCTGCAAGAGGATATTTGGATAGCTTTGAGGATTTCTTGGGAAACGGGAATGTCTTCAGATAAACTCTAGACAGAAGCATTCTCAGAAACTTCTTTGGGATGTTTCAATTGAAGTCACAGTGTTGAACATTCCCTTTCACAGAGCAGGTTTGAAACACTCTTTTTGTAGTGTCTATAAGTGAACATTTGGCGTGCTTTCAGGCCTAACGTGAAAAAGGAAATATCTTCCCATAAAAACTAGACAGAAGCATTCTCAGAAACTTGTTCGTGATGTGTGCCCTCTACTGACAGAGTTGAACCTTTCTTTGCAAAGAGCAGCTTTGAAACACTCTTTCTGTAGAATCTGCAAGAGGATATTTGGATAGCTTGGAGGATTTCGTTGTAAACGGGTATGTCTTCAGATAAACTCTAGACAGAAGCATTCTCAGAAACTTCTTTGGGATGTTGCATTCAAGTCACAGAGTAGAACATTCCCATTCATAGAGCAGATTTGAAACACTCTTTTTGTAGTATCTGGAAGTGGACATTTGGAGCGCTTTCAGGCCTATGTTGAAAAAGGAAATATCTTCCCATAAAAACTAGACGGAAGCATTCTCAGAAACTTATTTGTGATGTGTTTGCTCAACTAACAGGATTGAACCATCGTTTTGAAGGAGCAGTTTTGAAACACTGTTTTCGTGGAATCTGCAAGTGGATATTTGGCTAGCTTTGAGGATTTCGTTGGAAACGGGATTACATATAAAAAGGAGACAGCAGCATTCTCAGAAACTTCTTTGTGATGTCTGCATTCAAATCACAGAGTTGAGCATTCCCTTTCATAGAGCAGGTTGGAAACACTCTTTTTGTAGTATCTGGATGAGGACATTTGGAGCGCTTTCAGGCGTATGGTGAAAAAGAAAATATCTTCCCGTAAAAACTAGACAGAAGCATTCTCAGAAATTTATTTGTGATGTGTGCCCTCAACTAACAGAGTTGAACCTTTCTTTTGATAGAGCAGTTTTGAAACACTCTTTTTGTAAAATCTGCAAGAGGATATTTGGATAGCTTTGAGGATTTCATTGCAAACGGGAATGGCTTCATATAAACTCTAGACAGAAGCATTCTCAGAAACTTCGTTGGGATGTTTCGATTGAAGTCCCAGTGTTGAACATTCCCTTTTATAGAGCAGGTTGGAAACACTCTTTCTGCATTCCCTGGAAGTGGACATTTGGAGCGCTTTCAGGACGACGGTGAAAATGGAAATATCTTCCAAGAAAATCTAGATAGAAGCAACGTCAGAAACTTTTATGTGATGGATCTACTCAGCTAACAGAGTTGAACCTTTCTTTTGAGAGAGCAGTTTTGCAACACTCTTTTTGTGGAATATGCAAGTGGATATTAGGGCAGCTTTGAGGATTTCGTTGGAAACGGGAATACATGTAAAAAGCAGACAGCAGCATTCTCAGAAACTTCTTTGTGATGTTTGCATTGAAGTCACAGAGTTGAACATTCCCTTTGAGAGAGCAGGTTTGAAACACGCCTTTTGTCATATCTGGAAGTGTCCATTCGGAGCGCATTCAGGCTTGTGTTGAAAAAGGAAATATCCTCCCATAAAAACTAGACAGAAGCATTCTCAGAAACTTATCTGTGATGTATGTACTCAACTAACAGAACTAAACCATCGTTTTGAAGGAGCAGTTTTGAAACACTCTTTTTGCGGAATCCGCAAGTGGATATTTGGCTAGCTGGGAGGATTTCGTTGGAAACGGGATTACATACAAAAAGCAGACAGCCAGCATTCTCAGAAAACTTCTTTGTGATGTTTGCATTCAAGTCACAGAGTTGAACATTCCCTTTCATAGAGCAGGTTTGAAACACTCTTTTTGTAGTATCTGGATGTGGACATTTGGATCGCTTTCAGGCCTATGGTGAAAAAGGAAATATCTTCCCATGAAAACTAGACAGAAGCATTCTCAGAAACTTATTTGTGATGTGTGCCCTCAACTGACAGTGTTGAACCTTTGTTTTGATAGAGCAGTTCTGAAACACACTTTTTGTAAAATCTGCAAGAGGATATTTGGATAGCTTTGAGGATTTCGTTGGAAACGGGAATGTCTTCATGTAAACTCTAGACAGAAGCATTCTCAGAAACTGCTTTGGGATGTTTCAATTGAAGTCCCAGTGTTGAACATTCCCATTCATAGAGCAGGTTTGAAACACTCTTTTTGTACTATCTGGAAGTGGACATTTGGAGCGCTTTCAGGTCTACGGTGAAAAAGGAGATATCTTCCAATAAAAACTAGATAGAAGCAATGTCAGAACTTTTTTCATGATGTATCTACTCAGCAAACAGAGTTGAACCTTTCTTTTGAGAGAGCAGTTTTGAAACACTCTTTTTGTGGAATATGCAAGTGGGTATTAGGCCAGCTTGGAGGATTTCGTTGGAAACGGGAATACGTATAAAAAGCAGACAGCAGCATTGTCAGAAACTACTTTGTGATGTTTGCATTCAAGTCACAGAATTGAACACTCCCTTTCACAGAGCAGGTTTGAAACACTCTTTTTGTAGTGTCTGTAAGTGAACATTTGGATTGCTTTCAGGCCTATGTGAAAAAGGAAATATCTTCCCATAAAAACTAGACAGAAAGCATTCTCAGAAACTTGTTTGTGATGTGTGCCCTCTACTGACAGAGTTGAACCTTTCTTTGCAAAGAGAAGTTTTGAAACACTCTTTTTGTAGAATCTGCAAGAGGATATTTGGATAGCTTTGAGGATTTCTTGGGAAACGGGAATGTCTTCAGATAAACTCTAGACAGAAGCATTCTCAGAAACTTCTTTGGGATGTTTCAATTGAAGTCACAGTGTTGAACATTCCCTTTCACAGAGCAGGTTTGAAACACTCTTTTTGTAGTGTCTATAAGTGAACATTTGGCGTGCTTTCAGTTGTAACGTGAAAAAGGAAATATCTTCCCATAAAAACTAGACAGAAGCATTCTCAGAAACTTGTTCGTGATGTGTGCCCTCTACTGACAGAGTTGAACCTTTCTTTGCAAAGAGCAGCTTTGAAACACTCTTTTTGTAGAATCTGCAAGAGGATATTTGGATAGCTTTGAGGATTTCGTTGGAAACGGGTATGTCTTCAGATAAACTCTAGACAGAAGCATTCTCAGAAACTTCTTTGGGATGTTGCATTCAAGTCACAGAGTAGAACATTCCCATTCATAGAGCAGATTTGAAACACTCTTTTTGTAGTATCTGGAAGTGGACATTTGGAGCGCTTTCAGGCCTATGTTGAAAAAGGAAATATCTTCCCATAAAAACTAGACGGAAGCATTCTCAGAAACTTACTTGTGATGTGTTTGCTCAACTAACAGAATTGAACCATCGTTTTGAAGGAGCAGTTTTGAAACACTGTTTTCGTGGAATCTGCAAGTGGATATTTGGCTAGCTTTGAGGATTTCGTTGGAAACGGGATTACATATAAAAAGGAGACAGCAGCATTCTCAGAAACTTCTTTGTGATGTCTGCATTCAAGTCACAGAGTTGAGCATTCCCTTTCATAGAGCAGGTTGGAAACACTCTTTTTGTAGTATCTGGATGAGGACATTTGGAGCGCTTTCAGGCGTATGGTGAAAAAGGAAATATCTTCCCGTAAAAACTAGACAGAAGCATTCTCAGAAATTTATTTGTGATGTGTGCCCTCAACTAACAGAGTTGAACTTTTCTTTTGATAGAGCAGTTTTGAAACACTCTTTTTGTAAAATCTGCAAGAGGATATTTGGATAGCTTTGAGGATTTCGTTGCAAACGGGAATGGCTTCATATAAACTCTAGACAGAAGCATTCTCAGAAACTTCGTTGGGATGTTTCGATTGAAGTCCCAGTGTTGAACATTCCCTTTTATAGAGCAGGTTGGAAACACTCTTTCTGCATTCCCTGGAAGTGGACATTTGGAGCGCTTTCAGGACGATGGTGAAAATGGAAATATCTTCCAAGAAAATCTAGATAGAAGCAATGTCAGAAACTTTTATGTGATGGATCTACTCAGCTAACAGAGTTGAACCTTTCTTTTGAGAGAGCAGTTTTGCAACACTCTTTTTGTGGAATATGCAAGTGGATATTAGGGCAGCTTTGAGGATTTCGTTGGAAACGGGAATACATGTAAAAAGCAGACAGCAGCATTCTCAGAAACTTCTTTGTGATGTTTGCATTGAAGTCACAGAGTTGAACATTCCCTTTGAGAGAGCAGGTTTGAAACACGCCTTTTGTCATATCTGGAAGTGTCCATTCGGAGCGCATTCAGGCTTGTGTTGAAAAAGGAAATATCCTCCCATAAAAACTAGACAGAAGCATTCTCAGAAACTTATCTGTGATGTATGTACTCAACTAACAGAACTAAACCATCGTTTTGAAGGAGCAGTTTTGAAACACTCTTTTTGCGGAATCTGCAAGTGGATATTTGGCTAGCTGGGAGGATTTCGTTGGAAACGGGATTACATACAAAAAGCAGACAGCAGCATTCTCAGAAACTTCTTTGTGATGTTTGCATTCAAGTCACAGAGTTGAACATTCCCTTTCATAGAGCAGGTTTGAAACACTCTTTTTGTAGTATCTGGATGTGGACATTTGGATCGCTTTCAGGCCTATGGTGAAAAAGGAAATATCTTCCCATGAAAACTAGACAGAAGCATTCTCAGAAACTTATTTGTGATGTGTGCCCTCAACTGACAGTGTTGAACCTTTGTTTTGATAGAGCAGTTCTGAAACACACTTTTTGTAAAATCTGCAAGAGGATATTTGGATAGCTTTGAGGATTTCGTTGGAAACGGGAATGTCTTCATGTAAACTCTAGACAGAAGCATTCTCAGAAACTGCTTTGGGATGTTTCAATTGAAGTCCCAGTGTTGAACATTCCCATTCATAGAGCAGGTTTGAAACACTCTTTTTGTACTATCTGGAAGTGGACATTTGGAGCGCTTTCAGGTCTACGGTGAAAAAGGAGATATCTTCCAATAAAAACTAGATAGAAGCAATGTCAGAACTTTCTTCATGATGTATCTACTCAGCAAACAGAGTTGAACCTTTCTTTTGAGGGAGCAGTTTTGAAACACTATTTTTGTGGAATATGCAAGTGGGTATTAGGCCAGCTTGGAGGATTTCGTTGGAAACGGGAATACGTATAAAAAGCAGACAGCCAGCATTGTCAGAAACTACTTTGTGATGTTTGCATTCAAGTCACAGAATTGAACACTCCCTTTCACAGAGCAGGTTTGAAACACTCTTTTTGTAGTGTCTGTAAGTGAACATTTGGATTGCTTTCAGGCCTAAGGTGAAAAAGGAAATATCTTCCCATAAAAACTAGACAGAGCATTCTCAGAAACTTGTTTGTGATGTGTGCCCTCTACTGACAGAGTTGAACCTTTCTTTGCAAAGAGCAGTTTTGAAACACTCTTTTTGTAGAATCTGCAAGAGGATATTTGGATAGCTTTGAGGATTTCTTGGGAAACGGGAATGTCTTCAGATAAACTCTAGACAGAAGCATTCTCAGAAACTTCTTTGGGATGTTTCAATTGAAGTCACAGTGTTGAACATTCCCTTTCACAGAGCAGGTTTGAAACACTCTTTTTGTAGTGTCTATAAGTGAACATTTGGCGTGCTTTCAGGCCTAACGTGAAAAAGGAAATATTCTTCCCATAAAAACTAGACAGAAGCATTCTCAGAAACTTGTTCTTGATGTGTCCCCTCTACTGACAGAGTTGAACCTTTCTTTGCAAAGAGCAGCTTTGAAACACTCTTTTTGTAGAATCTGCAAGAGGATATTTGGATAGCTTGGAGGATTTCGTTGGAAACGGGTATGTCTTCAGATAAACTCTAGACAGAAGCATTCTCAGAAACTTCTTTGGGATGTTGCATTCAAGTCACAGAGTAGAACATTCCCATTCATAGAGCAGATTTGAAACACTCTTTTTGTAGTATCTGGAAGTGGACATTTGGAGCGCTTCAGGCCTATGTTGAAAAAGGAAATATCTTCCCATAAAAACTAGACGGAAGCATTCTCAGAAACTTACTTGTGTTTGCTCAACTAACAGAATTGAACCATCGTTTTGAAGGAGCAGTTTTGAAACACTGTTTTCGTGGAATCTGCAAGTGGATATTTGGCTAGCTTTGAGGATTTCGTTGGAAACGGGATTACATATAAAAAGGAGACAGCAGCATTCTCAGAAACTTCTTTGTGATGTCTGCATTCAAGTCACAGAGTTGAGCATTCCCTTTCATAGAGCAGGTTGGAAACACTCTTTTTGTAGTATCTGGATGAGGACATTTGGAGCGCTTTCAGGCGTATGGTGAAAAAGGAAATATCTTCCCGTAAAAACTAGACAGAAGCATTCTCAGAAATTTATTTGTGATGTGTGCCCTCAACTAACAGAGTTGAACCTTTCTTTTGATAGAGCAGTTTTGAAACACTCTTTTTGTAAAATCTGCAAGAGGATATTTGGATAGCTTTGAGGATTTCGTTGCAAACGGGAATGGCTTCATATAAACTCTAGACAGAAGCATTCTCAGAAACTTCGTTGGGATGTTTCGATTGAAGTCCCAGTGTTGAACATTCCCTTTTATAGAGCAGGTTGGAAACACTCTTTCTGCATTCCCTGGAAGTGGACAATTGGAGCGCTTTCAGGACGACGGTGAAAATGGAAATATCTTCCAATAAAATCTGGATAGAAGCAATGTCAGAAACTTTTCTGTGATGGATCTACTCAGCTAACAGAGTTGAACCTTTCTTTTGAGAGAGCAGTTTTGCAACACTCTTTTTGTGGAATATGCAAGTGGATATTAGGGCAGCTTTGAGGATTTCGTTGGAAACGGGAATACATGTAAAAAGCAGACAGCAGCATTCTCAGAAACTTCTTTGTGATGTTTGCATTGAAGTCACAGAGTTGAACATTCCCTTTGAGAGAGCAGGTTTGAAACACGCCTTTTGTCATATCTGGAAGTGTCCATTCGGAGCGCATTCAGGCTTGTGTTGAAAAAGGAAATATCCTCCCAGAAAAACTAGACAGAAGCATTCTCAGAAACTTATCTGTGATGTATGTACTCAACTAACAGAACTAAACCATCGTTTTGAAGGAGCAGTTTTGAAACACTCTTTTTGCGGAATCTGCAAGTGGATATTTGGCTAGCTGGGAGGATTTCGTTGGAAACGGGATTACATACAAAAAGCAGACAGCAGCATTCTCAGAAACTTCTTTGTGATGTTTGCATTCAAGTCACAGAGTTGAACATTCCCTTTCATAGAGCAGGTTGGAAACACTCTTTTTGTAGTATCTGGATGTGGACATTTGGATGGCTTTCAGGCCTATGGTGAAAAAGGAAATATCTTCCCATGAAAACTAGACAGAAGCATTCTCAGAAACTTATTTGTGATGTGTGCCCTCAACTGACAGTGTTGAACCTTTGTTTTGATAGAGCAGTTCTGAAACACACTTTTTGTAAAATCTGCAAGAGGATATTTGGATAGCTTTGAGGATTTCGTTGGAAACGGGAATGTCTTCATGTAAACTCTAGACAGAAGCATTCTCAGAAACTGCTTTGGGATGTTTCAATTGAAGTCCCAGTGTTGAACATTCCCTTTCATAGAGCAGGTTTGAAACACTCTTTTTGTACTATCTGGAAGTGGACATTTGGAGCGCTTTCAGGTCTACGGTGAAAAAGGAGATATCTTCCAATAAAAACTAGATAGAAGCAATGTCAGAACTTTTTTCATGATGTATCTACTCAGCAAACAGAGTTGAACCTTTCTTTTGAGAGAGCAGTTTTGAAACACTCTTTTTGGGGAATATGCAAGTGGGTATTAGGCCAGCTTGGAGGATTTCGTTGGAAACGGGAATACGTAAAAAAAGCAGACAGCAGCATTGTCAGAAACTGCTTTGTGATGTTTGCATTCAAGTCACAGAATTGAACACTCCCTTTCACAGAGCAGGTTTGAAACACTCTTTTTGTAGTGTCTGTAAGTGAACATTTGGATTGCTTTCAGGCCTAAGGTGAAAAAGGAAATATCTTCCCATAAAAACTAGACAGAAGCATTCTCAGAAACTTGTTTGTGATGTGTGCCCTCTACTGACAGAGTTGAACCTTTCTTTGCAAAGAGCAGTTTTGAAACACTCTTTTTGTAGAATCTGCAAGAGGATATTTGGATAGCTTTGAGGATTTCTTGGGAAACGGGAATGTCTTCAGATAAACTCTAGACAGAAGCATTCTCAGAAACTTCTTTGAGATGTTTCAATTGAAGTCACAGTGTTGAACATTCCCTTTCACAGAGCAGGTTTGAAACACTCTTTTTGTAGTGTCTATAATTGAACATTTGGCGTGCTTTCAGGCCTAACGTGAAAAAGGAAATATCTTCCCATAAAAACTAGACAGAAGCATTCTCAGAAACTTGTTCGTGATGTGTGCCCTCTACTGACAGAGTTGAACCTTTCTTTGCAAAGAGCAGCTTTGAAACACTCTTTTTGTAGAATCTGCAAGAGGATATGTGGATAGCTTTGAGGATTTCGTTGGAAACGGGTATGTCTTCAGATAAACTCTAGACAGAAGCATTCTCAGAAACTTCTTTGGGATGTTTCAATTGAAGTCACAGTGTTGAACATTCCCTTTCACAGAGCAGGTTTGAAACACTCTTTTTGTAGTGTCTATAAGTGAACATTTGGCGTGCTTTCAGGCCTAACGTGAAAAAGGAAATATCTTCCCATAAAAACTAGACAGAAGCATTCTCAGAAACTTGTTCATGATGTGTGCCCTCTACTGACAGAGTTGAACCTTTCTTTGCAAAGAGCAGCTTTGAAACACTCTTTTTGTAGAATCTGCAAGAGGATATTTGGATAGCTTGGAGGATTTCGTTGGAAACGGGTATGTCTTCAGATAAACTCTAGACAGAAGCATTCTCAGAAACTTCTTTGGGATGTTGCATTCAAGTCACAGAGTAGAACATTCCCATTCATAGAGCAGATTTGAAACACTCTTTTTGTAGTATCTGGAAGTGGACATTTGGAGCGCTTTCAGGCCTATGTTGAAAAAGGAAATATCTTCCCATAAAAACTAGACGGAAGCATTCTCAGAAACTTACTTGTGATGTGTTTGCTCAACTAACAGAATTGAACCATCGTTTTAAAGGAGCAGTTTTGAAACACTGTTTTCGTGGAATCTGCAAGTGGATATTTGGCTAGCTTTGAGGATTTCGTTGGAAACGGGATTACATATAAAAAGGAGACAGCAGCATTCTCAGAAACTTCTTTGTGATGTCTGCATTCAATTCACAGAGTTGAGCATTCCCTTTCATAGAGCAGGTTGGAAACACTCTTTTTGTAGTATCTGGATGAGGACATTTGGAGCGCTTTCAGGCGTATGGTGAAAAAGGAAATATCTTCCCGTAAAAACTAGACAGAAGCATTCTCAGAAATTTATTTGTGATGTGTGCCCTCAACTAACAGAGTTGAACCTTTCTTTTGATAGAGCAGTTTTGAAACACTCTTTTTGTAAAATCTGCAAGAGGATATTTGGATAGCTTTGAGGATTTCATTGCAAACGGGAATGGCTTCATATAAACTCTAGACAGAAGCATTCTCAGAAACTTCGTTGGGATGTTTCGATTGAAGTCCCAGTGTTGAACATTCCCTTTTATAGAGCAGGTTGGAAACAGTCTTTCTGCATTCCCTGGAAGTGGACATTTGGAGCGCTTTCAGGACGACGGTGAAAATGGAAATA
Organism: Homo sapiens; assembly: GCF_000001405.40. NCBI lineage: Eukaryota > Metazoa > Chordata > Mammalia > Primates > Hominidae > Homo > Homo sapiens. Next base: position 26,750,407 of record NC_000020.11, read on the forward strand.
TCTTCCAATAAAATCTGGATAGAAGCAATGTCAGAAACTTTTCTGTGATGGATCTACTCAGCTAACAGAGTTGAACCTTTCTTTTGAGAGAGCAGTTTTGCAACACTCTTTTTGTGGAATATGCAAGTGGATATTAGGGCAGCTTTGAGGATTTCGTTGGAAACGGGAATACATGTAAAAAGCAGACAGCAGCATTCTCAGAAACTTCTTTGTGATGTTTGCATTGAAGTCACAGAGTTGAACATTCCCTTTGAGAGAGCAGGTTTGAAACACGCCTTTTGTCATATCTGGAAGTGTCCATTCGGAGCGCATTCAGGCTTGTGTTGAAAAAGGAAATATCCTCCCATAAAAACTAGACAGAAGCATTCTCAGAAACTTATTTGTGATGTATGTACTCAACTAACAGAACTAAACCATCGTTTTGAAGGAGCAGTTTTGAAACACTCTTTTTGCGGAATCTGCAAGTGGATATTTGGCTAGCTTGGGGGATTTCGTTGGAAACGGGATTACATACAAAAAGCAGACAGCAGCATTCTCAGAAACTTCTTTGTGATGTTTACATTCAAGTCACAGAGTTGAACATTCCCTTTCATAGAGCAGGTTTGAAACCCTCTTTTTGTAGTATCTGGATGTGGACATTTGGATCGCTTTCAGGCCTATGGTGAAAAAGGAAATATCTTCCCATGAAAACTAGACAGAAGCATTCTCAGAAACTTATTTGTGATGTGTGCCCTCAACTGACAGTGTTGAACCTTTGTTTTGATAGAGCAGTTCTGAAACACACTTTTTGTAAAATCTGCAAGAGGATATTTGGATAGCTTTGAGGATTTCGTTGGAAACGGGAATGTCTTCATGTAAACTCTAGACAGAAGCATTCTCAGAAACTGCTTTGGGATGTTTCAATTGAAGTCCCAGTGTTGAACATTCCCTTTCATAGAGCAGGTTTGAAACACTCTTTTTGTACTATCTGGAAGTGGACATTTGGAGCGCTTTCAGGTCTACGGTGAAAAAGGAGATATCTTCCAATAAAAACTAGATAGAAGCAATGTCAGAACTTTTTTCATGATGTATCTACTCAGCAAACAGAGTTGAACCTTTCTTTTGAGAGAGCAGTTTTGAAACACTCTTTTTGTGGAATATGCAAGTGGGTATTAGGCCAGCTTGGAGGATTTCGTTGGAAACGGGAATACGTATAAAAAGCAGACAGCAGCATTGTCAGAAACTACTTTGTGATGTTTGCATTCAAGTCACAGAATTGAACACTCCCTTTCACAGAGCAGGTTTGAAACACTCTTTTTGTAGTGTCTGTAAGTGTACATTTGGATTGCTTTCAGGCCTAAGGTGAAAAAGGAAATATCTTCCCATAAAAACTAGACAGAAGCATTCTCAGAAACTTGTTTGTGATGTGTGCCCTCTACTGACAGAGTTGAACCTTTCTTTGCAAAGAGCAGTTTTGAAACACTCTTTTTGTAGAATCTGCAAGAGGATATTTGGATAGCTTTGAGGATTTCTTGGGAAACGGGAATGTCTTCAGATAAACTCTAGACAGAAGCATTCTCAGAAACTTCTTTGGGATGTTTCAATTGAAGTCACAGTGTTGAACATTCCCTTTCACAGAGCAGGTTTGAAACACTCTTTTTGTAGTGTCTATAAGTGAACATTTGGCGTGCTTTCAGGCCTAACGTGAAAAAGGAAATATCTTCCCATAAAAACTAGACAGAAGCATTCTCAGAAACTTGTTTGTGATGTGTGCCCTCTACTGACAGAGTTGAACCTTTCTTTGCAAAGAGCAGTTTTGAAACACTCTTTTTGTAGAATGTGCAAGAGGATATTTGGATAGCTTTGAGGATTTCTTGGGAAACGGGAATGTCTTCAGATAAACTCTAGACAGAAGCATTCTCAGAAACTTCTTTGGGATGTTGCATTCAAGTCACAGAGTAGAACATTCCCATTCATAGAGCAGATTTGAAACACTCTTTTTGTAGTATCTGGAAGTGGACATTTGGAGCGCTTTCAGGCCTATGTTGAAAAAGGAAATATCTTCCCATAAAAACTAGACGGAAGCATTCTCAGAAACTTATTTGTGATGTGTTTGCTCAACTAACAGGATTGAACCATCGTTTTGAAGGAGCAGTTTTGAAACACTGTTTTCGTGGAATCTGCAAGTGGATATTTGGCTAGCTTTGAGGATTTCGTTGGAAACGGGATTACATATAAAAAGGAGACAGCAGCATTCTCAGAAACTTCTTTGTGATGTCTGCATTCAATTCACAGAGTTGAGCATTCCCTTTCGTAGAGCAGGTTGGAAACACTCTTTTTGTAGTATCTGGATGAGGACATTTGGAGCGCTTTCAGGCGTAATGGTGAAAAGGGAAATATCTTCCCGTAAAAACTAGACAGAAGCATTCTCAGAAGTTTATTTGTGATGTGTGCCCTCAACTAACAGAGTTGAACTTTTCTTTTGATAGAGCAGTTTTGAAACACTCTTTTTGTAAAATCTGCAAGAGGATATTTGGATAGCTTTGAGGATTTCGTTGCAAACGGGAATGGCTTCATATAAACTCTAGACAGAAGCATTCTCAGAAACTTCGTTGGGATGTTTCGATTGAAGTCCCAGTGTTGAACATTCCCTTTTATAGAGCAGGTTGGAAACACTCTTTCTGCATTCCCTGGAAGTGGACATTTGGAGCGCTTTCAGGACGACGGTGAAAATGGAAATATCTTCCAAGAAAATCTAGATAGAAGCAACGTCAGAAACTTTTATGTGATGGATCTACTCAGCTAACAGAGTTGAACCTTTCTTTTGAGAGAGCAGTTTTGCAACACTCTTTTTGTGGAATATGCAAGTGGATATTAGGGCAGCTTTGAGGATTTCGTTGGAAACGGGAATACATGTAAAAAGCAGACAGCAGCATTCTCAGAAACTTCTTTGTGATGTTTGCATTGAAGTCACAGAGTTGAACATTCCCTTTGAGAGAGCAGGTTTGAAACACGCCTTTTGTCATATCTGGAAGTGTCCATTCGGAGCGCATTCAGGCTTGTGTTGAAAAAGGAAATATCCTCCCATAAAAACTATACAGAAGCATTCTCAGAAACTTATTTGTGATGTATGTACTCAACTAACAGAACTAAACCATCGTTTTGAAGGAGCAGTTTTGAAACACTCTTTTTGCGGAATCTGCAAGTGGATATTTGGCTAGCTTGGGGGATTTCGTTGGAAACGGGATTACATACAAAAAGCAGACAGCAGCATTCTCAGAAACTTCTTTGTGATGTTTACATTCAAGTCACAGAGTTGAACATTCCCTTTCATAGAGCAGGTTTGAAACCCTCTTTTTGTAGTATCTGGATGTGGACATTTGGATCGCTTTCAGGCCTATGGTGAAAAAGGAAATATCTTCCCATGAAAACTAGACAGAAGCATTCTCAGCAAACTTATTTGTGATGTGTGCACTCAACTGACAGTGTTGAACCTTTGTTTTGATAGAGCAGTTCTGAAACACACTTTTTGTAAAATCTGCAAGAGGATATTTGGATAGCTTTGAGGATTTCGTTGGAAACGGGAATGTCTTCATGTAAACTCTAGACAGAAGCATTCTCAGAAACTGCTTTGGGATGTTTCAATTGAAGTCCCAGTGTTGAACATTCCCATTCATAGAGCAGGTTTGAAACACTCTTTTTCTACTATCTGGAAGTGGACATTTGGAGCGCTTTCAGGTCTACGGTGAAAAAGGAGATATCTTCCAATAAAAACTAGATAGAAGCAATGTCAGAACTTTTTTCATGATGTATCTACTCAGCAAACAGAGTTGAACCTTTCTTTTGAGAGAGCAGTTTTGAAACACTCTTTTTGTGGAATATGCAAGTGGGTATTAGGCCAGCTTGGAGGATTTCGTTGGAAACGGGAATACGTATAAAAAGCAGACAGCAGCATTGTCAGAAACTACTTTGTGATGTTTGCATTCAAGTCACAGAATTGAACACTCCCTTTCACAGAGCAGGTTTGAAACACTCTTTTTGTAGTGTCTGTAAGTGAACATTTGGATTGCTTTCAGGCCTAAGGTGAAAAAGGAAATATCTTCCCATAAAAACTAGACAGAAGCATTCTCAGAAACTTGTTTGTGATGTGTGCCCTCTACTGACAGAGTTGAACCTTTCTTTGCAAAGAGCAGTTTTGAAACACTCTTTTTGTAGAATCTGCAAGAGGATATTTGGATAGCTTTGAGGATTTCTTGGGAAACGGGAATGTCTTCAGATAAACTCTAGACAGAAGCATTCTCAGAAACTTCTTTGGGATGTTTCAATTGAAGTCACAGTGTTGAACATTCCCTTTCACAGAGCAGGTTTGAAACACTCTTTTTGTAGTGTCTATAAGTGAACATTTGGCGTGCTTTCAGGCCTAACGTGAAAAAGGAAATATCTTCCCATAAAAACTAGACAGAAGCATTCTCAGAAACTTGTTCGTGATGTGTGCCCTCTACTGACAGAGTTGAACCTTTCTTTGCAAAGAGCAGCTTTGAAACACTCTTTTTGTAGAATCTGCAAGAGGATATGTGGATAGCTTTGAGGGTTTCGTTGGAAACGGGTATGTCTTCAGATAAACTCTAGACAGAAGCATTCTCAGAAACTTCTTTGGGATGTTGCATTCAAGTCACAGAGTAGAACATTCCCATTCATAGAGCAGATTTGAAACACTCTTTGTGTAGTATCTGGAAGTGGACATTTGGAGCGCTTTCAGGCCTATGTTGAAAAAGGAAATATCTTCCCATAAAAACAAGACGGAAGCATTCTCAGAAACTTATTTCTGATGTGTTTGCTCAACTAACAGAATTGAACCATCGTTTTGAAGGAGCAGTTTTGAAACACTGTTTTCGTGGAATCTGCAAGTGGATATTTGGCTAGCTTTGAGGATTTCGTTGGAAACGGGATTACCTATAAAAAGGAGACAGCAGCATTCTCAGAAACTTCTTTGTGATGTCTGCATTCAAGTCACAGAGTTGAGCATTCCCTTTCATAGAGCAGGTTTGAAACACTCTTTTTGTAGTATCTGGATGAGGACATTTGGAGCGCTTTCAGGCGTATGGTGAAAAAGGAAATATCTTCCCGTAAAAACTAGACAGAAGCATTCTCAGAAATTTATTTGTGATGTGTGCCCTCAACTAACAGAGTTGAACCTTTCTTTTGATAGAGCAGTTTTGAAACACTCTTTTTGTAAAATCTGCAAGAGGATATTTGGAGAGCTTTGAGGATTTCGTTGCAAACGGGAATGGCTTCATATAAACTCTAGACAGAAGCATTCTCAGAAACTTCGTTGGGATGTTTCGATTGAAGTCCCAGTGTTGAACATTCCCTTTTATAGAGCAGGTTGGAAACACTCTTTCTGCATTCCCTGGAAGTGGACATTTGGAGCGCTTTCAGGACGACGGTGAAAATGGAAATATCTTCCAATAAAATCTAGATAGAAGCAATGTCAGAAACTTTTATGTGATGGATCTACTCAGCTAACAGAGTTGAACCTTTCTTTTGAGAGAGCAGTTTTGCAACACTCTTTTTGTGGAATATGCAAGTGGATATTAGGGCAGCTTTGAGGATTTCGTTGGAAACGGGAATACATGTAAAAAGCAGACAGCAGCATTCTCAGAAACTTCTTTGTGATGTTTGCATTGAAGTCACAGAGTTGAACATTCCCTTTGAGAGAGCAGGTTTGAAACACGCCTTTTGTCATATCTGGAAGTGTCCATTCGGAGCGCATTCAGGCTTGTGTTGAAAAAGGAAATATCCTCCCATAAAAACTAGACAGAAGCATTCTCAGAAACTTATCTGTGATGTATGTACTCAACTAACAGAACTAAACCATCGTTTTGAAGGAGCAGTTTTGAAACACTCTTTTTGCGGAATCTGCAAGTGGATATTTGGCTAGCTGGGAGGATTTCGTTGGAAACGGGATTACATACAAAAAGCAGACAGCAGCATTCTCAGAAACTTCTTTGTGATGTTTGCATTCAAGTCACAGAGTTGAACATTCCCTTTCATAGAGCAGGTTTGAAACACTCTTTTTGTAGTATCTGGATGTGGACATTTGGATCGCTTTCAGGCCTATGGTGAAAAAGGAAATATCTTCCCATGAAAACTAGACAGAAGCATTCTCAGAAACTTATTTGTGATGTGTGCCCTCAACTGACAGTGTTGAACCTTTGTTTTGATAGAGCAGTTCTGAAACACACTTTTTGTAAAATCTGCAAGAGGATATTTGGATAGCTTTGAGGATTTCGTTGGAAACGGGAATGTCTTCATGTAAACTCTACACAGAAGCATTCTCAGAAACTGCTTTGGGATGTTTCAATTGAAGTCCCAGTGTTGAACATTCCCATTCATAGAGCAGGTTTGAAACACTCTTTTTGTACTATCTGGAAGTGGACATTTGGAGCGCTTTCAGGTCTACGGTGAAAAAGGAGATATCTTCCAATAAAAACTAGATAGAAGCAATGTCAGAACTTTTTTCATGATGTATCTACTCAGCAAACAGAGTTGAACCTTTCTTTTGAGAGAGCAGTTTTGAATCACTCTTTTTGTGGAATATGCAAGTGGGTATTAGGCCAGCTTGGAGGATTTCGTTGAAAACGGGAATACATGTAAAAAGCAGACAGCAGCATTCTCAGAAACTTCTTTGTGATGTTTGCATTGAAGTCACAGAGTTGAACATTCCCTTTGAGAGAGCAGGTTTGAAACACGCCTTTTGTCATATCTGGAAGTGTCCATTCGGAGCGCATTCAGGCTTGTGTTGAAAAAGGAAATATCCTCCCAGAAAAACTAGACAGAAGCATTCTCAGAAACTTATCTGTGATGTATGTACTCAACTAACAGAACTAAACCATCGTTTTGAAGGAGCAGTTTTGAAACACTCTTTTTGCGGAATCTGCAAGTGGATATTTGGCTAGCTGGGAGGATTTCGTTGGAAACGGGATTACATACAAAAAGCAGACAGCAGCATTCTCAGAAACTTCTTTGTGATGTTTGCATTCAAGTCACAGAGTTGAACATTCCCTTTCATAGAGCAGGTTTGAAACACTCTTTTTGTAGTATCTGGATGTGGACATTTGGATCGCTTTCAGGCCTATGGTGAAAAAGGAAATATCTTCCCATGAAAACTAGACAGAAGCATTCTCAGAAACTTATTTGTGATGTGTGCCCTCAACTGACAGTGTTGAACCTTTGTTTTGATAGAGCAGTTCTGAAACACACTTTTTGTAAAATCTGCAAGAGGATATTTGGATAGCTTTGAGGATTTCGTTGGAAACGGGAATGTCTTCATGTAAACTCTAGACAGAAGCATTCTCAGAAACTGCTTTGGGATGTTTCAATTGAAGTCCCAGTGTTGAACATTCCCATTCATAGAGCAGGTTTGAAACACTCTTTTTGTACTATCTGGAAGTGGACATTTGGAGCGCTTTCAGGTCTACGGTGAAAAAGGAGATATCTTCCAATAAAAACTAGATAGAAGCAATGTCAGAACTTTTTTCATGATGTATCTACTCAGCAAACAGAGTTGAACCTTTCTTTTGAGAGAGCAGTTTTGAAACACTCTTTTTGTGGAATATGCAAGTGGGTATTAGGCCAGCTTGGAGGATTTCGTTGGAAACGGGAATACGTATAAAAAGCAGACAGCAGCATTGTCAGAAACTACTTTGTGATGTTTGCATTCAAGTCACAGAATTGAACACTCCCTTTCACAGAGCAGGTTTGAAACACTCTTTTTGTAGTGTCTGTAAGTGAACATATGGATTGCTTTCAGGCCTAAGGTGAAAAAGGAAATATCTTCCCATAAAAACTAGACAGAAGCATTCTCAGAAACTTGTTTGTGATGTGTGCCCTCTACTGACAGAGTTGAACCTTTCTTTGCAAAGAGCAGTTTTGAAACACTCTTTTTGTAGAATCTGCAAGAGGATATTTGGATAGCTTTGAGGATTTCTTGGGAAACGGGAATGTCTTCAGATAAACTCTAGACAGAAGCATTCTCAGAAACTTCTTTGGGATGTTGCATTCAAGTCACAGAGTAGAACATTCCCATTCATAGAGCAGATTTGAAACACTCTTTTTGTAGTATCTGGAAGTGGACATTTGGAGCGCTTTCAGGCCTATGTTGAAAAAGGAAATATCTTCCCATAAAAACTAGACGGAATCATTCTCAGAAACTTACTTGTGATGTGTTTGCTCAACTAACAGAATTGAACCATCGTTTTGAAGGAGCAGTTTTGAAACACTGTTTTCGTGGAATCTGCAAGAGGATATTTGGATAGCTTTGAGGATTTCGTTGGAAACGGGATTACATATAAAAAGGAGACAGCAGCATTCTCAGAAACTTCTTTGTGATGTCTGCATTCAAGTCACAGAGTTGAGCATTCCCTTTCATAGAGCAGGTTGGAAACACTCTTTTTGTAGTATCTGGATGAGGACATTTGGAGCGCTTTCAGGCCTATGGTGAAAAAGGAAATATCTTCCCGTAAAAACTAGACAGAAGCATTCTCAGAAATTTATTTGTGATGTGTGCCCTCAACTAACAGAGTTGAACCTTTCTTTTGATAGAGCAGTTTTGAAACACTCTTTTTGTAAAATCTGCAAGAGGATATTTGGATAGCTTTGAGGATTTCGTTGCAAACGGGAATGGCTTCATATAAACTCTAGACAGAAGCATTCTCAGAAACTTCGTTGGGATGTTTCGATTGAAGTCCCAGTGTTGAACATTCCCTTTTATAGAGCAGGTTGGAAACACTCTTTCTGCATTCCCTGGAAGTGGACATTTGGAGCGCTTTCAGGACGACGGTGAAAATGGAAATATCTTCCAAGAAAATCTAGATAGAAGCAACGTCAGAAACTTTTCTGTGATGGATCTACTCAGCTAACAGAGTTGAACCTTTCTTTTGAGAGAGCAGTTTTGCAACACTCTTTTTGTGGAATATGCAAGTGGATATTAGGGCAGCTTTTAGGATTTCGTTGGAAACGGGAATACATGTAAAAAGCAGACAGCAGCATTCTCAGAAACTTCTTTGTGATGTTTGCATTGAAGTCACAGAGTTGAACATTCCCTTTGAGAGAGCAGGTTTGAAACACGCCTTTTGTCATATCTGGAAGTGTCCATTCGGAGCGCATTCAGGCTTGTGTTGAAAAAGGAAATATCCTCCCATAAAAACTAGACAGAAGCATTCTCAGAAACTTATCTGTGATGTATGTACTCAACTAACAGAACTAAACCATCGTTTTGAAGGAGCAGTTTTGAAACACTCTTTTTGCGGAATCTGCAAGTGGATATTTGGCTAGCTGGGAGGATTTCGTTGGAAACGGGATTACATACAAAAAGCAGACAGCAGCATTCTCAGAAACTTCTTTGTGATGTTTGCATTCAAGTCACAGAGTTGAACATTCCCTTTCATAGAGCAGGTTTGAAACACTCTTTTTGTAGTATCTGGATGTGGACATTTGGATCGCTTTCAGGCCTATGGTGAAAAAGGAAATATCTTCCCATGAAAACTAGACAGAAGCATTCTCAGAAACTTATTTGTGATGTGTGCCCTCAACTGACAGTGTTGAACCTTTGTTTTGATAGAGCAGTTCTGAAACACACTTTTTGTAAAATCTGCAAGAGGATATTTGGATAGCTTTGAGGATTTCGTTGGAAACGGGAATGTCTTCATGTAAACTCTACACAGAAGCATTCTCAGAAACTGCTTTGGGATGTTTCAATTGAAGTCCCAGTGTTGAACATTCCCATTCATAGAGCAGGTTTGAAACACTCTTTTTGTACTATCTGGAAGTGGACATTTGGAGCGCTTTCAGGTCTACGGTGAAAAAGGAGATATCTTCCAATAAAAACTAGATAGAAGCAATGTCAGAACTTTTTTCATGATGTATCTACTCAGCAAACAGAGTTGAACCTTTCTTTTGAGAGAGCAGTTTTGAAACACTCTTTTTGTGGAATATGCAAGTGGGTATTAGGCCAGCTTGGAGGATTTCGTTGGAAACGGGAATACGTATAAAAAGCAGACAGCAGCATTGTCAGAAACTACTTTGTGATGTTTGCATTCAAGTCACAGAATTGAACACTCCCTTTCACAGAGCAGGTTTGAAACACTCTTTTTGTAGTGTCTGTAAGTGAACATATGGATTGCTTTCAGGCCTAAGGTGAAAAAGGAAATATCTTCCCATAAAAACTAGACAGAAGCATTCTCAGAAACTTGTTTGTGATGTGTGCCCTCTACTGACAGAGTTGAACCTTTCTTTGCAAAGACCAGTTTTGAAACACTCTTTTTGTAGAATCTGCAAGAGGATATTTGGATAGCTTTGAGGATTTCTTGGGAAACGGGAATGTCTTCAGATAAACTCTAGACAGAAGCATTCTCAGAAACTTCTTTGGGATATTTCAATTGAAGTCACAGTGTTGAACATTCCCTTTCACAGAGCAGGTTTGAAACACTCTTTTTGTAGTGTCTATAAGTGAACATTTGGCGTGCTTTCAGGCCTAACGTGAAAAAGGAAATATCTTCCCATAAAAACTGGACAGAAGCATTCTCAGAAACTTGTTCATGATGTGTGCCCTCTACTGACAGAGTTGAACCTTTCTTTGCAAAGAGCAGCTTTGAAACACTCTTTTTGTAGAATCTGCAAGAGGATATTTGGATAGCTTGGAGGATTTCGTTGGAAACGGGTATGTCTTCAGATAAACTCTAGACAGAAGCATTCTCAGAAACTTCTTTGGGATGTTGCATTCAAGTCACAGAGTAGAACATTCCCATTCATAGAGCAGATTTGAAACACTCTTTTTGTAGTATCTGGAAGTGGACATTTGGAGCGCTTTCAGGCCTATGTTGAAAAAGGAAATATCTTCCCATAAAAACTAGACGGAAGCATTCTCAGAAACTTACTTGTGATGTGTTTGCTCAACTAACAGAATTGAACCATCGTTTTGAAGGAGCAGTTTTGAAACACTGTTTTCGTGGAATCTGCAAGTGGATATTTGGCTAGCTTTGAGGATTTCGTTGGAAACGGGATTACATATAAAAAGGAGACAGCAGCATTCTCAGAAACTTCTTTGTGATGTCTGCATTCAAGTCACAGAGTTGAGCATTCCCTTTCATAGAGCAGGTTGGAAACACTCTTTTTGTAGTATCTGGATGAGGACATTTGGAGCGCTTTCAGGCCTATGGTGAAAAAGGAAATATCTTCCCGTAAAAACTAGACAGAAGCATTCTCAGAAATTTATTTGTGATGTGTGCCCTCAACTAACAGAGTTGAACCTTTCTTTTGATAGAGCAGTTTTGAAACACTCTTTTTGTAAAATCTGCAAGAGGATATTTGGATAGCTTTGAGGATTTCGTTGCAAATGGGAATGGCTTCATATAAACTCTAGACAGAAGCATTCTCAGAAACTTCGTTGGGATGTTTCGATTGAAGTCCCAGTGTTGAACATTCCCTTTTATAGAGCAGGTTGGAAACACTCTTTCTGCATTCCCTGGAAGTGGACATTTGGAGCGCTTTCAGGACGACGGTGAAAATGGAAATATCTTCCAAGAAAATCTAGATAGAAGCAATGTCAGAAACTTTTATGTGATGGATCTACTCAGCTAACAGAGTTGAACCTTTCTTTTGAGAGAGCAGTTTTGCAACACTCTTTTTGTGGAATATGCAAGTGGATATTAGGGCAGCTTTGAGGATTTCGTTGGAAACGGGAATACATGTAAAAAGCAGACAGCAGCATTCTCAGAAACTTCTTTGTGATGTTTGCATTGAAGTCACAGAGTTGAACATTCCCTTTGAGAGAGCAGGTTTGAAACACGCCTTTTGTCATATCTGGAAGTGTCCATTCGGAGCGCATTCAGGCTTGTGTTGAAAAAGGAAATATCCTCCCATAAAAACTAGACAGAAGCATTCTCAGAAACTTATCTGTGATGTATGTACTCAACTAACAGAACTCAACCATCGTTTTGAAGGAGCAGTTTTGAAACACTCTTTTTGCGGAATCTGCAAGTGGATATTTGGCTAGCTGGGAGGATTTCGTTGGAAACGGGATTACATACAAAAAGCAGACAGCAGCATTCTCAGAAACTTCTTTGTGATGTTTGCATTCAAGTCACAGAGTTGAACATTCCCTTTCATAGAGCAGGTTTGAAACACTCTTTTTGTAGTATCTGGATGTGGACATTTGGATCGCTTTCAGGCCTATGGTGAAAAAGGAAATATCTTCCCATGAAAACTAGACAGAAGCATTCTCAGAAACTTATTTGTGATGTGTGCCCTCAACTGACAGTGTTGAACCTTTGTTTTGATAGAGCAGTTCTGAAACACACTTTTTGTAAAATCTGCAAGAGGATATTTGGATAGCTTTGAGGATTTCGTTGGAAACGGGAATGTCTTCATGTAAACTCTAGACAGAAGCATTCTCAGAAACTGCTTTGGGATGTTTCAATTGAAGTCCCAGTGTTGAACATTCCCTTTCATAGAGCAGGTTTGAAACCCTCTTTTTGTACTATCTGGAAGTGGACATTTGGAGCGCTTTCAGGTCTACGGTGAAAAAGGAGATATCTTCCAATAAAAACTAGATAGAAGCAATGTCAGAACTTTTTTCATGATGTATCTACTCAGCAAACAGAGTTGAACCTTTCTTTTGAGGGAGCAGTTTTGAAACACTATTTTTGTGGAATATGCAAGTGGGTATTAGGCCAGCTTGGAGGATTTCGTTGGAAACGGGAATACGTATAAAAAGCAGACAGCAGCATTGTCAGAAACTACTTTGTGATGTTTGCATTCAAGTCACAGAATTGAACACTCCCTTTCACAGAGCAGGTTTGAAACACTCTTTTTGTAGTGTCTGTAAGTGAACATTTGGATTGCTTTCAGGCCTAAGGTGAAAAAGGAAATATCTTCCCATAAAAACTAGACAGAAGCATTCTCAGAAACTTGTTTGTGATGTGTGCCCTCTACTGACAGAGTTGAACCTTTCTTTGCAAAGAGCAGTTTTGAAACACTCTTTTTGTAGAATCTGCAAGAGGATATTTGGATAGCTTTGAGGATTTCTTGGGAAACGGGAATGTCTTCAGATAAACTCTAGACAGAAGCATTCTCAGAAACTTCTTTGGGATGTTTCAATTGAAGTCACAGTGTTGAACATTCCCTTTCACAGAGCAGGTTTGAAACACTCTTTTTGTAGTGTCTATAAGTGAACATTTGGCGTGCTTTCAGGCGTAACGTGAAAAAGGAAATATCTTCCCATAAAAACTAGACAGAAGCATTCTCAGAAACTTGTTCGTGATGTGTGCCCTCTACTGACAGAGTTGAACCTTTCTTTGCAAAGAGCAGCTTTGAAACACACTTTTTGTAGAATCTGCAAGAGGATATTTGGATAGCTTTGAGGATTTCGTTGGAAACGGGTATGTCTTCAGATATACTCTAGACAGAAGCATTCTCAGAAACTTCTTTGGGATGTTGCATTCAAGTCACAGAGTAGAACATTCCCATTCATAGAGCAGATTTGAAACACTCTTTTTGTAGTATCTGGAAGTGGACATTTGGAGCGCTTTCAGGCCTATGTTGAAAAAGGAAATATCTTCCCATAAAAACTAGACGGAGGCATTCTCAGAAACTTATTTGTGATGTGTTTGCTCAACTAACAGGATTGAACCATCGTTTTGAAGGAGCAGTTTTGAAACACTGTTTTCGTGGAATCTGCAAGTGGATATTTGGCTAGCTTTGAGGATTTCGTTGGAAACGGGATTACATATAAAAAGGAGACAGCAGCATTCTCAGAAACTTCTTTGTGATGTCTGCATTCAATTCACAGAGTTGAGCATTCCCTTTCATAGAGCAGGTTGGAAACACTCTTTTTGTAGTATCTGGATGAGGACATTTGGAGCGCTTTCAGGCGTATGGTGAAAAAGGAAATATCTTCCCGTAAAAACTAGACAGAAGCATTCTCAGAAGTTTATTTGTGATGTGTGCCCTCAACTAACAGAGTTGAACCTTTCTTTTGATAGAGCAGTTTTGAAACACTCTTTTTGTAAAATCTGCAAGAGGATATTTGGATAGCTTTGAGGATTTCGTTGCAAACGGGAATGGCTTCATATAAACTCTAGACAGAAGCATTCTCAGAAACTTCGTTGGGATGTTTCGATTGAAGTCCCAGTGTTGAACATTCCCTTTTATAGAGCAGGTTGGAAACACTCTTTCTGCATTCCCTGGAAGTGGACATTTGGAGCGCTTTCAGGACGACGGTGAAAATGGAAATATCTTCCAAGAAAATCTAGATAGAAGCAATGTCAGAAACTTTTATGTGATGGATCTACTCAGCTAACAGAGTTGAACCTTTCTTTTGAGAGAGCAGTTTTGCAACACTCTTTTTGTGGAATATGCAAGTGGATATTAGGGCAGCTTTGAGGATTTCGTTGGAAACGGGAATACATGTAAAAAGCAGACAGCAGCATTCTCAGAAACTTCTTTGTGATGTTTGCATTGAAGTCACAGAGTTGAACATTCCCTTTGAGAGAGCAGGTTTGAAACACGCCTTTTGTCATATCTGGAAGTGTCCATTCGGAGCGCATTCAGGCTTGTGTTGAAAAAGGAAATATCCTCCCATAAAAACTAGACAGAAGCATTCTCAGAAACTTATCTGTGATGTATGTACTCAACTAACAGAACTAAACCATCGTTTTGAAGGAGCAGTTTTGAAACACTCTTTTTGCGGAATCTGCAAGTGGATATTTGGCTAGCTGGGAGGATTTCGTTGGAAACGGGATTACATACAAAAAGCAGACAGCAGCATTCTCAGAAACTTCTTTGTGATGTTTGCATTCAAGTCACAGAGTTGAACATTCCCTTTCATAGAGCAGGTTGGAAACACTCTTTTTGTAGTATCTGGATGTGGACATTTGGATCGCTTTCAGGCCTATGGTGAAAAAGGAAATATCTTCCCATGAAAACTAGACAGAAGCATTCTCAGAAACTTATTTGTGATGTGTGCCCTCAACTGACAGTGTTGAACCTTTGTTTTGATAGAGCAGTTCTGAAACACACTTTTTGTAAAATCTGCAAGAGGATATTTGGATAGCTTTGAGGATTTCGTTGGAAACGGGAATGTCTTCATGTAAACTCTAGACAGAAGCATTCTCAGAAACTGCTTTGGGATGTTTCAATTGAAGTCCCAGTGTTGAACATTCCCTTTCATAGAGCAGGTTTGAAACACTCTTTTTGTACTATCTGGAAGTGGACATTTGGAGCGCTTTCAGGTCTACGGTGAAAAAGGAGATATCTTCCAATAAAAACTAGATAGAAGCAATGTCAGAACTTTTTTCATGATGTATCTACTCAGCAAACAGAGTTGAACCTTTCTTTTGAGAGAGCAGTTTTGACACAGTCTTTGTGGAATATGCAAGTGGGTATTAGGCCAGCTTGGAGGATTTCGTTGGAAACGGGAATACGTATAAAAAGCAGACAGCAGCATTGTCAGAAACTACTTTGTGATGTTTGCATTCAAGTCACAGAATTGAACACTCCCTTTCACAGAGCAGGTTTGAAACACTCTTTTTGTAGTGTCTGTAAGTGAACATTTGGATTGCTTTCAGGCCTAAGGTGAAAAAGGAAATATCTTCCCATAAAAACTAGACAGAAGCATTCTCAGAAACTTGTTTGTGATGTGTGCCCTCTACTGACAGAGTTGAACCTTTCTTTGCAAAGAGCAGTTTTGAAACACTCTTTTTGTAGAATCTGCAAGAGGATATTTGGATAGCTTTGAGGATTTCTTGGGAAACGGGAATGTCTTCAGATAAACTCTAGACAGAAGCATTCTCAGAAACTTCTTTGGGATGTTTCAATTGAAGTCACAGTGTTGAACATTCCCTTTCACAGAGCAGGTTTGAAACAGTCTTTTTGTAGTGTCTATAAGTGAACATTTGGCGTGCTTTCAGGCCTAACGTGAAAAAGGAAATCTCTTCCCATAAAAACTAGACAGAAGCATTCTCAGAAACTTGTTTGTGATGTGTGCCCTCTACTGACAGAGTTGAACCTTTCTTTGCAAAGAGCAGCTTTGAAACACTCTTTTTGTAGAATCTGCAAGAGGATATTTGGATAGCTTTGAGGATTTCGTTGGAAACGGGTATGTCTTCACATAAACTCTAGACAGAAGCATTCTCAGAAACTTCTTTGGGATGTTGCATTCAAGTCACAGAGTAGAACATTCCCATTCATAGAGCAGATTTGAAACACTCTTTTTGTAGTATCTGGAAGTGGACATTTGGAGCGCTTTCAGGCCTATGTTGAGAAACGAAATATCTTCCCATAAAAACTAGACGGAAGCATTCTCAGAAACTTATTTCTGATGTGTTTGCTCAACTAACAGAATTGAACCATCGTTTTGAAGGAGCAGTTTTGAAACCCTGTTTTCGTGGAATCTGCAAGTGGATATTTGGCTAGCTTTGAGGATTTCGTTGGAAACGGGATTACCTATAAAAAGGAGACAGCAGCATTCTCAGAAACTTCTTTGTGATGTCTGCATTCAAGTCACAGAGTTGAGCATTCCCTTTCATAGAGCAGGTTTGAAACACTCTTTTTGTAGTATCTGGATGAGGACATTTGGAGCGCTTTCAGGCGTATGGTGAAAAAGGAAATATCTTCCCGTAAAAACTAGACAGAAGCATTCTCAGAAATTTATTTGTGATGTGTGCCCTCAACTAACAGAGTTGAACCTTTCTTTTGATAGAGCAGTTTTGAAACACTCTTTTTGTAAAATCTGCAAGAGGATATTTGGATAGCTTTGAGGATTTCGTTGCAAACGGGAATGGCTTCATATAAACTCTAGACAGAAGCATTCTCAGAAACTTCGTTGGGATGTTTCGATTGAAGTCCCAGTGTTGAACATTCCCTTTTATAGAGCAGGTTGGAAACACTCTTTTTGCATTCCCTGGAAGTGGACATTTGGAGCGCTTTCAGGACGACGGTGAAAATGGAAATATCTTCCAATAAAATCTAGATAGAAGCAATGTCAGAAACTTTTCTGTGATGGATCTACTCAGCTAACAGAGTTGAACCTTTCTTTTGAGAGAGCAGTTTTGCAACACTCTTTTTGTGGAATATGCAAGTGGATATTAGGGCAGCTTTGAGGATTTCGTTGGAAACGGGAATACATGTAAAAAGCAGACAGCAGCATTCTCAGAAACTTCTTTGTGATGTTTGCATTGAAGTCACAGAGTTGAACATTCCCTTTGAGAGAGCAGGTTTGCAACACGCCTTTTGTCATATCTGGAAGTGTCCATTCGGAGCGCATTCAGGCTTGTGTTGAAAAAGGAAATATCCTCCCATAAAAACTAGACAGAAGCATTCTCAGAAACTTATTTGTGATGTATGTACTCAACTAACAGAACTAAACCATCGTTTTGAAGGAGCAGTTTTGAAACACTCTTTTTGCGGAATCTGCAACTGGATATTTGGCTAGCTTGGAGGATTTCGTTGGAAACGGGATTACATAAAAAAGCAGACAGCAGCATTCTCAGAAACTTCTTTGTGATGTTTGCATTCAAGTCGCAGAGTTGAACATTCCCTTTCATAGAGCAGGTTTGAAACACTCTTTTTGTAGTATCTGGATGTGGACATTTGGATCGCTTTCAGGCCTATGGTGAAAAAGGAAATATCTTCCCATGAAAACTAGACAGAAGCATTCTCAGAAACTTATTTGTGATGTGTGCCCTCAACTGACAGTGTTGAACCTTTGTTTTGATAGAGCAGTTCTGAAACACACTTTTTGTAAAATCTGCAAGAGGATATTTGGATAGCTTTGAGGATTTCGTTGGAAACGGGAATGTCTTCATGTAAACTCTAGACAGAAGCATTCTCAGAAACTGCTTTGGGATGTTTCAATTGAAGTCCCAGTGTTGAACATTCCCTTTCATAGAGCAGGTTTGAAACACTCTTTTTGTAGTATCTGGAAGTGGACATTTGGAGCGCTTTCAGGTCTACGGTGAAAAAGGAGATATCTTCCAATAAAAACTAGATAGAAGCAATGTCAGAACTTTTTTCATGATGTATCTACTCAGCAAACAGAGTTGAACCTTTCTTTTGAGAGAGCAGTTTTGAAACACTCTTTTTGTGGAATATGCAAGTGGGTATTAGGCCACCTTGGAGGATATCGTTGGAAACGGGAATACGTATAAAAAGCAGACAGCAGCATTGTCAGAAACTACTTTGTGATGTTTGCATTCAAGTCACAGAATTGAACACTCCCTTTCACAGAGCAGGTTTGAAACACTCTTTTTGTAGTGTCTGTAAGTGAACATTTGGATTGCTTTCAGGCCTAAGGTGAAAAAGGAAATATCTTCCCATAAAAACTAGACAGAAGCATTCTCAGAAACTTGTTTGTGATGTGTGCCCTCTACTGACAGAGTTGAACCTTTCTTTGCAAAGAGCAGTTTTGAAACACTCTTTTTGTAGAATCTGCAAGAGGATATTTGGATAGCTTTGAGGATTTCTTGGGAAACGGGAATGTCTTCAGATAAACTCTAGACAGAAGAATTCTCAGAAACTTCTTTGGGATGTTTCAATTGAAGTCACAGTGTTGAACATTCCCTTTCACAGAGCAGGTTTGAAACACTCTTTTTGTAGTGTCTATAAGTGAACATTTGGCGTGCTTTCAGGCCTAACGTGAAAAAGGAAATATCTTCCCATAAAAACTAGACAGAAGCATTCTCAGAAACTTGTTCATGATGTGTGCCCTCTACTGACAGAGTTGAACCTTTCTTTGCAAAGAGCAGCTTTGAAACACTCTTTTTGTAGAATCTGCAAGAGGATATTTGGATAGCTTTGAGGATTTCGTTGGAAACGGGTATGTCTTCAGATAAACTCTAGACAGAAGCATTCTCAGAAACTTCTTTGGGATGTTGCATTCAAGTCACAGAGTAGAACATTCCCATTCATAGAGCAGATTTGAAACACTCTTTTTGTAGTATCTGGAAGTGGACATTTGGAGCGCTTTCAGGCCTATGTTGAAAAAGGAAATATCTTCCCATAAAAACTAGACGGAAGCATTCTCAGAAACTTACTTGTGATGTGTTTGCTCAACTAACAGAATTGAACCATCGCTTTGAAGGAGCAGTTTTGAAACACTGTTTTCGTGGAATCTGCAAGTGGATATTTGGCTAGCTTTGAGGATTTCGTTGGAAACGGGATTACATATAAAAAGGAGACAGCAGCATTCTCAGAAACTTCTTTGTGATGTCTGCATTCAAGTCACAGAGTTGAGCATTCCCTTTCATAGAGCAGGTTGGAAACACTCTTTTTGTAGTATCTGGATGAGGACATTTGGAGCGCTTTCAGGCGTATGGTGAAAAAGGAAATATCTTCCCGTAAAAACTAGACAGAAGCATTCTCAGAAATTTATTTGTGATGTGTGCCCTCAACTAACAGAGTTGAACCTTTCTTTTGATAGAGCAGTTTTGAAACACTCTTTTTGTAAAATCTGCAAGAGGATATTTGGATAGCTTTGAGGATTTCGTTGCAAACGGGAATGGCTTCATATAAACTCCTAGACAGAAGCATTCTCAAGAAACTTCGTTGGGATGTTTCGATTGAAGTCCCAGTGTTGAACATTCCCTTTTATAGAGCAGGTTGGAAACACTCTTTCTGCATTCCCTGGAAGTGGACATTTGGAGCGCTTTCAGGACGACGGTGAAAATGGAAATATCTTCCAAGAAAATCTAGATAGAAGCAATGTCAGAAACTTTTATGTGATGGATCTACTCAGCTAACAGAGTTGAACCTTTCTTTTGAGAGAGCAGTTTTGCAACACTCTTTTTGTGGAATATGCAAGTGGATATTAGGGCAGCTTTGAGGATTTCGTTGGAAACGGGAATACATGTAAAAAGCAGACAGCAGCATTCTCAGAAACTTCTTTGTGATGTTTGCATTGAAGTCACAGAGTTGAACATTCCCTTTGAGAGAGCAGGTTTGAAACACGCCTTTTGTCATATCTGGAAGTGTCCATTCGGAGCGCATTCAGGCTTGTGTTGAAAAAGGAAATATCCTCCCATAAAAACTAGACAGAAGCATTCTCAGAAACTTATCTGTGATGTATGTACTCAACTAACAGAACTAAACCATCGTTTTGAAGGAGCAGTTTTGAAACACTCTTTTTGCGGAATCTGCAAGTGGATATTTGGCTAGCTGGGAGGATTTCGTTGGAAACGGGATTACATACAAAAAGCAGACAGCAGCATTCTCAGAAACTTCTTTGTGATGTTTGCATTCAAGTCACAGAGTTGAACATTCCCTTTCATAGAGCAGGTTTGAAACACTCTTTTTGTAGTATCTGGATGTGGACATTTGGATCGCTTTCAGGCCTATGGTGAAAAAGGAAATATCTTCCCATGAAAACTAGACAGAAGCATTCTCAGAAACTTATTTGTGATGTGTGCCCTCAACTGACAGTGTTGAACCTTTGTTTTGATAGAGCAGTTCTGAAACACACTTTTTGTAAAATCTGCAAGAGGATATTTGGATAGCTTTGAGGATTTCGTTGGAAACGGGAATGTCTTCATGTAAACTCTAGACAGAAGCATTCTCAGAAACTGCTTTGGGATGTTTCAATTGAAGTCCCAGTGTTGAACATTCCCATTCATAGAGCAGGTTTGAAACACTCTTTTTGTACTATCTGGAAGTGGACATTTGGAGCGCTTTCAGGTCTACGGTGAAAAAGGAGATATCTTCCAATAAAAACTAGATAGAAGCAATGTCAGAACTTTTTTCATGATGTATCTACTCAGCAAACAGAGTTGAACCTTTCTTTTGAGAGAGCAGTTTTGAAACACTCTTTTTGTGGAATATGCAAGTGGGTATTAGGCCAGCTTGGAGGATTTCGTTGGAAACGGGAATACGTATAAAAAGCAGACAGCAGCATTGTCAGAAACTACTTTGTGATGTTTGCATTCAAGTCACAGAATTGAACACTCCCTTTCACAGAGCAGGTTTGAAACACTCTTTTTGTAGTGTCTGTAAGTGAACATATGGATTGCTTTCAGGCCTAAGGTGAAAAAGGAAATATCTTCCCATAAAAACTAGACAGAAGCATTCTCAGAAACTTGTTTGTGATGTGTGCCCTCTACTGACAGAGTTGAACCTTTCTTTGCAAAGAGCAGTTTTGAAACACTCTTTTTGTAGAATCTGCAAGAGGATATTTGGATAGCTTTGAGGATTTCTTGGGAAACGGGAATGTCTTCAGATAAACTCTAGACAGAAGCATTCTCAGAAACTTCTTTGGGATGTTTCAATTGAAGTCACAGTGTTGAACATTCCCTTTCACAGAGCAGGTTTGAAACACTCTTTTTGTAGTGTCTATAAGTGAACATTTGGCGTGCTTTCAGGCGTAACGTGAAAAAGGAAATATCTTCCCATAAAAACCAGACAGAAGCATTCTCAGAAACTTGTTCCTGATGTGTGCCCTCTAACTGACAGAGTTGAACCTTTCTTTGCAAAGAGCAGCTTTGAAACACTCTTTTTGTAGAATCTGCAAGAGGATATTTGGATAGCTTTGAGGATTTCGTTGGAAACGGGGATGTCTTCAGATAAACTCTAGACAGAAGCATTCTCAGAAACTTCTTTGGGATGTTGCATTCAAGTCACAGAGTAGAACATTCCCATTCATAGAGCAGATTTGAAACACTCTTTTTGTAGTATCTGGAAGTGGACATTTGGAGCGCTTTCAGGCCTATGTTGAAAAAGGAAATATCTTCCCATAAAAACTAGACGGAAGCATTCTCAGAAACTTATTTGTGATGTGTTTGCTCAACTAACAGGATTGAACCATCGTTTTGAAGGAGCAGTTTTGAAACACTGTTTTCGTGGAATCTGCAAGTGGATATTTGGCTATCTTTGAGGATTTCGTTGGAAACGGGATTACATATAAAAAGGAGACAGCAGCATTCTCAGAAACTTCTTTGTGATGTCTGCATTCAAGTCACAGAGTTGAGCATTCCCTTTCATAGAGCAGGTTGGAAACACTCTTTTTGTAGTATCTGGATGAGGACATTTGGAGCGCTTTCAGGCGTATGGTGAAAAAGGAAATATCTTCCCGTAAAAACTAGACAGAAGCATTCTCAGAAATTTATTTGTGATGTGTGCCCTCAACTAACAGAGTTGAACCTTTCTTTTGATAGAGCAGTTTTGAAACACTCTTTTTGTAAAATCTGCAAGAGGATATTTGGATAGCTTTGAGGATTTCATTGCAAACGGGAATGGCTTCATATAAACTCTAGACAGAAGCATTCTCAGAAACTTCGTTGGGATGTTTCGATTGAAGTCCCAGTGTTGAACATTCCCTTTTATAGAGCAGGTTGGAAACACTCTTTCTGCATTCCCTGGAAGTGGACATTTGGAGCGCTTTCAGGACGACGGTGAAAATGGAAATATCTTCCAAGAAAATCTAGATAGAAGCAACGTCAGAAACTTTTATGTGATGGATCTACTCAGCTAACAGAGTTGAACCTTTCTTTTGAGAGAGCAGTTTTGCAACACTCTTTTTGTGGAATATGCAAGTGGATATTAGGGCAGCTTTGAGGATTTCGTTGGAAACGGGAATACATGTAAAAAGCAGACAGCAGCATTCTCAGAAACTTCTTTGTGATGTTTGCATTGAAGTCACAGAGTTGAACATTCCCTTTGAGAGAGCAGGTTTGAAACACGCCTTTTGTCATATCTGGAAGTGTCCATTCGGAGCGCATTCAGGCTTGTGTTGAAAAAGGAAATATCCTCCCATAAAAACTAGACAGAAGCATTCTCAGAAACTTATCTGTGATGTATGTACTCAACTAACAGAACTAAACCATCGTTTTGAAGGAGCAGTTTTGAAACACTCTTTTTGCGGAATCTGCAAGTGGATATTTGGCTAGCTTGGAGGATTTCGTTGGAAACGGGATTACATACAAAAAGCAGAGAGCAGCATTCTCAGAAACTTCTTTGTGATGTTTGCATTCAAGTCACAGAGTTGAACATTCCCTTTCATAGAGCAGGTTTGAAACACTCTTTTTGTAGTATCTGGATGTGGACATTTGGATCGCTTTCAGGCCTATGGTGAAAAAGGAAATATCTTCCCATGAAAACTAGACAGAAGCATTCTCAGAAACTTATTTGTGATGTGTGCCCTCAACTGACAGTGTTGAACCTTTGTTTTGATAGAGCAGTTCTGAAACACACTTTTTGTAAAATCTGCAAGAGGATATTTGGATAGCTTTGAGGATTTCGTTGGAAACGGGAATGTCTTCATGTAAACTCTAGACAGAAGCATTCTCAGAAACTGCTTTGGGATGTTTCAATTGAAGTCCCAGTGTTGAACATTCCCTTTCATAGAGCAGGTTTGAAACACTCTTTTTGTACTATCTGGAAGTGGACATTTGGAGCGCTTTCAGGTCTACGGTGAAAAAGGAGATATCTTCCAATAAAAACTAGATAGAAGCAATGTCAGAACTTTTTTCATGATGTATCTACTCAGCAAACAGAGTTGAACCTTTCTTTTGAGAGAGCAGTTTTGAAACACTCTTTTTGTGGAATATGCAAGTGGGTATTAGGCCAGCTTGGAGGATTTCGTTGGAAACGGGAATACGTATAAAAAGCAGACAGCAGCATTGTCAGAAACTACTTTGTGATGTTTGCATTCAAGTCACAGAATTGAACACTCCCTTTCACAGAGCAGGTTTGAAACACTCTTTTTGTAGTGTCTGTAAGTGAACATTTGGATTGCTTTCAGGCCTAAGGTGAAAAAGGAAATATCTTCCCATAAAAACTAGACAGAAGCATTCTCAGAAACTTGTTTGTGATGTGTGCCCTCTACTGACAGAGTTGAACCTTTCTTTGCAAAGAGCAGTTTTGAAACACTCTTTTTGTAGAATCTGCAAGAGGATATTTGGATAGCTTTGAGGATTTCTTGGGAAACGGGAATGTCTTCAGATAAACTCTAGACAGAAGCATTCTCAGAAACTTCTTTGGGATGTTTCAATTGAAGTCACAGTGTTGAACATTCCCTTTCACAGAGCAGGTTTGAAACACTCTTTTTGTAGTGTCTATAAGTGAACATTTGGCGTGCTTTCAGGCCTAACGTGAAAAAGGAAATATCTTCCCATAAAAACTAGACAGAAGCATTCTCAGAAACTTGTTCGTGATGTGTGCCCTCTACTGACAGAGTTGAACCTTTCTTTGCAAAGAGCAGCTTTGAAACACTCTTTTTGTAGAATCTGCAAGAGGATATTTGGATAGCTTTGAGGATTTCGTTGGAAACGGGTATGTCTTCAGATAAACTCTAGACAGAAGCATTCTCAGAAACTTCTTTGGGATGTTGCATTCAAGTCACAGAGTAGAACATTCCCATTCATAGAGCAGATTTGAAACACTCTTTTTGTAGTATCTGGAAGTGGACATTTGGAGCGCTTTCAGGCCTATGTTGAAAAAGGAAATATCTTCCCATAAAAACTAGACGGAAGCATTCTCAGAAACTTACTTGTGATGTGTTTGCTCAACTAACAGAATTGAACCATCGTTTTGAAGGAGCAGTTTTGAAACACTGTTTTCGTGGAATCTGCAAGTGGAAATTTGGCTAGCTTTGAGGATTTCGTTGGAAACGGGATTACATATAAAAAGGAGACAGCAGCATTCTCAGAAACTTCTTTGTGATGTCTGCATTCAAGTCACAGAGTTGAGCATTCCCTTTCATAGAGCAGGTTGGAAACACTCTTTTTGTAGTATCTGGATGAGGACATTTGGAGCGCTTTCAGGCGTATGGTGAAAAAGGAAATATCTTCCCGTAAAAACTAGACAGAAGCATTCTCAGAAATTTATTTGTGATGTGTGCCCTCAACTAACAGAGTTGAACCTTTCTTTTGATAGAGCAGTTTTGAAACACTCTTTTTGTAAAATCTGCAAGAGGATATTTGGATAGCTTTGAGGATTTCGTTGCAAACGGGAATGGCTTCATATAAACTCTAGACAGAAGCATTCTCAGAAACTTCGTTGGGATGTTTCGATTGAAGTCCCAGTGTTGAACATTCCCTTTTATAGAGCAGGTTGGAAACACTCTTTCTGCATTCCCTGGAAGTGTACATTTGGAGCGCTTTCAGGACGACGGTGAAAATGGAAATATCTTCCAAGAAAATCTAGATAGAAGCAACGTCAGAAACTTTTATGTGATGGATCTACTCAGCTAACAGAGTTGAACCTTTCTTTTGAGAGAGCAGTTTTGCAACACTCTTTTTGTGGAATATGCAAGTGGATATTAGGGCAGCTTTGAGGATTTCGTTGGAAACGGGAATACATGTAAAAAGCAGACAGCAGCATTCTCAGAAACTTCTTTGTGATGTTTGCATTGAAGTCACAGAGTTGAACATTCCCTTTGAGAGAGCAGGTTTGAAACACGCCTTTTGTCATATCTGGAAGTGTCCATTCGGAGCGCATTCAGGCTTGTGTTGAAAAAGGAAATATCCTCCCATAAAAACTAGACAGAAGCATTCTCAGAAACTTATCTGTGATGTATGTACTCAACTAACAGAACTAAACCATCGTTTTGAAGGAGCAGTTTTGAAACACTCTTTTTGCGGAATCTGCAAGTGGATATTTGGCTAGCTGGGAGGATTTCGTTGGAAACGGGATTACATACAAAAAGCAGACAGCAGCATTCTCAGAAACTTCTTTGTGATGTTTGCATTCAAGTCACAGAGTTGAACATTCCCTTTCATAGAGCAGGTTTGAAACACTCTTTTTGTAGTATCTGGATGTGGACATTTGGATCGCTTTCAGGCCTATGGTGAAAAAGGAAATATCTTCCCATGAAAACTAGACAGAAGCATTCTCAGAAACTTATTTGTGATGTGTGCCCTCAACTGACAGTGTTGAACCTTTGTTTTGATAGAGCAGTTCTGAAACACACTTTTTGTAAAATCTGCAAGAGGATATTTGGATAGCTTTGAGGATTTCGTTGGAAACGGGAATGTCTTCATGTAAACTCTACACAGAAGCATTCTCAGAAACTGCTTTGGGATGTTTCAATTGAAGTCCCAGTGTTGAACATTCCCATTCATAGAGCAGGTTTGAAGCACTCTTTTTGTACTATCTGGAAGTGGACATTTGGAGCGCTTTCAGGTCTACGGTGAAAAAGGAGATATCTTCCAATAAAAACTAGATAGAAGCAATGTCAGAACTTTTTTCATGATGTATCTACTCAGCAAACAGAGTTGAACCTTTCTTTTGAGAGAGCAGTTTTGAAACACTCTTTTTGTGGAATATGAAAGTGGGTATTAGGCCAGCTTGGAGGATTTCGTTGGAAACGGGAATACGTATAAAAAGCAGACAGCAGCATTGTCAGAAACTACTTTGTGATGTTTGCATTCAAGTCACAGAACTGAACACTCCCTTTCACAGAGCAGGTTTGAAACACTCTTTTTGTAGTGTCTGTAAGTGAACATTTGGATTGCTTTCAGGCCTAAGGTGAAAAAGGAAATATCTTCCCATAAAAACTAGACAGAAGCATTCTCAGAAACTTGTTTGTGATGTGTGCCCTCTACTGACAGAGTTGAACCTTTCTTTGCAAAGAGCAGTTTTGAAACACTCTTTTTGTAGAATCTGCAAGAGGATATTTGGATAGCTTTGAGGATTTCTTGGGAAACGGGAATGTCTTCAGATAAACTCTAGACAGAAGCATTCTCAGAAACTTCTTTGGGATGTTTCAATTGAAGTCACAGTGTTGAACATTCCCTTTCACAGAGCAGGTTTGAAACACTCTTTTTGTAGTGTCTATAATTGAACATTTGGCGTGCTTTCAGGCCTAACGTGAAAAAGGAAATATCTTCCCATAAAAACTAGACAGAAGCATTCTCAGAAACTTGTTCGTGATGCGTGCCCTCTACTGACAGAGTTGAACCTTTCTTTGCAAAGAGCAGCTTTGAAACACTCTTTTTGTAGAATCTGCAAGAGGATATGTGGATAGCTTTGAGGATTTCGTTGGAAACGGGTATGTCTTCAGATAAACTCTAGACAGAAGCATTCTCAGAAACTTCTTTGGGATGTTTCAATTGAAGTCACAGTGTTGAACATTCCCTTTCACAGAGCAGGTTTGAAACACTCTTTTTGTAGTGACTATAAGTGAACATTTGGCGTGCTTTCAGGCCTAACGTGAAAAAGGAAATATCTTCCCATAAAAACTAGACAGAAGCATTCTCAGAAACTTGTTCATGATGTGTGCCCTCTACTGACAGAGTTGAACCTTTCTTTGCAAAGAGCAGCTTTGAAACACTCTTTTTGTAGAATCTGCAAGAGGATATTTGGATAGCTTTGAGGATTTCGTTGGAAACGGGTATGTCTTCAGATAAACTCTAGACAGAAGCATTCTCAGAAACTTCTTTGGGATGTTGCATTCAAGTCACAGAGTAGAACATTCCCATTCATAGAGCAGATTTGAAACACTCTTTTTGTAGTATCTGGAAGTGGACATTTGGAGCGCTTTCAGGCCTATGTTGAAAAAGGAAATATCTTCCCATAAAAACTAGACGGAAGCATTCTCAGAAACTTACTTGTGATGTGTTTGCTCAACTAACAGAATTGAACCATCGTTTTGAAGGAGCAGTTTTGAAACACTGTTTTCGTGGAATCTGCAAGTGGATATTTGGCTAGCTTTGAGGATTTCGTTGGAAACGGGATTACATATAAAAAGGAGACAGCAGCATTCTCAGAAACTTCTTTGTGATGTCTGCATTCAAGTCACAGAGTTGAGCATTCCCTTTCATAGAGCAGGTTGGAAACACTCTTTTTGTAGTATCTGGATGAGGACATTTGGAGCGCTTTCAGGCGTATGGTGAAAAAGGAAATATCTTCCCGTAAAAACTAGACAGAAGCATTCTCAGAAGTTTATTTGTGATGTGTGCCCTCAACTAACAGAGTTGAACCTTTCTTTTGATACAGCAGTTTTGAAACACTCTTTTTGTAAAATCTGCTAGAGTATATTTGGATAGCTTTGAGGATTTCGTTGCAAACGGGAATGGCTTCATATAAACTCTAGACAGAAGCATTCTCAGAAACTTCGTTGGGATGTTTCGATTGAAGTCCCAGTGTTGAACATTCCCTTTTATAGAGCAGGTTGGAAACACTCTTTCTGCATTCCCTGGAAGTGGACATTTGGAGCGCTTTCAGGACGACGGTGAAAATGGAAATATCTTCCAAGAAAATCTAGATAGAAGCAACGTCAGAAACTTTTCTGTGATGGATCTACTCAGCTAACAGAGTTGAACCTTTCTTTTGAGAGAGCAGTTTTGCAACACTCTTTTTGTGGAATATGCAAGTGGATATTAGGGCAGCTTTGAGGATTTCGTTGGAAACGGGAATACATGTAAAAAGCAGACAGCAGCATTCTCAGAAACTTCTTTGTGATGTTTGCATTGAAGTCACAGAGTTGAACATTCCCTTTGAGAGAGCAGGTTTGAAACACGCCTTTTGTCATATCTGGAAGTGTCCATTCGGAGCGCATTCAGGCTTGTGTTGAAAAAGGAAATATCCTCCCATAAAAACTAGACAGAAGCATTCTCAGAAACTTATCTGTGATGTATGTACTCAACTAACAGAACTAAACCATCGTTTTGAAGGAGCAGTTTTGAAACACTCTTTTTGCGCAATCTGCAAGTGGATATTTGGCTAGCTGGGAGGATTTCGTTGGAAACGGGATTACATACAAAAAGCAGAGAGCAGCATTCTCAGAAACTTCTTTGTGATGTTTGCATTCAAGTCACAGAGTTGAACATTCCCTTTCATAGAGCAGGTTTGAAACACTCTTTTTGTAGTATCTGGATGTGGACATTTGGATCGCTTTCAGGCCTATGGTGAAAAAGGAAATATCTTCCCATGAAAACTAGACAGAAGCATTCTCAGAAACTTATTTGTGATGTGTGCCCTCAACTGACAGTGTTGAACCTTTGTTTTGATAGAGCAGTTCTGAAACACACTTTTTGTAAAATCTGCAAGAGGATATTTGGATAGCTTTGAGGATTTCGTTGGAAACGGGAATGTCTTCATGTAAACTCTAGACAGAAGCATTCTCAGAAACTGCTTTGGGATGTTTCAATTGAAGTCCCAGTGTTGAACATTCCCATTCATAGAGCAGGTTTGAAACACTCTTTTTGTACTATCTGGAAGTGGACATT
This sequence comes from Homo sapiens, assembly GCF_000001405.40. Classification (NCBI taxonomy): domain Eukaryota; kingdom Metazoa; phylum Chordata; class Mammalia; order Primates; family Hominidae; genus Homo; species Homo sapiens. The sequence continues at coordinate 26,779,599 of NC_000020.11, forward strand.
TGGAGCGCTTTCAGGTCTACGGTGAAAAAGGAGATATCTTCCAATAAAAACTAGATAGAAGCAATGTCAGAACTTTTTTCATGATGTATCTACTCAGCACACAGAGTTGAACCTTTCTTTTGAGAGAGCAGTTTTGAAACACTCTTTTTGTGGAATATGCAAGTGGGTATTAGGCCAGCTTGGAGGATTTCGTTGGAAACGGGAATACGTATAAAAAGCAGACAGCAGCATTGTCAGAAACTACTTTGTGATGTTTGCATTCAAGTCACAGAATTGAACACTCCCTTTCACAGAGCAGGTTTGAAACACTCTTTTTGTAGTGTCTGTAAGTGAACATATGGATTGCTTTCAGGCCTAAGGTGAAAAAGGAAATATCTTCCCATAAAAACTAGACAGAAGCATTCTCAGAAACTTGTTTGTGATGTGTGCCCTCTACTGACAGAGTTGAACCTTTCTTTGCAAAGAGCAGTTTTGAAACACTCTTTTTGTAGAATCTGCAAGAGGATATTTGGATAGCTTTGAAGATTTCTTGGGAAACGGGAATGTCTTCAGATAAACTCTAGACAGAAGCATTCTCAGAAACTTCTTTGGGATGTTTCAATTGAAGTCACAGTGTTGAACATTCCCTTTCACAGAGCAGGTTTGAAACACTCTTTTTGTAGTGTCTATAAGTGAACATTTGGCGTGCTTTCAGGCCTAACGTGAAAAATTAAATATCTTCCCATAAAAACTAGACAGAAGCATTCTCAGAAACTTGTTCATGATGTGTGCCCTCTACTGACAGTGTTGAACCTTTCTTTGCAAAGAGCAGCTTTGAAACACTCTTTTTGTAGAATCTGCAAGAGGATATTTGGATAGCTTTGAGGATTTCGTTGGAAACGGGTATGTCTTCAGATAAACTCTAGACAGAAGCATTCTCAGAAACTTCTTTGGGATGTTGCATTCAAGTCACAGAGTAGAACATTCCCATTCATAGAGCAGATTTGAAACACTCTTTTTGTAGTATCTGGAAGTGGACATTTGGAGCGCTTTCAGGCCTATGTTGAAAAAGGAAATATCTTCCCATAAAAACTAGACGGAAGCATTCTCAGAAACTTACTTGTGATGTGTTTGCTCAACTAACAGAATTGAACCATCGTTTTGAAGGAGCAGTTTTGAAACACTGTTTTCGTGGAATCTGCAAGTGGATATTTGGCTAGCTTTGAGGATTTCGTTGGAAACGGGATTACATATAAAAAGGAGACAGCAGCATTCTCAGAAACTTCTTTGTGATGCCTGCATTCAAGTCACAGAGTTGAGCATTCCCTTTCATAGAGCAGGTTGGAAACACTCTTTTTGTAGTATCTGGATGAGGACATTTGGAGCGCTTTCAGGCGTATGGTGAAAAAGGAAATATCTTCCCGTAAAAACCAGACAGAAGCATTCTCAGAAATTTATTTGTGATGTGTGCCCTCAACTAACAGAGTTGATCCTTTCTTTTGATAGAGCAGTTTTGAAACACTCTTTTTGTAAAATCTGCAAGAGGATATTTGGATACCTTTGAGGATTTCGTTGCAAACGGGAATGGCTTCATATAAACTCTAGACAGAAGCATTCTCAGAAACTTCGTTGGGATGTTTCGATTGAAGTCCCAGTGTTGAACATTCCCTTTTATAGAGCAGGTTGGAAACACTCTTTCTGCATTCCCTGGAAGTGGACATTTGGAGCGCTTTCAGGACGACGGTGAAAATGGAAATATCTTCCAAGAAAATCTAGATAGAAGCAATGTCAGAAACTTTTATGTGATGGATCTACTCAGCTAACAGAGTTGAACCTTTCTTTTGAGAGAGCAGTTTTGCAACACTCTTTTTGTGGAATATGCAAGTGGATATTTGGGCAGCTTTGAGGATTTCGTTGGAAACGGGAATACATGTAAAAAGCAGACAGCAGCATTCTCAGAAACTTCTTTGTGATGTTTGCATTGAAGTCACAGAGTTGAACATTCCCTTTGAGAGAGCAGGTTTGAAACACGCCTTTTGTCATATCTGGAAGTGTCCATTCGGAGCGCATTCAGGCTTGTGTTGAAAAAGGAAATATCCTCCCATAAAAACTAGACAGAAGCATTCTCAGAAACTTATCTGTGATGTATGTACTCAACTAACAGAACTAAACCATCGTTTTGAAGGAGCAGTTTTGAAACACTCTTTTTGCGGAATCTGCAAGTGGATATTTGGCTAGCTGGGAGGATTTCGTTGGAAACGGGATTACATACAAAAAGCAGACAGCAGCATTCTCAGAAACTTCTTTGTGATGTTTGCATTCAAGTCACAGAGTTGAACATTCCCTTTCATAGAGCAGGTTTGAAACACTCTTTTTGTAGTATCTGGATGTGGACATTTGGATCGCTTTCAGGCCTATGGTGAAAAAGGAAATATCTTCCCATGAAAACTAGACAGAAGCATTCTCAGAAACTTATTTGTGATGTGTGCCCTCAACTGACAGTGTTGAACCTTTGTTTTGATAGAGCAGTTCTGAAACACACTTTTTGTAAAATCTGCAAGAGGATATTTGGATAGCTTTGAGGATTTCGTTGGAAACGGGAATGTCTTCATGTAAACTCTACACAGAAGCATTCTCAGAAACTGCTTTGGGATGTTTCAATTGAAGTCCCAGTGTTGAACATTCCCATTCATAGAGCAGGTTTGAAACACTCTTTTTGTAATATCTGGAAGTGGACATTTGGAGCGCTTTCAGGTCTACGGTGAAAAAGGAGATATCTTCCAATAAAAACTAGATAGAAGCAATGTCAGAACTTTTTTCATGATGTATCTACTCAGCTAACAGAGTTGAACCTTTCTTTTGAGAGAGCAGTTTTGAAACACTCTTTTTGTGGAATATGCAAGTGGGTATTAGGCCAGCTTGGAGGATTTCGTTGGAAACGGGAATACGTATAAAAAGCAGACAGCAGCATTGTCAGAAACTACTTTGTGATGTTTGCATTCAAGTCACAGAACTGAACACTCCCTTTCACAGAGCAGGTTTGAAACACTCTTTTTGTAGTGTCTGTAAGTGAACATTTGGATTGCTTTCAGGCCTAAGGTGAAAAAGGAAATATCTTCCCATAAAAACTAGACAGAAGCATTCTCAGAAACTTGTTTGTGATGTGTGCCCTCTACTGACAGAGTTGAACCTTTCTTTGCAAAGAGCAGTTTTGAAACACTCTTTTTGTAGAATCTGCAAGAGGATATTTGGATAGCTTTGAGGATTTCTTGGGAAACGGGAATGTCTTCAGATAAACTCTAGACAGAAGCATTCTCAGAAACTTCTTTGGGATGTTTCAATTGAAGTCACAGTGTTGAACATTCCCTTTCACAGAGCAGGTTTGAAACACTCTTTTTGTAGTGTCTATAAGTGAACATTTGGCGTGCTTTCAGGCGTAACGTGAAAAAGGAAATATCTTCCCATAAAAACCAGACAGAAGCATTCTCAGAAACTTGTTTGTGATGTGTGCCCTCTACTGACAGAGTTGAACCTTTCTTTGCAAAGAGCAGCTTTGAAACACTCTTTTTGTAGAATCTGCAAGAGGATATGTGGATAGCTTTGAGGATTTCGTTGGAAACGGGTATGTCTTCAGATAAACTCTAGACAGAAGCATTCTCAGAAACTTCTTTGGGATGTTGCATTCAAGTCACAGAGTAGAACATTCCCATTCATAGAGCAGATTTGAAACACTCTTTTTGTAGTATCTGGAAGTGGACATTTGGAGCGCTTTCAGGCCTATGTTGAAAAAGGAAATATCTTCCCATAAAAACTAGACGGAAGCATTCTCAGAAACTTATTTGTGATGTGTTTGCTCAACTAACAGGATTGAACCATCGTTTTGAAGGAGCAGTTTTGAAACACTGTTTTCGTGGAATCTGCAAGTGGATATTTGGCTAGCTTTGAGGATTTCGTTGGAAACGGGATTACATATAAAAAGGAGACAGCAGCATTCTCAGAAACTTCTTTGTGATGTTTGCATTCAATTCACAGAGTTGAGCATTCCCTTTCATAGAGCAGGTTTGAAACACTCTTTTTGTAGTATCTGGATGTGGACATTTGGATCGCTTTCAGGCCTATGGTGAAAAAGGAAATATCTTCCCATGAAAACTAGACAGAAGCATTCTCAGAAACTTATTTGTGATGTGTGCCCTCAACTGACAGTGTTGAACCTTTGTTTTGATAGAGCAGTTCTGAAACACACTTTTTGTAAAATCTGCAAGAGGATATTTGGATAGCTTTGAGGATTTCGTTGGAAACGGGAATGTCTTCATGTAAACTCTAGACAGAAGCATTCTCAGAAACTGCTTTGGGATGTTTCAATTGAAGTCCCAGTGTTGAACATTCCCATTCATAGAGCAGGTTTGAAACACTCTTTTTGTACTATCTGGAAGTGGACATTTGGAGCGCTTTCAGGTCTACGATGAAAAAGGAGATATCTTCCAATAAAAACTAGATAGAAGCAATGTCAGAACTTTTTTCATGATGTATCTACTCAGCAAACAGAGTTGAACCTTTCTTTTGAGAGAGCAGTTTTGAAACACTCTTTTTGTGGAATATGCAAGTGGGTATTAGGCCAGCTTGGAGGATTTCGTTGGAAACGGGAATACGTATAAAAAGCAGACAGCAGCATTGTCAGAAACTACTTTGTGATGTTTGCATTCAAGTCACAGAATTGAACACTCCCTTTCACAGAGCAGGTTTGAAACACTCTTTTTGTAGTGTCTATAAGTGAACATTTGGCGTGCTTTCAGGCCTAAGGTGAAAAAGGAAATATCTTCCCATAAAAACTAGACAGAAGCATTCTCAGAAACTTGTTCGTGATGTGTGCCCTCTACTGACAGAGTTGAACCTTTCTTTGCAAAGAGCAGCTTTGAAACACTCTTTTTGTAGAATCTGCAAGAGGATATTTGGATAGCTTTGAGGATTTCGTTGGAAACGGGTATGTCTTCAGATAAACTCTAGACAGAAGCATTCTCAGAAACTTCTTTGGGATGTTGCATTCAAGTCACAGAGTAGAACATTCCCATTCATAGAGCAGATTTGAAACACTCTTTTTGTAGTATCTGGAAGTGGACATTTGGAGCGCTTTCAGGCCTATGTTGAAAAAGGAAATATCTTCCCATAAAAACTAGACGGAAGCATTCTCAGAAACTTATTTGTGATGTGTTTGCTCAACTAACAGGATTGAACCATCGTTTTGAAGGAGCAGTTTTGAAACACTGTTTTCGTGGAATCTGCAAGTGGATATTTGGCTAGCTTTGAGGATTTCGTTGGAAACGGGATTACATATACAAAGGAGACAGCAGCATTCTCAGAAACTTCTTTGTGATGTCTGCATTCAATTCACAGAGTTGAGCATTCCCTTTCATAGAGCAGGTTGGAAACACTCTTTTTGTAGTATCTGGATGAGGACATTTGGAGCGCTTTCAGGCGTATGGTGAAAAAGGAAATATCTTCCCGTAAAAACTAGACAGAAGCATTCTCAGAAGTTTATTTGTGATGTGTGCCCTCAACTAACAGACTTGAACCTTTCTTTTGATAGAGCAGTTTTGAAACACTCTTTTTGTAAAATCTGCAAGAGGATATTTGGATAGCTTTGAGGATTTCGTTGCAAACGGGAATGGCTTCATATAAACTCTAGACAGAAGCATTCTCAGAAACTTCGTTGGGATGTTTCGATTGAAGTCCCAGTGTTGAACATTCCCTTTTATAGAGCAGGTTGGAAACACTCTTTCTGCATTCCCTGGAAGTGGACATTTGGAGCGCTTTCAGGACGACGGTGAAAATGGAAATATCTTCCAAGAAAATCTAGATAGAAGCAACGTCAGAAACTTTTCTGTGATGGATCTACTTAGCTACCAGAGTTGAACCTTTCTTTTGAGAGAGCAGTTTTGCAACACTCTTTTTGTGGAATATGCAAGTGGATATTAGGGCAGCTTTGAGGATTTCGTTGGAAACGGGAATACATGTAAAAAGCAGACAGCAGCATTCTCAGAAACTTCTTTGTGATGTTTGCATTGAAGTCACAGAGTTGAACATTCCCTTTGAGAGAGCAGGTTTGAAACACGCCTTTTGTCATATCTGGAAGTGTCCATTCGGAGCGCATTCAGGCTTGTGTTGAAAAAGGAAATATCCTCCCATAAAAACTAGACAGAAGCATTCTCAGAAACTTATCTCTGATGTATGTACTCAACTAACAGAACTAAACCATCGTTTTGAAGGAGCAGTTTTGAAACACTCTTTTTGCGGAATCTGCAAGTGGATATTTGGCTAGCTGGGAGGATTTCGTTGGAAACGGGATTACATACAAAAAGCAGACAGCAGCATTCTCAGAAACTTCTTTGTGATGTTTGCATTCAAGTCACAGAGTTGAACATTCCCTTTCATAGAGCAGGTTTGAAACACTCTTTTTGTAGTATCTGGATGTGGACATTTGGATCGCTTTCAGGCCTATGGTGAAAAAGGAAATATCTTCCCATGAAAACTAGACAGAAGCATTCTCAGAAACTTATTTGTGATGTGTGCCCTCAACTGACAGTGTTGAACCTTTGTTTTGATAGAGCAGTTCTGAAACACACTTTTTGTAAAATCTGCAAGAGGATATTTGGATAGCTTTGAGGATTTCGTTGGAAACGGGAATGTCTTCATGTAAACTCTAGACAGAAGCATTCTCAGAAACTGCTTTGGGATGTTTCAATTGAAGTCCCAGTGTTGAACATTCCCTTTCATAGAGCAGGTTTGAAACACTCTTTTTGTACTATCTGGAAGTGGACATTTGGAGCGCTTTCAGGTCTACGGTGAAAAAGGAGATATCTTCCAATAAAAACTAGATAGAAGCAATGTCAGAACTTTTTTCATGATGTATCTACTCAGCAAACAGAGTTGAACCTTTCTTTTGAGAGAGCAGTTTTGAAACACTCTTTTTGTGGAATATGCAAGTGGGTATTAGGCCAGCTTGGAGGATTTCGTTGGAAACGGGAATACGTATAAAAAGCAGACAGCAGCATTGTCAGAAACTACTTTGTGATGTTGGCATTCAAGTCACAGAATTGAACACTCCCTTTCACAGAGCAGGTTTGAAACACTCTTTTTGTAGTGTCTGTAAGTGAACATTTGGATTGCTTTCAGGCCTAAGGTGAAAAAGGAAATATCTTCCCATAAAAACTAGACAGAAGCATTCTCAGAACTTGTTTGTGATGTGTGCCCTCTACTGACAGAGTTGAAACTTTCTTTGCAAAGAGCAGTTTTGAAACACTCTTTTTGTAGAATCTGCAAGAGGATATTTGGATAGCTTTGAGGATTTCTTGGGAAACGGGAATGTCTTCAGATAAACTCTAGACAGAAGCATTCTCAGAAACTTCTTTGGGATGTTTCAATTGAAGTCACAGTGTTGAACATTCCCTTTCACAGAGCAGGTTTGAAACACTCTTTTTGTAGTGTGTATAAGTGAACATTTCGCGTGCTTTCAGGCCTAACGTGAAAAAGGAAATATCTTCCCATAAAAACTAGACAGAAGCATTCTCAGAAACTTGTTCATGATGTGTGCCCTCTACTGACAGAGTTGAACCTTTCTTTGCAAAGAGCAGCTTTGAAACACTCTTTTTGTAGAATCTGCAAGAGGATATTTGGATAGCTTGGAGGATTTCGTTGGAAACGGGTATGTCTTCAGATAAACTCTAGACAGAAGCATTCTCAGAAACTTCTTTGGGATGTTGCATTCAAGTCACAGAGTAGAACATTCCCATTCATAGAGCAGATTTGAAACACTCTTTTTGTAGTATCTGGAAGTGGACATTTGGAGCGCTTTCAGGCCTATGTTGAAAAAGGAAATATCTTCCCATAAAAACTAGACGGAAGCATTCTCAGAAACTTACTTGTGATGTGTTTGCTCAACTAACAGAATTGAACCATCGTTTTGAAGGAGCAGTTTTGAAACACTGTTTTCGTGGAATCTGCAAGTGGATATTTGGCTAGCTTTGAGGATTTCGTTGGAAACGGGATTACATATAAAAAGGAGACAGCAGCATTCTCAGAAACTTCTTTGTGATGTCTGCATTCAAGTCACAGAGTTGAGCATTCCCTTTCATAGAGCAGGTTGGAAACACTCTTTTTGTAGTATCTGGATGAGGACATTTGGAGCGCTTTCAGGCGTATGGTGAAAAAGGAAATATCTTCCCGTAAAAACTAGACAGAAGCATTCTCAGAAATTTATTTGTGATGTGTGCCCTCAACTAACAGAGTTGAACCTTTCTTTTGATAGAGCAGTTTTGAAACACTCTTTTTGTAAAATCTGCAAGAGGATATTTGGATAGCTTTGAGGATTTCGTTGCAAACGGAATGGCTTCATATAAACTCTAGACAGAAGCATTCTCAGAAACTTCGTTGGGATGTTTCGATTGAAGTCCCAGTGTTGAACATTCCCTTTTATAGAGCAGGTTGGAAACACTCTTTCTGCATTCCCTGGACGTGGACATTTGGAGCGCTTTCTGGACGACGGTGAAAATGGAAATATCTTCCAAGAAAATCTAGATAGAAGCAATGTCAGAAACTTTTATGTGATGGATCTACTCAGCTAACAGAGTTGAACCTTTCTTTTGAGAGAGCAGTTTTGCAACACTCTTTTTGTGGAATATGCAAGTGGATATTAGGGCAGCTTTGAGGATTTCGTTGGAAACGGGAATACATGTAAAAAGCAGACAGCAGCATTCTCAGAAACTTCTTTGTGATGTTTGCATTGAAGTCACAGAGTTGAACATTCCCTTTGAGAGAGCAGGTTTGAAACACGCCTTTTGTCATATCTGGAAGTGTCCATTCGGAGCGCATTCAGGCTTGTGTTGAAAAAGGAAATATCCTCCCATAAAAACTAGACAGAAGCATTCTCAGAAACTTATCTGTGATGTATGTACTCAACTAACAGAACTAAACCATCGTTTTGAAGGAGCAGTTTTGAAACACTCTTTTTGCGGAATCTGCAAGTGGATATTTGGCTAGCTGGGAGGATTTCGTTGGAAACGGGATTACATACAAAAAGCAGACAGCAGCATTCTCAGAAACTTCTTTGTGATGTTTGCATTCAAGTCACAGAGTTGAACATTCCCTTTCATAGAGCAGGTTTGAAACACTCTTTTTGTAGTATCTGGATGTGGACATTTGGATCGCTTTCAGGCCTATGGTGAAAAAGGAAATATCTTCCCCATGAAAACTAGACAGATAGCATTCTCAGAAACTTATTTGTGATGTGTGCCCTCAACTGACAGTGTTGAACCTTTGTTTTGATAGAGCAGTTCTGAAACACACTTTTTGTAAAATCTGCAAGAGGATATTTGGATAGCTTTGAGGATTTCGTTGGAAACGGGAATGTCTTCATGTAAACTCTAGACAGAGCATTCTCAGAAACTGCTTTGGGATGTTTCAATTGAAGTCCCAGTGTTGAACATTCCCATTCATAGAGCAGGTTTGAAACACTCTTTTTGTACTATCTGGAAGTGGACATTTGGAGCGCTTTCAGGTCTACGGTGAAAAAGGAGATATCTTCCAATAAAAACTAGATAGAAGCAATGTCAGAACTTTTTTCATGATGTATCTACTCAGCAAACAGAGTTGAACCTTTCTTTTGAGAGAGCAGTTTTGAAACACTCTTTTTGTGGAATATGCAAGTGGGTATTAGGCCAGCTTGGAGGATTTCGTTGGAAACGGGAATACGTATAAAAAGCAGACAGCAGCATTGTCAGAAACTACTTTGTGATGTTTGCATTCAAGTCACAGAATTGAACACTCCCTTTCACAGAGCAGGTTTGAAACACTCTTTTTGTAGTGTCTGTAAGTGAACATTTGGATTGCTTCAGGCCTAAGGTGAAAAAGGAAATATCTTCCCATAAAAACTAGACAGAAGCATTCTCAGCAAACTTGTTTGTGATGTGTGCCCTCTACTGACAGAGTTGAAACTTTCTTTGCAAAGAGCAGTTTTGAAACACTCTTTTTGTAGAATCTGCAAGAGGATATTTGGATAGCTTTGAGGATTTCTTGGGAAACGGGAATGTCTTCAGATAAACTCTAGACAGAAGCATTCTCAGAAACTTCTTTGGGATGTTTCAATTGAAGTCACAGTGTTGAACATTCCCTTTCACAGAGCAGGTTTGAAACACTCTTTTTGTAGTGTCTATAAGTGAACATTTGGCGTGCTTTCAGGCCTAACGTGAAAAAGGAAATATCTTCCCATAAAAACTAGACAGAAGCATTCTCAGAAACTTGTTCGTGATGTGTGCCCTCTACTGACAGAGTTGAACCTTTCTTTGCAAAGAGCAGCTTTGAAACACTCTTTTTGTAGAATCTCCAAGAGGATATTTGGATAGCTTGGAGGATTTCGTTGGAAACGGGTATGTCTTCAGATAAACTCTAGACAGAAGCATTCTCAGAAACTTCTTTGGGATGTTGCATTCAAGTCACAGAGTAGAACATTCCCATTCATAGAGCAGATTTGAAACACTCTTTTTGTAGTATCTGGAAGTGGACATTTGGAGCGCTTTCAGGCCTATGTTGAAAAAGGAAATATCTTCCCATAAAAACTAGACGGAAGCATTCTCAGAAACTTACTTGTGATGTGTTTTCTCAACTAACAGAATTGAACCATCGTTTTGAAGGAGCAGTTTTGAAACACTGTTTTCGTGGAATCTGCAAGTGGATATTTTGCTAGCTTTGAGGATTTCGTTGGAAACGGGATTACATATAAAAAGGAGACAGGAGCATTCTCAGAAACTTCTTTGTGATGTCTGCATTCAAGTCACAGAGTTGAGCATTCCCTTTCATAGAGCAGGTTGGAAACACTCTTTTTGTAGTATCTGGATGAGGACATTTGGAGCGCTTTCAGGCGTATGGTGAAAAAGGAAATATCTTCCCGTAAAAACTAGACAGAAGCATTCTCAGAAATTTATTTGTGATGTGTGCCCTCAACTAACCGAGTTGAACCTTTCTTTTGATAGAGCAGTTTTGAAACACTCTTTTTGTAAAATCTGCAAGAGGATATTTGGATAGCTTTGAGGATTTCGTTGCAAACGGGAATGGCTTCATATAAACTCTAGACAGAAGCATTCTCAGAAACTTCGTTGGGATGTTTCGATTGAAGTCCCAGTGTTGAACATTCCCTTTTATAGAGCAGGTTGGAAACACTCTTTCTGCATTCCCTGGAAGTGGACATTTGGAGCGCTTTCAGGACGACGGTGAAAATGGAAATATCTTCCAAGAAAATCTAGATAGAAGCAACGTCAGAAACTTTTCTGTGATGGATCTACTCAGCTAACAGAGTTGAACCTTTCTTTTGAGAGAGCAGTTTTGCAACACTCTTTTTGTGGAATATGCAAGTGGATATTAGGGCAGCTTTGAGGATTTCGTTGGAAACGGGAATACATGTAAAAAGCAGACAGCAGCATTCTCAGAAACTTCTTTGTGATGTTTGCATTGAAGTCACAGAGTTGAACATTCCCTTTGAGAGAGCAGGTTTGAAACACGCCTTTTGTCATATCTGGAAGTGTCCATTCGGAGCGCATTCAGGCTTGTGTTGAAAAAGGAAATATCCTCCCAGAAAAACTAGACAGAAGCATTCTCAGAAACTTATCTGTGATGTATGTACTCAACTAACAGAACTAAACCATCGTTTTGAAGGAGCAGTTTTGAAACACTCTTTTTGCGGAATCTGCAAGTGGATATTTGGCTAGCTGGGAGGATTTCGTTGGAAACGGGATTACATACAAAAAGCAGACAGCAGCATTCTCAGAAACTTCTTTGTGATGTTTGCATTCAAGTCACAGAGTTGAACATTCCCTTTCATAGAGCAGGTTTGAAACACTCTTTTTGTAGTATCTGGATGTGGACATTTGGATGGCTTTCAGGCCTATGGTGAAAAAGGAAATATCTTCCCATGAAAACTAGACAGAAGCATTCTCAGAAACTTATTTGTGATGTGTGCCCTCAACTGACAGTGTTGAACCTTTGTTTTGATAGAGCAGTTCTGAAACACACTTTTTGTAAAATCTGCAAGAGGATATTTGGATAGCTTTGAGGATTTCGTTGGAAACGGGAATGTCTTCATGTAAACTCTAGACAGAAGCATTCTCAGAAACTGCTTTGGGATGTTTCAATTGAAGTCCCAGTGTTGAACATTCCCATTCATAGAGCAGGTTTGAAACACTCTTTTTGTACTATCTGGAAGTGGACATTTGGAGCGCTTTCAGGTCTACGGTGAAAAAGGAGATATCTTCCAATAAAAACTAGATAGAAGCAATGTCAGAACTTTTTTCATGATGTATCTACTCAGCAAACAGAGTTGAACCTTTCTTTTGAGAGAGCAGTTTTGAAACACTCTTTTTGTGGAATATGCAAGTGGGTATTAGGCCAGCTTGGAGGATTTCGTTGGAAACGGGAATACGTATAAAAAGCAGACAGCAGCATTGTCAGAAACTACTTTGTGATGTTTGCATTCAAGTCACAGAATTGAACACTCCCTTTCACAGAGCAGGTTTGAAACACTCTTTTTGTAGTGTCTGTAAGTGAACATTTGGATTGCTTTCAGGCCTAAGGTGAAAAAGGAAATATCTTCCCATAAAAACTAGACAGAAGCATTCTCAGAAACTTGTTTGTGATGTGTGCCCTCTACTGACAGAGTTGAACCTTTCTTTGCAAAGAGCAGTTTTGAAACACTCTTTTTGTAGAATCTGCAAGAGGATATTTGGATAGCTTTGAAGATTTCTTGGGAAACGGGAATGTCTTCAGATAAACTCTAGACAGAAGCATTCTCAGAAACTTCTTTGGGATGTTTCAATTGAAGTCACAGTGTTGAACATTCCCTTTCACAGAGCAGGTTTGAAACACTCTTTTTGTAGTGTCTATAAGTGAACATTTGGCGTGCTTTCAGGCCTAACGTGAAAAAGGAAATATCTTCCCATAAAAACTAGACAGAAGCATTCTCAGAAACTTGTTCATGATGTGTGCCCTCTACTGACAGAGTTGAACCTTTCTTTGCAAAGAGCAGCTTTGAAACACTCTTTTTGTAGAATCTGCAAGAGGATATTTGGATAGCTTTGAGGATTTCGTTGGAAACGGGTATGTCTTCAGATAAACTCTAGACAGAAGCATTCTCAGAAACTTCTTTGGGATGTTGCATTCAAGTCACAGAGTAGAACATTCCCATTCATAGAGCAGATTTGAAACACTCTTTTTGTAGTATCTGGAAGTGGACATTTGGAGCGCTTTCAGGCCTATGTTGAAAAAGGAAATATCTTCCCATAAAAACTAGACGGAAGCATTCTCAGAAACTTACTTGTGATGTGTTTGCTCAACTAACAGAATTGAACCATCGTTTTAAAGGAGCAGTTTTGAAACACTGTTTTCGTGGAATCTGCAAGTGGATATTTGGCTAGCTTTGAGGATTTCGTTGGAAACGGGATTACATATAAAAAGGAGACAGCAGCATTCTCAGAAACTTCTTTGTGATGTCTGCATTCAAGTCACAGAGTTGAGCATTCCCTTTCATAGAGCAGGTTGGAAACACTCTTTTTGTAGTATCTGGATGAGGACATTTGGAGCGCTTTCAGGCCTATGGTGAAAAAGGAAATATCTTCCCGTAAAAACTAGACAGAAGCATTCTCAGAAATTTATTTGTGATGTGTGCCCTCAACTAACAGAGTTGAACCTTTCTTTTGATAGAGCAGTTTTGAAACACTCTTTTTGTAAAATCTGCAAGAGGATATTTGGATAGCTTTGAGGATTTCGTTGCAAACGGGAATGGCTTCATATAAACTCTAGACAGAAGCATTCTCAGAAACTTCGTTGGGATGTTTCGATTGAAGTCCCAGTGTTGAACATTCCCTTTTATAGAGCAGGTTGGAAACACTCTTTCTGCATTCCCTGGAAGTGGACATTTGGAGCGCTTTCAGGACGACGGTGAAAATGGAAATATCTTCCAAGCAAAATCTAGATAGAAGCAACGTCAGAAACTTTTATGTGATGGATCTACTCAGCTAACAGAGTTGAACCTTTCTTTTGAGAGAGCAGTTTTGCAACACTCTTTTTGTGGAATATGCAAGTGGATATTAGGGCAGCTTTGAGGATTTCGTTGGAAACGGGAATACATGTAAAAAGCAGACAGCAGCATTCTCAGAAACTTCTTTGTGATGTTTGCATTGAAGTCACAGAGTTGAACATTCCCTTTGAGAGAGCAGGTTTGAAACACGCCTTTTGTCATATCTGGAAGTGTCCATTCGGAGCGCATTCAGGCTTGTGTTGAAAAAGGAAATATCCTCCCATAAAAACTAGACAGAAGCATTCTCAGAAACTTATCTGTGATGTATGTACTCAACAAACAGAACTAAACCATCGTTTTGAAGGAGCAGTTTTGAAACACTCTTTTTGCGGAATCTGCAAGTGGATATTTGGCTAGCTGGGAGGATTTCGTTGGAAACGGGATTACATACAAAAAGCAGACAGCAGCATTCTCAGAAACTTCTTTGTGATGTTTGCATTCAAGTCACAGAGTTGAACATTCCCTTTCATAGAGCAGGTTTGAAACACTCTTTTTGTAGTATCTGGATGTGGACATTTGGATCGCTTTCAGGCCTATGGTGAAAAAGGAAATATCTTCCCATGAAAACTAGACAGAAGCATTCTCAGAAACTTATTTGTGATGTGTGCCCTCAACTGACAGTGTTGAACCTTTGTTTTGATAGAGCAGTTCTGAAACACACTTTTTGTAAAATCTGCAAGAGGATATTTGGATAGCTTTGAGGATTTCGTTGGAAACGGGAATGTCATCATGTAAACTCTAGACAGAAGCATTCTCAGAAACTGCTTTGGGATGTTTCAATTGAAGTCCCAGTGTTGAACATTCCCTTTCATAGAGCACGTTTGAAACACTCTTTTTGTACTATCTGGAAGTGGACATTTGGAGCGCTTTCAGGTCTACGGTGAAAAAGGAGATATCTTCCAATAAAAACTAGATAGAAGCAATGTCAGAACTTTTTTCATGATGTATCTACTCAGCAAACAGAGTTGAACCTTTCTTTTGAGAGAGCAGTTTTGAAACACTCTTTTTGTGGAATATGCAAGTGGGTATTAGGCCAGCTTGGAGGATTTCGTTGGAAACGGGAATACGTATAAAAAGCAGACAGCAGCATTGTCAGAAACTACTTTGTGATGTTTGCATTCAAGTCACAGAATTGAACACTCCCTTTCACAGAGCAGGTTTGAAACACTCTTTTTGTAGTGTCTGTAAGTGTACATTTGGATTGCTTTCAGGCCTAAGGTGAAAAAGGAAATATCTTCCCATAAAAACTAGACAGAAGCACTCTCAGAAACTTGTTTGTGATGTGTGCCCTCTACTGACAGAGTTGAACCTTTCTTTGCAAAGAGCAGTTTTGAAACACTCCTTTTGTAGAATCTGCAAGAGGATATTTGGATAGCTTTGAGGATTTCTTGGGAAACGGGAATGTCTTCAGATAAACTCTAGACAGAAGCATTCTCAGAAACTTCTTTGGGATGTTTCAATTGAAGTCACAGTGTTGAACATTCCCTTTCACAGAGCAGGTTTGAAACACTCTTTTTGTAGTGTCTATAAGTGAACATTTGGCGTGCTTTCAGGTCTAACGTGAAAAAGGAAATATCTTCCCATAAAAACTAGACAGAAGCATTCTCAGAAACTTGTTCGTGATGTGTGCCCTCTACTGACAGAGTTGAACCTTTCTTTGCAAAGAGCAGCTTTGAAACACACTTTTTGTAGAATCTGCAAGAGGATATTTGGATAGCTTTGAGGATTTCGTTGGAAACGGGTATGTCTTCAGATAAACTCTAGACAGAAGCATTCTCAGAAATTTCTTTGGGATGTTGCATGCAAGTCACAGAGTAGAACATTCCCATTCATAGAGCAGATTTGAAACACTCTTTTTGTAGTATCTGGAAGTGGACATTTGGAGCGCTTTCAGGCCTATGTTGAAAAAGGAAATATCTTCCCATAAAAACTAGACGGAAGCATTCTCAGAAACTTATTTGTGATGTGTTTGCTCAACTAACAGGATTGAACCATCGTTTTGAAGGAGCAGTTTTGAAACACTGTTTTCGTGGAATCTGCAAGTGGATATTTGGCTAGCTGGGAGGATTTCGTTGGAAACGGGATTACATATAAAAAGGAGACAGCAGCATTCTGAGAAACTTCTTTGTGATGTCTGCATTCAATTCACAGAGTTGAGCATTCCCTTTCATAGAGCAGGTTTGAAACACTCTTTTTGTAGTATCTGGATGTGGACATTTGGATCGCTTTCAGGCCTATGGTGAAAAAGGAAATATCTTCCCATGAAAACTAGACAGAAGCATTCTCAGAAACTTATTTGTGATGTGTGCCCTCAACTGACAGTGTTGAACCTTTGTTTTGATAGAGCAGTTCTGAAACACACTTTTTGTAAAATCTGCAAGAGGATATTTGGATAGCTTTGAGGATTTCGTTGGAAACGGGAATGTCTTCATGTAAACTCTACACAGAAGCATTCTCAGAAACTGCTTTGGGACGTTTCAATTGAAGTCCCAGTGTTGAACATTCCCATTCATAGAGCAGGTTTGAAACACTCTTTTTGTACTATCTGGAAGTGGACATTTGGAGCGCTTTCAGGTCTACGGTGAAAAAGGAGATATCTTCCAATAAAAACTAGATAGAAGCAATGTCAGAACTTTTTTCATGATGTATCTACTCAGCAAACAGAGTTGAACCTTTCTTTTGAGGGAGCAGTTTTGAAACACTATTTTTGTGGAATATGCAAGTGGGTATTAGGCCAGCTTGGAGGATTTCGTTGGAAACGGTAATACGTATAAAAAGCAGACAGCAGCATTGTCAGAAACTACTTTGTGATGTTTGCATTCAAGTCACAGAATTGAACACTCCTTTTCACAGAGCAGGTTTGAAACACTCTTTTTGTAGTGTCTGTAAGTGAACATTTGGATTGCTTTCAGGCCTAAGGTGAAAAAGGAAATATCTTCCCATAAAAACTAGACAGAAGCATTCTCAGAAACTTGTTCTTGATGTGTCCCCTCTACTGAGAGAGTTGAACCTTTCTTTGCAAAGAGCAGCTTTGAAACACTCTTTTTGTAGAATCTGCAAGAGGATATTTGGATAGCTTGGAGGATTTCGTTGGAAACGGGTATGTCTTCAGATAAACTCTAGACAGAAGCATTCTCAGAAACTTCTTTGGGATGTTGCATTCAAGTCACAGAGTAGAACATTCCCATTCATAGAGCAGATTTGAAACACTCTTTTTGTAGTATCTGGAAGTGGACATTTGGAGCGCTTTCAGGCCTATGTTGAAAAAGCAAATATCTTCCCATAAAAACTAGACGGAAGCATTCTCAGAAACTTATTTGTGATGTGTTTGCTCAACTAACAGGATTGAACCATCGTTTTGAAGGAGCAGTTTTGAAACACTGTTTTCGTGGAATCTGCAAGTGGATATTTGGCTAGCTTTGAGGATTTCGTTGGAAACGGGATTACATATACAAAGGAGACAGCAGCATTCTCAGCAAACTTCTTTGTGATGTCTGCATTCAATTCACAGAGTTGAGCATTCCCTTTCATAGAGCAGGTTGGAAACACTCTTTTTGTAGTATCTGGATGAGGACATTTGGAGCGCTTTCAGGCCTATGGTGAAAAAGGAAATATCTTCCCGTAAAAACTAGACAGAAGCATTCTCAGAAGTTTATTTGTGATGTGTGCCCTCAACTAACAGAGTTGAACCTTTCTTTTGATAGAGCAGTTTTGAAACACTCTTTTTGTAAAATCTGCAAGAGGATATTTGGATAGCTTTGAGGATTTCGTTGCAAACGGGAATGGCTTCATATAAACTCTAGACAGAAGCATTCTCAGAAACTTCGTTGGGATGTTTCGATTGAAGTCCCAGTGTTGAACATTCCCTTTTATAGAGCAGGTTGGAAACACTCTTTCTGCATTCCCTGGAAGTGGACATTTGGAGCGCTTTCAGGACAACGGTGAAAATGGAAATATCTTCCAAGAAAATCTAGATAGAAGCAATGTCAGAAACTTTTATGTGATGGATCTACTCAGCTAACAGAGTTGAACCTTTCTTTTGAGAGAGCAGTTTTGCAACACTCTTTTTGTGGAATATGCAAGTGGATATTAGGGCAGCTTTGAGGATTTCGTTGGAAACGGGAATACATGTAAAAAGCAGACAGCAGCATTCTCAGAAACTTCTTTGTGATGTTTGCATTGAAGTCACAGAGTTGAACATTCCCTTTGAGAGAGCAGGTTTGAAACACGCCTTTTGTCATATCTGGAAGTGTCCATTCGGAGCGCATTCAGGCTTGTGTTGAAAAAGGAAATATCCTCCCATAAAAACTAGACAGAAGCATTCTCAGAAACTTATCTGTGATGTATGTACTCAACTAACAGAACTAAACCATCGTTTTGAAGGAGCAGTTTTGAAACACTCTTTTTGCGGAATCTGCAAGTGGATATTTGGCTAGCTGGGAGGATTTCGTTGGAAACGGGATTACATACAAAAAGCAGACAGCAGCATTCTCAGAAACTTCTTTGTGATGTTTGCATTCAAGTCACAGAGTTGAACATTCCCTTTCATAGAGCAGGTTTGAAACACTCTTTTTGTAGTATCTGGATGTGGACATTTGGATCGCTTTCAGGCCTATGGTGAAAAAGGAAATATCTTCCCATGAAAACTAGACAGAAGCATTCTCAGAAACTTATTTGTGATGTGTGCCCTCAACTGACAGTGTTGAACCTTTGTTTTGATAGAGCAGTTCTGAAACACACTTTTTGTAAAATCTGCAAGAGGATATTTGGATAGCTTTGAGGATTTCGTTGGAAACGGGAATGTCTTCATGTAAACTCTAGACAGAAGCATTCTCAGAAACTGCTTTGGGATGTTTCAATTGAAGTCCCAGTGTTGAACATTCCCATTCATAGAGCAGGTTTGAAACACTCTTTTTGTACTATCTGGAAGTGGACATTTGGAGCACTTTCAGGTCTACGGTGAAAAAGGAGATATCTTCCAATAAAAACTAGATAGAAGCAATGTCAGAACTTTTTTCATGATGTATCTACTCAGCAAACAGAGTTGAACCTTTCTTTTGAGAGAGCAGTTTTGAAACACTCTTTTTGTGGAATATGCAAGTGGGTATTAGGCCAGCTTGGAGGATTTCGTTGGAAACGGGAATACGTATAAAAAGCAGACAGCAGCATTGTCAGAAACTACTTTGTGATGTTTGCATTCAAGTCACAGAATTGAACACTCCCTTTCACAGAGCAGGTTTGAAACACTCTTTTTGTAGTGTCTGTAAGTGAACATTTGGATTGCTTTCAGGCCTAAGGTGAAAAAGGAAATATCTTCCCATAAAAACTAGACAGAAGCATTCTCAGAAACTTGTTTGTGATGTGTGCCCTCTACTGACAGAGTTGAACCTTTCTTTGCAAAGAGCAGCTTTGAAACACTCTTTTTGTAGAATCTGCAAGAGGATATTTGGATAGCTTTGAGGATTTCTTGGGAAACGGGAATGTCTTCAGATAAACTCTAGACAGAAGCATTCTCAGAAACTTCTTTGGGATGTTTCAATTGAAGTCACAGTGTTGAACATTCCCTTTCACAGAGCAGGTTTGAAACACTCTTTTTGTAGTGTCTATAAGTGAACATTTGGCGTGCTTTCAGGCCTAACGTGAAAAAGGAAATATCTTCCCATAAAAACTAGACAGAAGCATTCTCAGAAACTTGTTCTTGATGTGTCCCCTCTACTGACAGAGTTGAACCTTTCTTTGCAAAGAGCGGCTTTGAAACACTCTTTTTGTAGAATCTGCAAGAGGATATTTGGATAGCTTGGAGGTTTTCGTTGGAAACGGGTATGTCTTCAGATAAACTCTAGACAGAAGCATTCTCAGAAACTTCTTTGGGATGTTGCATTCAAGTCACAGAGTAGAACATTCCCATTCATAGAGCAGATTTGAAACACTCTTTTTGTAGTATCTGGAAGTGGACATTTGGAGCGCTTTCAGGCCTATGTTGAAAAAGGAAATATCTTCCCATAAAAACTAGACGGAAGCATTCTCAGAAACTTACTTGTGATGTGTTTGCTCAACTAACAGAATTGAACCATCGTTTTGAAGGAGCAGTTTTGAAACACTGTTTTCGTGGAATCTGCAAGTGGATATTTGGCTAGCTTTGAGGATTTCGTTGGAAACGGGATTACATATAAAAAGGAGACAGCAGCATTCTCAGAAACTTCTTTGTGATGTCTGCATTCAATTCACAGAGTTGAGCATTCCCTTTCATAGAGCAGGTTGGAAACACTCTTTTTGTAGTATCTGGATGAGGACATTTGGAGCGCTTTCAGGCGTATGGTGAAAAAGGAAATATCTTCCCGTAAAAACTAGACAGAAGCATTCTCAGAAATTTATTTGTGATGTGTGCCCTCAACTAACAGAGTTGAACCTTTCTTTTGATAGAGCAGTTTTGAAACACTCTTTTTGTAAAATCTGCAAGAGGATATTTGGATAGCTTTGAGGATTTCGTTGCAAACGGGAATGGCTTCATATAAACTCTAGACAGAAGCATTCTCAGAAACTTCGTCGGGATGTTTCGATTGAAGTCCCAGTGTTGAACATTCCCTTTTATAGAGCAGGTTGGAAACACTCTTTCTGCATTCCCTGGAAGTGGACAATTGGAGCGCTTTCAGGACGACGGTGAAAATGGAAATATCTTCCAATAAAATCTGGATAGAAGCAATGTCAGAAACTTTTCTGTGATGGATCTACTCAGCTAACAGAGTTGAACCTTTCTTTTGAGAGAGCAGTTTTGCAACACTCTTTTTGTGGAATATGCAAGTGGATATTAGGGCAGCTTTGAGGATTTCGTTGGAAACGGGAATACATGTAAAAAGCAGACAGCAGCATTCTCAGAAACTTCTTTGTGATGTTTGCATTGAAGTCACAGAGTTGAACATTCCCTTTGAGAGAGCAGGTTTGAAACACGCCTTTTGTCATATCTGGAAGTGTCCATTCGGAGCGCATTCAGGCTTGTGTTGAAAAAGAAAATATCCTCCCATAAAAACTAGACAGAAGCATTCTCAGAAACTTATCTGTGATGTATGTACTCAACTAACCGAACTAAACCATCGTTTTGAAGGAGCAGTTTTGAAACACTCTTTTTGCGGAATCTGCAAGTGGATATTTGGCTAGCTGGGAGGATTTCGTTGGAAACGGGATTACATACAAAAAGCAGACAGCAGCATTCTCAGAAACTTCTTTGTGATGTTTGCATTCAAGTCACAGAGTTGAACATTCCCTTTCATAGAGTAGGTTTGAAACACTCTTTTTGTAGTATCTGGATGTGGACATTTGGATCGCTTTCAGGCCTATGGTGAAAAAGGAAATATCTTCCCATGAAAACTAGACAGAAGCATTCTCAGAAACTTGTTTGTGATGTGTGCCCTCAACTGACAGTGTTGAACCTTTGTTTTGATAGAGCAGTTCTGAAACACACTTTTTGTAAAATCTGCAAGAGGATATTTGGATAGCTTTGAGGATTTCGTTGGAAACGGGAATGTCTTCATGTAAACTCTACACAGAAGCATTCTCAGAAACTGCTTTGGGATGTTTCAATTGAAGTCCCAGTGTTGAACATTCCCATTCATAGAGCAGGTTTGAAACACTCTTTTTGTACTATCTGGAAGTGGACATTTGGAGCGCTTTCATGTCTACGGTGAAAAAGGAGATATCTTCCAATAAAAACTAGATAGAAGCAATGTCAGAACTTTTTTCATGATGTATCTACTCAGCAAACAGAGTTGAACCTTTCTTTTGAGAGAGCAGTTTTGAAACACTCTTTTTGTGGAATATGAAAGTGGGTATTAGGCCAGCTTGGAGGATTTCGTTGGAAACGGGAATACGTATAAAAAGCAGACAGCAGCATTGTCAGAAACTACTTTGTGATGTTTGCATTCAAGTCACAGAACTGAACACTCCCTTTCACAGAGCAGGTTTGAAACACTCTTTTTGTAGTGTCTGTAAGTGAACATTTGGATTGCTTTCAGGCCTAAGGTGAAAAAGGAAATATCTTCCCATAAAAACTAGACAGAAGCATTCTCAGAAACTTGTTTGTGATGTGTGCCCTCTACTGACAGAGTTGAACCTTTCTTTGCAAAGAGCAGTTTTGAAACACTCTTTTTGTAGAATCTGCAAGAGGATATTTGGATAGCTTTGAGGATTTCTTGGGAAACGGGAATGTCTTCAGATAAACTCTAGACAGAAGCATTCTCAGAAACTTCTTTGGGATGTTTCAATTGAAGTCACAGTGTTGAACATTCCCTTTCACAGAGCAGGTTTGAAACACTCTTTTTGTAGTGTCTATAAGTGAACATTTGGCGTGCTTTCAGGCCTAACGTGAAAAAGGAAATATCTTCCCATAAAAACTAGACAGAAGCATTCTCAGAAACTTGTTCGTGATGTGTGCCCTCTACTGACAGAGTTGAACCTTTCTTTGCAAAGAGCAGCTTTGAAACACACTTTTTGTAGAATCTGCAAGAGGATATTTGGATAGCTTGGAGGATTTCGTTGGAAACGGGTATGTCTTCAGATAAACTCTAGACAGAAGCATTCTCAGAAACTTCTTTGGGATGTTGCATGCAAGTCACAGAGTAGAACATTCCCATTCATAGAGCAGATTTGAAACACTCTTTTTGTAGTATCTGGAAGTGGACATTTGGAGCGCTTTCAGGCCTATGTTGAAAAAGGAAATATCTTCCCATAAAAACTAGACGGAAGCATTCTCAGAAACTTATTTGTGATGTGTTTGCTCAACTAACAGGATTGAACCTTCGTTTTGAAGGAGCAGTTTTGAAACACTGTTTTCGTGGAATCTGCAGGTGGATATTTGGCTAGCTTTGAGGATTTCGTTGGAAACGGGATTACATATAAAAAGGAGACAGCAGCATTCTCAGAAACTTCTTTGTGATGTCTGCATTCAATTCACAGAGTTGAGCATTCCCTTTCATAGAGCAGGTTGGAAACACTCTTTTTGTAGTATCTGGATGTGGACATTTGGATCGCTTTCAGGCCTATGGTGAAAAAGGAAATATCTTCCCATGAAAACTAGACAGAAGCATTCTCAGAATCTTATTTGTGATGTGTGCCCTCAACTGACAGTGTTGAACCTTTGTTTTGATAGAGCAGTTCTGAAACACACTTTTTGTAAAATCTGCAAGAGGATATTTGGATAGCTTTGAGGATTTCGTTGGAAACGGGAATGTCTTCATGTAAACTCTAGACAGAAGCATTCTCAGAAACTGCTTTGGGATGTTTCAATTGAAGTCCCAGTGTTGAACATTCCCTTTCATAGAGCAGGTTTGAAACACTCTTTTTGTACTATCTGGAAGTGGACATTTGGAGCGCTTTCAGGTCTACGGTGAAAAAGGAGATATCTTCCAATAAAAACTAGATAGAAGCAATGTCAGAACTTTTTTCATGATGTATCTACTCAGCTAACAGAGTTGAACCTTTCTTTTGAGAGAGCAGTTTTGAAACACTCTTTTTGTGGAATATGCAAGTGGGTATTAGGCCAGCTTGGAGGATTTCGTTGGAAACGGGAATACGTATAAAAAGCAGACAGCAGCATTGTCAGAAACTACTTTGTGATGTTTGCATTCAAGTCACAGAATTGAACACTCCCTTTCACAGAGCAGGTTTGAAACACTCTTTTTGTAGTGTCTATAAGTGAACATTTGGCGTGCTTTCAGGCCTAAGGTGAAAAAGGAAATATCTTCCCATAAAAACTAGACAGAAGCATTCTCAGAAACTTGTTCGTGATGTGTGCCCTCTACTGACAGAGTTGAACCTTTCTTTGCAAAGAGCAGCTTTGAAACACTCTTTTTGTAGAATCTGCAAGAGGATATTTGGATAGCTTTGAGGATTTCGTTGGAAACGGGTATGTCTTCAGATAAACTCTAGACAGAAGCATTCTCAGAAACTTCTTTGGGATGTTGCATTCAAGTCACAGAGTAGAACATTCCCATTCATAGAGCAGATTTGAAACACTCTTTTTGTAGTATCTGGAAGTGGACATTTGGAGCGCTTTCAGGCCTATGTTGAAAAAGGAAATATCTTCCCATAAAAACTAGACGGAAGCATTCTCAGAAACTTACTTGTGATGTGTTTGCTCAACTAACAGAATTGAACCATCGTTTTGAAGGAGCAGTTTTGAAACACTGTTTTCGTGGAATCTGCAAGTGGATATTTGGCTAGCTTTGAGGATTTCGTTGGAAACGGGATTACATATAAAAAGGAGACAGCAGCATTCTCAGAAACTTCCTTGTGATGTCTGCATTCAAGTCACAGAGTTGAGCATTCCCTTTCATAGAGCAGGTATGAAACACTCTTTTTGTAGTATCTGGATGAGGACATTTGGAGCGCTTTCAGGCGTATGGTGAAAAAGGAAATATCTTCCCGTAAAAACTAGACAGAAGCATTCTCAGAAATTTATTTGTGATGTGTGCCCTCAACTAACAGAGTTGAACCTTTCTTTTGATAGAGCAGTTTTGAAACACTCTTTTTGTAAAATCTGCAAGAGGATATTTGGATAGCTTTGAGGATTTCATTGCAAACGGGAATGGCTTCATATAAACTCTAGACAGAAGCATTCTCAGAAACTTCGTTGGGATGTTTCGATTGAAGTCCCAGTGTTGAACATTCCCTTTTATAGAGCAGGTTGGAAACACTCTTTCTGCATTCCCTGGAAGTGGACATTTGGAGCGCTTTCAGGACGACGGTGAAAATGGAAATATCTTCCAAGAAAATCTAGATAGAAGCAACGTCAGAAACTTTTCTGTGATGGATCTACTCAGCTAACAGAGTTGAACCTTTCTTTTGAGAGAGCAGTTTTGCAACACTCTTTTTGTGGAATATGCAAGTGGATATTAGGGCAGCTTTGAGGATTTCGTTGGAAACGGGAATACATGTAAAAAGCAGACAGCAGCATTCTCAGAAACTTCTTTGTGATGTTTGCATTGAAGTCACAGAGTTGAACATTCCCTTTGAGAGAGCAGGTTTGAAACACGCCTTTTGTCATATCTGGAAGTGTCCATTCGGAGCGCATTCAGGCTTGTGTTGAAAAAGGAAATATCCTCCCATAAAAACTAGACAGAAGCATTCTCAGAAACTTATCTGTGATGTATGTACTCAACTAACAGAACTAAACCATCGTTTTGAAGGAGCAGTTTTGAAACACTCTTTTTGCGGAATCTGCAAGTGGATATTTGGCTAGCTGGGAGGATTTCGTTGGAAACGGGATTACATACAAAAAGCAGACAGCAGCATTCTCAGAAACTTCTTTGTGATGTTTGCATTCAAGTCACAGAGTTGAACATTCCCTTTCATAGAGCAGGTTTGAAACACTCTTTTTGTAGTATCTGGATGTGGACATTTGGATCGCTTTCAGGCCTATGGTGAAAAAGGAAATATCTTCCCATGAAAACTAGACAGAAGCATTCTCAGAAACTTATTTGTGATGTGTGCCCTCAACTGACAGTGTTGAACCTTTGTTTTGATAGAGCAGTTCTGAAACACACTTTTTGTAAAATCTGCAAGAGGATATTTGGATAGCTTTGAGGATTTCGTTGGAAACGGGAATGTCTTCATGTAAACTCTAGACAGAAGCATTCTCAGAAACTGCTTTGGGATGTTTCAATTGAAGTCCCAGTGTTGAACATTCCCTTTCATAGAGCAGGTTTGAAACACTCTTTTTGTACTATCTGGAAGTGGACATTTGGAGCGCTTTCAGGTCTACGGTGAAAAAGGAGATATCTTCCAATAAAAACTAGATAGAAGCAATGTCAGAACTTTTTTCATGATGTATCTACTCAGCAAACAGAGTTGAACCTTTCTTTTGAGAGAGCAGTTTTGAAACACTCTTTTTGTGGAATATGCAAGTGGGTATTAGGCCAGCTTGGAGGATTTCGTTGGAAACGGGAATACGTATAAAAAGCAGACAGCAGCATTGTCAGAAACTACTTTGTGATGTTTGCATTCAAGTCACAGAATTGAACACTCCCTTTCACAGAGCAGGTTTGAAACTCTCTTTTTGTAGTGTCTGTAAGTGAACATTTGGATTGCTTTCAGGCCTAAGGTGAAAAAGGAAATATCTTCCCATATAAACTAGACAGAAGCATTCTCAGAAACTTGTTTGTGATGTGTGCCCTCTACTGACAGAGTTGAACCTTTCTTTTCAAAGAGCAGTTTTGAAACACTCTTTTTGTAGAATCTGCAAGAGGATATTTGGATAGCTTTGAGGATTTCTTGGGAAACGGGAATGTCTTCAGATAAACTCTAGACAGAAGCATTCTCAGAAACTTCTTTGGGATGTTTCAATTGAAGTCACAGTGTTGAACATTCCCTTTCACAGAGCAGGTTTGAAACACTCTTTTTGTAGTGTCTATAAGTGAACATTTGGCGTGCTTTCAGGCGTAACGTGAAAAAGGAAATATCTTCCCATAAAAACTAGACAGAAGCATTCTCAGAAACTTGTTCTTGATGTGTCCCCTCTACTGACAGAGTTGAACCTTTCTTTGCAAAGAGCAGCTTTGAAACACTCTTTTTGTAGAATCTGCAAGAGGATATTTGGATAGCTTGGAGGATTTCGTTGGAAACGGGTATGTCTTCAGATAAACTCTAGACAGAAGCATTCTCAGAAACTTCTTTGGGATGTTGCATTCAAGTCACAGAGTAGAACATTCCCATTCATAGAGCAGATTTGAAACACTCTTTTTGTAGTATCTGGAAGTGGACATTTGGAGCGCTTTCAGGCCTATGTTGAAAAAGGAAATATCTTCCCATAAAAACTAGACGGAAGCATTCTCAGAAACTTGTTCTTGATGTGTTTGCTCAACTAACAGGATTGAACCATCGTTTTGAAGGAGCAGTTTTGAAACACTGTTTTCGTGGAATCTGCAAGTGGATATTTGGCTAGCTTTGAGGATTTCGTTGGAAACGGGATTACATATAAAAAGGAGACAGCAGCATTCTCAGAAACTTCTTTGTGATGTCTGCATTCAATTCACAGAGTTGAGCATTCCCTTTCATAGAGCAGGTTGGAAACACTCTTTTTGTAGTATCTGGATGAGGACATTTGGAGCGCTTTCAGGCGTATGGTGAAAAAGGAAATATCTTCCCGTAAAAACTAGACAGAAGCATTCTCAGAAGTTTATTTGTGATGTGTGCCCTCAACTAACAGAGTTGAACCTTTCTTTTGATAGAGCAGTTTTGAAACACTCTTTTCGTAAAATCTGCAAGAGGATATTTGGATAGCTTTGAGGATTTCGTTGCAAACGGGAATGGCTTCATATAAACTCTAGACAGAAGCATTCTCAGAAACTTCGTTGGGATGTTTCGATTGAAGTCCCAGTGTTGAACATTCCCTTTTATAGAGCAGGTTGGAAACACTCTTTCTGCATTCCCTGGAAGTGGACATTTGGAGCGCTTTCAGGACGACGGTGAAAATGGAAATATCTTCCAAGAAAATCTAGATAGAAGCAATGTCAGAAACTTTTATGTGATGGATCTACTCAGCTAACAGAGTTGAACCTTTCTTTTGAGAGAGCAGTTTTGCAACACTCTTTTTGTGGAATATGCAAGTGGATATTAGGGCAGCTTTGAGGATTTCGTTGGAAACGGGAATACATGTAAAAAGCAGACAGCAGCATTCTCAGAAACTTCTTTGTGATGTTTGCATTGAAGTCACAGAGTTGAACATTCCCTTTGAGAGAGCAGGTTTGAAACACGCCTTTTGTCATATCTGGAAGTGTCCATTCGGAGCGCATTCAGGCTTGTGTTGAAAAAGGAAATATCCTCCCATAAAAACTAGACAGAAGCATTCTCAGAAACTTATCTGTGATGTATGTACTCAACTAACAGAACTAAACCATCGTTTTGAAGGAGCAGTTTTGAAACACTCTTTTTGCGGAATATGCAAGTGGATATTTGGCTAGCTTGGAGGATTTCGTTGGAAACGGGATGACATACAAAAAGCAGAGAGCAGCATTCTCAGAAACTTCTTTGTGATGTTTGCATTCAAGTCACAGAGTTGAACATTCCCTTTCATAGAGCAGGTTTGAAACACTCTTTTTGTAGTATGTGGATGTGGACATTTGGATCGCTTTCAGGCCTATGGTGAAAAAGGAAATATCTTCCCATGAAAACTAGACAGAAGCATTCTCAGAAACTTATTTGTGATGTGTGCCCTCAACTGACAGTGTTGAACCTTTGTTTTGATAGAGCAGTTCTGAAACACACTTTTTGTAAAATCTGCAAGAGGATATTTGGATAGCTTTGAGGATTTCGTTGGAAACGGGAATGTCTTCATGTAAACTCTAGACAGAAGCATTCTCAGAAACTGCTTTGGGATGTTTCAATTGAAGTCCCACTGTTGAACATTCCCTTTCATAGAGCAGGTTTGAAACACTCTTTTTGTACTATCTGGAAGTGGACATTTGGAGCGCTTTCAGGTCTACGGTGAAAAAGGAGATATCTTCCAATAAAAACTAGATAGAAGCAATGTCAGAACTTTTTTCATGATGTATCTACTCAGCAAACAGAGTTGAACCTTTCTTTTGAGAGAGCAGTTTTGAAACACTCTTTTTGTGGAATATGCAAGTGGGTATTAGGCCAGCTTGGAGGATTTCGTTGGAAACGGGAATACGTATAAAAAGCAGACAGCAGCATTGTCAGAAACTACTTTGTGATGTTTGCATGCAAGTCACAGAATGGAACACTGCCTTTCACAGAGCAGGTTTGAAACACTCTTTTTGTAGTGTCTGTAAGTGAACATTTGGATTGCTTTCAGGCCTAAGGTGAAAAAGGAAATATCTTCCCATAAAAACTAGACAGAAGCATTCTCAGAAACTTGTTTGTGATGTGTGCCCTCTACTGACAGATTTGAACCTTTCTTTGCAAAGAGCAGTTTTGAAACACTCTTTTTGTAGAATCTGCAAGAGGATATTTGGATAGCTTTGAGGATTTCTTGGGAAACGGGAATGTCTTCAGATAAACTCTAGACAGAAGCATTCTCAGAAACTTCTTTGGGATGTTTCAATTGAAGTCACAGTGTTGAACATTCCCTTTCACAGAGCAGGTTTGAAACACTCTTTTTGTAGTGTCTATAAGTGAACATTTGGCGTGCTTTCAGGCCTAACGTGAAAAAGGAAATATCTTCCCATAAAAACTAGACAGAAGCATTCTCAGAAACTTGTTCGTGATGTGTGCCCTCTACTGACAGAGTTGAACCTTTCTTTGAAAAGAGCAGCTTTGAAACACACTTTTTGTAGAATCTGCAAGAGGATATTTGGATAGCTTTGAGGATTTCGTTGGAAACGGGTATGTCTTCAGATAAACTCTAGACAGAAGCATTCTCAGAAACTTCTGTGGGATGTTGCATTCAAGTCACAGAGTAGAACATTCCCATTCATAGAGCAGATTTGAAACACTCTTTTTGAAGTATCTGGAAGTGGACATTTGGAGCGCTTTCAGGCCTATGTTGAAAAAGGAAATATCTTCCCATAAAAACTAGACGGAAGCATTCTCAGAAACTTACTTGTGATGTGTTTGCTCAACTAACAGAATTGAACCATCGTTTTGAAGGAGCAGTTTTGAAACACTGTTTTCGTGGAATCTGCAAGTGGATATTTGGCTAGCTTTGAGGATGTCGTTGGAAACGGGATTACATATAAAAAGGAGACAGCAGCATTCTCAGAAACTTCTTTGTGATGTCTGCATTCAAGTCACAGAGTTGAGCATTCCCTTTCATAGAGCAGGTTGGAAACACTCTTTTTGTAGTATCTGGATGAGGACATTTGGAGCGCTTCCAGGCGTATGGTGAAAAAGGAAATATCTTCCGTAAAAACTAGACAGAAGCATTCTCAGAAATTTATTTGTGATGTGTGCCCTCAACTAACAGAGTTGAACCTTTCTTTTGATAGAGCAGTTTTGAAACACTCTTTTTGTAAAATCTGCAAGAGGATATTTGGATAGCTTTGAGGATTTCGTTCCAAACGGGAATGGCTTCATATAAACTCTAGACAGAAGCATTCTCAGAAACTTCGTTGGGATGTTTCGATTGAAGTCCCAGTGTTGAACATTCCCTTTTATAGCGCACGTTGGAAACACTCTTTTTGCATTCCCTGGAAGTGGACATTTGGAGCGCTTTCAGGACGACGGTGAAAATGGAAATATCTTCCAATAAAATCTAGATAGAAGCAACGTCAGAAACTTTTATGTGATGGATCTACTCAGCTAACAGAGTTGAACCT
Source organism: Homo sapiens (assembly GCF_000001405.40). NCBI lineage: Eukaryota > Metazoa > Chordata > Mammalia > Primates > Hominidae > Homo > Homo sapiens. Next base: position 26,809,962 of record NC_000020.11, read on the forward strand.
TTCTTTTGAGAGAGCAGTTTTGCAACACTCTTTTTGTGGAATATGCAAGTGGATATTAGGGCAGCTTTGAGGATTTCGTTGGAAACGGGAATACATGTAAAAAGCAGACAGCAGCATTCTCAGAAACTTCTTTGTGATGTTTGCATTGAAGTCACAGAGTTGAACATTCCCTTTGAGAGAGCAGGTTTGAAACACGCCTTTTGTCATATCTGGAAGTGTCCATTCGGAGCGCATTCAGGCTTGTGTTGAAAAAGGAAATATCCTCCCATAAAAACTAGACAGAAGCATTCTCAGAAACTTATCTGTGATGTATGTACTCAACTAACAGAACTAAACCATCGTCTTGAAGGAGCAGTTTTGAAACACTCTTTTTGCGGAATCTGCAAGTGGATATTTGGCTAGCTGGGAGGATTTCGTTGGACACGGGATTACATACAAAAAGCAGAGAGCAGCAATCTCAGAAACTTCTTTGTGATGTTTGCATTCAAGTCACAGAGTTGAACATTCCCTTTCATAGAGCAGGTTTGAAACACTCTTTTTGTAGTATCTGGATGTGGACATTTGGATCGCTTTCAGGCCTATGGTGAAAAAGGAAATATCTTCCCATGAAAACTAGACAGAAGCATTCTCAGAAACTTATTTGTGATGTGTGCCCTCAACTGACAGTGTTGAACCTTTGTTTTGATAGAGCAGTTCTGAAACACACTTTTTGTAAAATCTGCAAGAGGATATTTGGATAGCTTTGAGGATTTCGTTGGAAACGGGAATGTCTTCATGTAAACTCTAGACAGAAGCATTCTCAGAAACTGCTTTGGGATGTTTCAATTGAAGTCCCAGTGTTGAACATTCCCTTTCATAGAGCAGGTTTGAAACACTCTTTTTGTACTATCTGGAAGTGGACATTTGGAGCGCTTTCAGGTCTACGGTGAAAAAGGAGATATCTTCCAATAAAAACTAGATAGAAGCAATGTCAGAACTTTTTTCATGATGTATCTACTCAGCAAACAGAGTTGAACCTTTCTTTTGAGAGAGCAGTTTTGAAACACTCTTTTTGTGGAATATGCAAGTGGGTATTAGGCCAGCTTGGAGGATTTCGTTGGAAACGGGAATACGTATAAAAAGCAGACAGCAGCATTGTCAGAAACTACTTTGTGATGTTTGCATTCAAGTCACAGAATTGAACACTCCCTTTCACAGAGCAGGTTTGAAACACTCTTTTTGTAGTGTCTGTAAGTGTACATTTGGATTGCTTTCAGGCCTAAGGTGAAAAAGGAAATATCTTCCCATAAAAACTAGACAGAAGCATTCTCAGAAACTTGTTTGTGATGTGTGCCCTCTACTGACAGAGTTGAACCTTTCTTTGCAAAGAGCAGTTTTGAAACACTCTTTTTGTAGAATCTGCAAGAGGATATTTGGATAGCTTTGAGGATTTCTTGGGAAACGGGAATGTCTTCAGATAAACTCTAGACAGAAGCATTCTCAGAAACTTCTTTGGGATGTTTCAATTGAAGTCACAGTGTTGAACATTCCCTTTCACAGAGCAGGTTTGAAACACTCTTTTTGTAGTGTCTATAAGTGAACATTTGGCGTGCTTTCAGGCGTAACGTGAAAAAGGAAATATCTTCCCATAAAAACTAGACAGAAGCATTCTCAGAAACTTGTTCGTGATGTGTGCCCTCTACTGACAGAGTTGAACCTTTCTTTTCAAAGAGCAGCTTTGAAACACACTTTTTGTAGAATCTGCAAGAGGATATTTGGATAGCTTGGAGGATTTCGTTGGAAACGGGTATGTCTTCAGATAAACTCTAGACAGAAGCATTCTCAGAAACTTCTTCGGGATGTTGCATGCAAGTCACAGAGTAGAACATTCCCATTCATAGAGCAGATTTGAAACACTCTTTTTGTAGTATCTGGAAGTGGACATTTGGAGCGCTTTCAGGCCTATGTTGAAAAAGGAAATATCTTCCCATAAAAACTAGACGGAAGCATTCTCAGAAACTTATTTGTGATGTGTTTGCTCAACTAACAGGATTGAACCATCGTTTTGAAGGAGCAGTTTTGAAACACTGTTTTCGTGGAATCTGCAAGTGGATATTTGGCTAGCTTTGAGGATTTCGTTGGAAACGGGATTACATATAAAAAGGAGACAGCAGCATTCTCAGAAACTTCTTTGTGATGTCTGCATTCAAGTCACAGAGTTGAGCATTCCCTTTCATAGAGCAGGTTGGAAACACTCTTTTTGTAGTATCTGGATGAGGACATTTGGAGCGCTTTCAGGCCTATGGTGAAAAAGGAAATATCTTCCCGTAAAAACTAGACAGAAGCATTCTCAGAAATTTATTTGTGATGTGTGCCCTCAACTAACAGAGTTGAACCTTTCTTTTGATAGAGCAGTTTTGAAACACTCTTTTTGTAAAATCTGCAAGAGGATATTTGGATAGCTTTGAGGATTTCATTGCAAACGGGAATGGCTTCATATAAACTCTAGACAGAAGCATTCTCAGAAACTTCGTTGGGATGTTTCGATTGAAGTCCCAGTGTTGAACATTCCCTTTTATAGAGCAGGTTGGAAACACTCTTTCTGCATTCCCTGGAAGTGGACATTTGGAGCGCTTTCAGGACGACGGTGAAAATGGAAATATCTTCCAAGAAAATCTAGATAGAAGCAACGTCAGAAACTTTTCTGTGATGGATCTACTCAGCTAACAGAGTTGAACCTTTCTTTTGAGAGAGCAGTTTTGCAACACTCTTTTTGTGGAATATGCAAGTGGATATTAGGGCAGCTTTGAGGATTTCGTTGGAAACGGGAATACATGTAAAAAGCAGACAGCAGCATTCTCAGAAACTTCTTTGTGATGTTTGCATTGAAGTCACAGAGTTGAACATTCCCTTTGAGAGAGCAGGTTTGAAACACGCCTTTTGTCATATCTGGAAGTGTCCATTCGGAGCGCATTCAGGCTTGTGTTGAAAAAGGAAATATCCTCCCAGAAAAACTAGACAGAAGCATTCTCAGAAACTTATCTGTGATGTATGTACTCAACTAACAGAACTAAACCATCGTTTTGAAGGAGCAGTTTTGAAACACTCTTTTTGCGGAATCTGCAAGTGGATATTTGGCTAGCTGGGAGGATTTCGTTGGAAACGGGATTACATACAAAAAGCAGACAGCAGCATTCTCAGAAACTTCTTTGTGATGTTTGCATTCAAGTCACAGAGTTGAACATTCCCTTTCATAGAGCAGGTTTGAAACACTCTTTTTGTAGTATCTGGATGTGGACATTTGGATCGCTTTCAGGCCTATGGTGAAAAAGGAAATATCTTCCCATGAAAACTAGACAGAAGCATTCTCAGAAACTTATTTGTGATGTGTGCCCTCAACTGACAGTGTTGAACCTTTGTTTTGATAGAGCAGTTCTGAAACACACTTTTTGTAAAATCTGCAAGAGGATATTTGGATAGCTTTGAGGATTTCGTTGGAAACGGGAATGTCTTCATGTAAACTCTAGACAGAAGCATTCTCAGAAACTGCTTTGGGATGTTTCAATTGAAGTCCCAGTGTTGAACATTCCCTTTCATAGAGCAGGTTTGAAACACTCTTTTTGTACTATCTGGAAGTGGACATTTGGAGCGCTTTCAGGTCTATGGTGAAAAAGGAGATATCTTCCAATAAAAACTAGATAGAAGCAATGTCAGAACTTTTTTCATGATGTATCTACTCAGCAAACAGAGTTGAACTTTTCTTTTGAGAGAGCAGTTTTGAAACACTCTTTTTGTGGAATATGCAAGTGGGTATTAGGCCAGCTTGGAGGATTTCGTTGGAAACGGGAATACGTATAAAAAGCAGACAGCAGCATTGTCAGAAACTACTTTGTGATGTTTGCATTCAAGTCACAGAATTGAACACTCCCTTTCACAGAGCAGGTTTGAAACACTCTTTTTGTAGTGTCTGTAAGTGAACATTTGGATTGCTTTCAGGCCTAAGGTGAAAAAGGAAATATCTTCCCATAAAAACTAGACAGAAGCATTCTCAGAAACTTGTTTGTGATGTGTGCCCTCTACTGACAGAGTTGAACCTTTCTTTGCAAAGAGCAGTTTTGAAACACTCTTTTTGTAGAATCTGCAAGAGGATATTTGGATAGCTTTGAGGATTTCTTGGGAAACGGGAATGTCTTCAGATAAACTCTAGACAGAAGCATTCTCAGAAACTTCTTTGGGATGTTTCAATTGAAGTCACAGTGTTGAACATTCCCTTTCACAGAGCAGGTTTGAAACACTCTTTTTGTAGTGTCTATAATTGAACATTTGGCGTGCTTTCAGGCCTAACGTGAAAAAGGAAATATCTTCCCATAAAAACTAGACAGAAGCATTCTCAGAAACTTGTTCGTGATGTGTGCCCTCTACTGACAGAGTTGAACCTTTCTTTGCAAAGAGCAGCTTTGAAACACTCTTTTTGTAGAATCTGCAAGAGGATATGTGGATAGCTTTGAGGATTTCGTTGGAAACGGGTATGTCTTCAGATAAACTCTAGACAGAAGCATTCTCAGAAACTTCTTTGGGATGTTTCAATTGAAGTCACAGTGTTGAACATTCCCTTTCACAGAGCAGGTTTGAAACACTCTTTTTGTAGTGTCTATAAGTGAACATTTGGCGTGCTTTCAGGCCTAACGTGAAAAAGGAAATATCTTCCCATAAAAACTAGACAGAAGCATTCTCAGAAATTTGTTCGTGATGTGTGCCCTCTACTGACAGAGTTGAACCTTTCTTTGCAAAGAGCAGCTTTGAAACACTCTGTTTGTAGAATCTGCAAGAGGATATTTGGATAGCTTTGAGGATTTCGTTGGAAACGGGTATGTCTTCAGATAAACTCTAGACAGAAGCATTCTCAGAAACTTCTTTGGGATGTTGCATTCAAGTCACAGAGTAGAACATTCCCATTCATAGAGCAGATTTGAAACACTCTTTTTGTAGTATCTGGAAGTGGACATTTGGAGCGCTTTCAGGCCTATGTTGAAAAAGGAAATATCTTCCCATAAAAACTAGACGGAAGCATTCTCAGAAACTTACTTGTGATGTGTTTGCTCAACTAACAGAATTGAACCATCGTTTTGAAGGAGCAGTTTTGAAACACTGTTTTCGTGGAATCTGCAAGTGGATATTTGGCTAGCTTTGAGGATTTCGTTGGAAACGGGATTACATATAAAAAGGAGACAGCAGCATTCTCAGAAACTTCTTTGTGATGTCTGCATTCAAGTCACAGAGTTGAGCATTCCCTTTCATAGAGCAGGTTGGAAACACTCTTTTTGTAGTATCTGGATGAGGACATTTGGAGCGCTTTCAGGCGTATGGTGAAAAAGGAAATATCTTCCCGTAAAAACTAGACAGAAGCATTCTCAGAAATTTATTTGTGATGTGTGCCCTCAACTAACAGAGTTGAACCTTTCTTTTGATAGAGCAGTTTTGAAACACTCTTTTTGTAAAATCTGCAAGAGGATATTTGGATAGCTTTGAGGATTTCGTTGCAAACGGGAATGGCTTCATATAAACTCTAGACAGAAGCATTCTCAGAAACTTCGTTGGGATGTTTCGATTGAAGTCCCAGTGTTGAACATTCCCTTTTATAGAGCAGGTTGGAAACACTCTTTCTGCATTCCCTGGAAGTGGACATTTGGAGCGCTTTCAGGACGACGGTGAAAATGGAAATATCTTCCAAGAAAATCTAGATAGAAGCAACGTCAGAAACTTTTATGTGATGGATCTACTCAGCTAACAGAGTTGAACCTTTCTTTTGAGAGAGCAGTTTTGCAACACTCTTTTTGTGGAATATGCAAGTGGATATTAGGGCAGCTTTGAGGATTTCGTTGGAAACGGGAATACATGTAAAAAGCAGACAGCAGCATTCTCAGAAACTTCTTTGTGATGTTTGCATTGAAGTCACAGAGTTGAACATTCCCTTTGAGAGAGCAGGTTTGAAACACGCCTTTTGTCATATCTGGAAGTGTCCATTCGGAGCGCATTCAGGCTTGTGTTGAAAAAGGAAATATCCTCCCATAAAAACTAGACAGAAGCATTCTCAGAAACTTATTTGTGATGTATGTACTCAACTAACAGAACTAAACCATCGTTTTGAAGGAGCAGTTTTGAAACACTCTTTTTGCGGAATCTGCAAGTGGATATTTGGCTAGCTGGGAGGATTTCGTTGGAAACGGGATTACATACAAAAAGCAGACAGCAGCATTCTCAGAAACTTCTTTGTGATGTTTGCATTCAAGTCACAGAGTTGAACATTCCCTTTCATAGAGCAGGTTTGAAACACTCTTTTTGTAGTATCTGGATGTGGACATTTGGATCGCTTTCAAGCCTATGGTGAAAAAGGAAATATATCTTCCCATGAAAACTAGACAGAAGCATTCTCAGAAACTTATTTGTGATGTGTGCCCTCAACTGACAGTGTTGAACCTTTGTTTTGATAGAGCAGTTCTGAAACACACTTTTTGTAAAATCTGCAAGAGGATATTTGGATAGCTTTGAGGATTTCGTTGGAAACGGGAATGTCTTCATGTAAACTCTAGACAGAAGCATTCTCAGAAACTGCTTTGGGATGTTTCAATTGAAGTCCCAGTGTTGAACATTCCCTTTCATAGAGCAGGTTTGAAACACTCTTTTTGTACTATCTGGAAGTGGACATTTGGAGCGCTTTCAGGTCTACGGTGAAAAAGGAGATATCTTCCAATAAAAACTAGATAGAAGCAATGTCAGAACTTTTTTCATGATGTATCTACTCAGCAAACAGAGTTGAACCTTTCTTTTGAGAGAGCAGTTTTGAAACACTCCTTTTGTGGAATATGCAAGTGGGTATTAGGCCAGCTTGGAGGATTTCGTTGGAAACGGGTAATACGTATAAAAAGCAGACAGCAGCATTGTCAGAAACTACTTTGTGATGTTTGCATTCAAGTCACAGAATTGAACACTCCCTTTCACAGAGCAGGTTTGAAACACTCTTTTTGTAGTGTCTGTAAGTGAACATTTGGATTGCTTTCAGGCCTAAGGTGAAAAAGGAAATATCTTCCCATAAAAACTAGACAGAAGCACTCTCAGAAACTTGTTTGTGATGTGTGCCCTCTACTGACAGAGTTGAACCTTTCTTTGCAAAGAGCAGTTTTGAAACACTCCTTTTGTAGAATCTGCAAGAGGATATTTGGATAGCTTTGAGGATTTCTTGGGAAACGGGAATGTCTTCAGATAAACTCTAGACAGAAGCATTCTCAGAAACTTCTTTGGGATGTTTCAATTGAAGTCACAGTGTTGAACATTCCCTTTCACAGAGCAGGTTTGAAACACTCTTTTTGTAGTGTCTATAAGTGAACATTTGGCGTGCTTTCAGGCGTAACGTGAAAAAGGAAATATCTTCCCATAAAAACCAGACAGAAGCATTCTCAGAAACTTGTTCGTGATGTGTGCCCTCTACTGACAGAGTTGAACCTTTCTTTGCAAAGAGCATCTTTGAAACACTCTTTTTGTAGAATCTGCAAGAGGATATTTGGATAGCTTGGAGGATTTCGTTGGAAACGGGTATGTCTTCAGATAAACTCTAGACAGAAGCATTCTCAGAAACTTCTTTGGGATGTTGCATTCAAGTCACAGAGTAGAACATTCCCATTCATAGAGCAGATTTGAAACACTCTTTTTGTAGTATCTGGAAGTGGACATTTGGAGCGCTTTCAGGCCTATGTTGAAAAAGGAAATATCTTCCCATAAAAACTAGACGGAAGCATTCTCAGAAACTTACTTGTGATGTGTTTGCTCAACTAACAGAATTGAACCATCGTTTTGAAGGAGCAGTTTTGAAACACTGTTTTCGTGGAATCTGCAAGTGGATATTTGGCTAGCTTTGAGGATTTCGTTGGAAACGGGATTACATATAAAAAGGAGACAGCAGCATTCTCAGAAACTTCTTTGTGATGTCTGCATTCAAGTCACAGAGTTGAGCATTCCCTTTCATAGAGCAGGTTGGAAACACTCTTTTTGTAGTATCTGGATGAGGACATTTGGAGCGCTTTCAGGCGTATGGTGAAAAAGGAAATATCTTCCCGTAAAAACTAGACAGAAGCATTCTCAGAAATTTATTTGTGATGTGTGCCCTCAACTAACAGAGTTGAACCTTTCTTTTGATAGAGCAGTTTTGAAACACTCTTTTTGTAAAATCTGCAAGAGGATATTTGGATAGCTTTGAGGATTTCGTTGCAAACGGGAATGGCTTCATATAAACTCTAGACAGAAGCATTCTCAGAAACTTCGTTGGGATGTTTCGATTGAAGTCCCAGTGTTGAACATTCCCTTTTATAGAGCAGGTTGGAAACACTCTTTCTGCATTCCCTGGAAGTGGACATTTGGAGCGCTTTCAGGACGACGGTGAAAATGGAAATATCTTCCAAGAAAATCTAGATAGAAGCAATGTCAGAAACTTTTATGTGATGGATCTACTCAGCTAACAGAGTTGAAGCTTTCTTTTGAGAGAGCAGTTTTGCAACACTCTTTTTGTGGAATATGCAAGTGGATATTAGGGCAGCTTTGAGGATTTCGTTGGAAACGGGAATACATGTAAAAAGCAGACAGCAGCATTCTCAGAAACTTCTTTGTGATGTTTGCATTGAAGTCACAGAGTTGAACATTCCCTTTGAGAGAGCAGGTTTGAAACACGCCTTTTGTCATATCTGGAAGTGTCCATTCGGAGCGCATTCAGGCTTGTGTTGAAAAAGGAAATATCCTCCCATAAAAACTAGACAGAAGCATTCTCAGAAACTTATCTGTGATGTATGTACTCAACTAACAGAACTAAACCATCGTTTTGAAGGAGCAGTTTTGAAACACTCTTTTTGCGGAATCTGCAAGTGGATATTTGGCTAGCTGGGAGGATTTCGTTGGAAACGGGATTACATACAAAAAGCAGAGAGCAGCATTCTCAGAAACTTCTTTGTGATGTTTGCATTCAAGTCACAGAGTTGAACATTCCCTTTCATAGAGCAGGTTTGAAACACTCTTTTTGTAGTATCTGGATGTGGACATTTGGATCGCTTTCAGGCCTATGGTGAAAAAGGAAATATCTTCCCATGAAAACTAGACAGAAGCATTCTCAGAAACTTATTTGTGATGTGTGCCCTCAACTGACAGTGTTGAACCTTTGTTTTGATAGAGCAGTTCTGAAACACACTTTTTGTAAAATCTGCAAGAGGATATTTGGATAGCTTTGAGGATTTCGTTGGAAACGGGAATGTCTTCATGTAAACTCTAGACAGAAGCATTCTCAGAAACTGCTTTGGGATGTTTCAATTGAAGTCCCAGTGTTGAACATTCCCTTTCATAGAGCAGGTTTGAAACACTCTTTTTGTACTATCTGGAAGTGGACATTTGGAGCGCTTTCAGGTCTACGGTGAAAAAGGAGATATCTTCCAATAAAAACTAGATAGAAGCAATGTCAGAACTTTTTTCATGATGTATCTACTCAGCAAACAGAGTTGAACCTTTCTTTTGAGGGAGCAGTTTTGAAACACTATTTTTGTGGAATATGCAAGTGGGTATTAGGCCAGCTTGGAGGATTTCGTTGGAAACGGGAATACGTATAAAAAGCAGACAGCAGCATTGTCAGAAACTACTTTGTGATGTTTGCATTCAAGTCACAGAATTGAACACTCCCTTTCACAGAGCAGGTTTGAAACACTCTTTTTGTAGTGTCTGTAAGTGAACATTTGGATTGCTTTCAGGCCTAAGGTGAAAAAGGAAATATCTTCCCATAAAAACTAGACAGAAGCATTCTCAGAAACTTGTTTGTGATGTGTGCCCTCTACTGACAGAGTTGAACCTTTCTTTGCAAAGAGCAGTTTTGAAACACTCTTTTTGTAGAATCTGCAAGAGGATATTTGGATAGCTTTGAGGATTTCTTGGGAAACGGGAATGTCTTCAGATAAACTCTAGACAGAAGCATTCTCAGAAACTTCTTTGGGATGTTTCAATTGAAGTCACAGTGTTGAACATTCCCTTTCACAGAGCAGGTTTGAAACACTCTTTTTGTAGTGTCTATAAGTGAACATTTGGCGTGCTTTCAGGCCTAACGTGAAAAAGGAAATATCTTCCCATAAAAACTAGACAGAAGCATTCTCAGAAACTTGTTCGTGATGTGTGCCCTCTACTGACAGAGTTGAACCTTTCTTTGCAAAGAGCAGCTTTGAAACACACTTTTTGTAGAATCTGCAAGAGGATATTTGGATAGCTTTGAGGATTTCGTTGGAAACGGGTATGTCTTCAGATAAACTCTAGACAGAAGCATTCTCAGAAACTTCTTTGGGATGTTGCATGCAAGTCACAGAGTAGAACATTCCCATTCATAAATCAGATTTGAAACACTCTTTTTGTAGTATCTGGAAGTGGACATTTGGAGCGCTTTCAGGCCTATGTTGAAAAAGGAAATATCTTCCCATAAAAACTAGACGGAAGCATTCTCAGAAACTTATTTGTGATGTGTTTGCTCAACTAACAGGATTGAACCATCGTTTTGAAGGAGCAGTTTTGAAACACTGTTTTCGTGGAATCTGCAAGTGGATATTTGGCTAGCTTTGAGGATTTTGTTGGAAACGGGATTACATATAAAAAGGAGACAGCAGCATTCTGAGAAACTTCTTTGTGATGTCTGCATTCAATTCACAGAGTTGAGCATTCCCTTTCATAGAGCAGGTTGGAAACACTCTTTTTGTAGTATCTGGATGTGGACATTTGGATCGCTTTCAGGCCTATGGTGAAAAAGGAAATATCTTCCCATGAAAACTAGACAGAAGCATTCTCAGAAACTTATTTGTGATGTGTGCCCTCAACTGACAGTGTTGAACCTTTGTTTTGATAGAGCAGTTCTGAAACACACTTTTTGTAAAATCTGCAAGAGGATATTTGGATAGCTTTGAGGATTTCGTTGGAAACGGGAATGTCTTCATGTAAACTCTAGACAGAAGCATTCTCAGAAACTGCTTTGGGATGTTTCAATTGAAGTCCCAGTGTTGAACATTCCCATTCATAGAGCAGGTTTGAAACACTCTTTTTGTACTATCTGGAAGTGGACATTTGGAGCGCTTTCAGGTCTACGGTGAAAAAGGAGATATCTTCCAATAAAAACTAGATAGAAGCAATGTCAGAACTTTTTTCATGATGTATCTACTCAGCTAACAGAGTTGAACCTTTCTTTTGAGAGAGCAGTTTTGAAACACTCTTTTTGTGGAATATGCAAGTGGGTATTAGGCCAGCTTGGAGGATTTCGTTGGAAACGGGAATACGTATAAAAAGCAGACAGCAGCATTGTCAGAAACTACTTTGTGATGTTTGCATTCAAGTCACAGAATTGAACACTCCCTTTCACAGAGCAGGTTTGAAACACTCTTTTTGTAGTGTCTATAAGTGAACATTTGGCGTGCTTTCAGGCCTAAGGTGAAAAAGGAAATATCTTCCCATAAAAACTAGACAGAAGCATTCTCAGAAACTTGTTCGTGATGTGTGCCCTCTACTGACAGAGTTGAACCTTTCTTTGCAAAGAGCAGCTTTGAAACACTCTTTTTGTAGAATCTGCAAGAGGATATTTGGATAGCTTTGAGGATTTCGTTGGAAACGGGTATGTCTTCAGATAAACTCTAGACAGAAGCATTCTCAGAAACTTCTTTGGGATGTTGCATTCAAGTCACAGAGTAGAACATTCCCATTCATAGAGCAGATTTGAAACACTCTTTTTGTAGTATCTGGAAGTGGACATTTGGAGCGCTTTCAGGCCTATGTTGAAAAAGGAAATATCTTCCCATAAAAACTAGACGGAAGCATTCTCAGAAACTTACTTGTGATGTGTTTGCTCAACTAACAGAATTGAACCATCGTTTTGAAGGAGCAGTTTTGAAACACTGTTTTCGTGGAATCTGCAAGTGGATATTTGGCTAGCTTTGAGGATTTCGTTGGAAACGGGATTACATATAAAAAGGAGACAGCAGCATTCTCAGAAACTTCTTTGTGATGTCTGCATTCAAGTCACAGAGTTGAGCATTCCGTTTCATAGAGCAGGTTGGAAACACTCTTTTTGTAGTATCTGGATGAGGACATTTGGAGCGCTTTCAGGCCTATGGTGAAAAAGGAAATATCTTCCCGTAAAAACTAGACAGAAGCATTCTCAGAAGTTTATTTGTGATGTGTGCCCTCAACTAACAGAGTTGAACCTTTCTTTTGATACAGCAGTTTTGAAACACTCTTTTTGTAAAATCTGCTAGAGGATATTTGGATAGCTTTGAGGATTTCGTTGCAAACGGGAATGGCTTCATATAAACTCTAGACAGAAGCATTCTCAGAAACTTCGTTGGGATGTTTCGATTGAAGTCCCAGTGTTGAACATTCCCTTTTATAGAGCAGGTTGGAAACACTCTTTCTGCATTCCCTGGAAGTGGACATTTGGAGCGCTTTCAGGACGACGGTGAAAATGGAAATATCTTCCAAGAAAATCTAGATAGAAGCAACGTCAGAAACTTTTCTGTGATGGATCTACTCAGCTAACAGAGTTGAACCTTTCTTTTGAGAGAGCAGTTTTGCAACACTCTTTTTGTGGAATATGCAAGTGGATATTAGGGCAGCTTTGAGGATTTCGTTGGAAACGGGAATACATGTAAAAAGCAGACAGCAGCATTCTCAGAAACTTCTTTGTGATGTTTGCATTGAAGTCACAGAGTTGAACATTCCCTTTGAGAGAGCAGGTTTGAAACACGCCTTTTGTCATATCTGGAAGTGTCCATTCGGAGCGCATTCAGGCTTGTGTTGAAAAAGGAAATATCCTCCCATAAAAACTAGACAGAAGCATTCTCAGAAACTTATCTGTGATGTATGTACTCAACTAACAGAACTAAACCATCGTTTTGAAGGAGCAGTTTTGAAACACTCTTTTTGCGGAATCTGCAAGTGGATATTTGGCTAGCTGGGAGGATTTCGTTGGAAACGGGATTACATACAAAAAGCAGACAGCAGCATTCTCAGAAACTTCTTTGTGATGTTTGCATTCAAGTCACAGAGTTGAACATTCCCTTTCATAGAGCAGGTTTGAAACACTCTTTTTGTAGTATCTGGATGTGGACATTTGGATCGCTTTCAGGCCTATGGTGAAAAAGGAAATATCTTCCCATGAAAACTAGACAGAAGCATTCTCAGAAACTTATTTGTGATGTGTGCCCTCAACTGACAGTGTTGAACCTTTGTTTTGATAGAGCAGTTCTGAAACACACTTTTTGTAAAATCTGCAAGAGGATATTTGGATAGCTTTGAGGATTTCGTTGGAAACGGGAATGTCTTCATGTAAACTTCTAGACAGAAGCATTCTCAGAAACTGCTTTGGGATGTTTCAATTGAAGTCCCAGTGTTGAACATTCCCTTTCATAGAGCAGGTTTGAAACACTCTTTTTGTACTATCTGGAAGTGGACATTTGGAGCGCTTTCAGGTCTAAGGTGAAAAAGGAGATATCTTCCAATAAAAACTAGATAGAAGCAATGTCAGAACTTTTTTCATGATGTATCTACTCAGCAAACAGAGTTGAACCTTTCTTTTGAGAGAGCAGTTTTGAAACACTCTTTTTGTGGAATATGCAAGTGGGTATTAGGCCAGCTTGGAGGATTTCGTTGGAAACGGGAATACGTATAAAAAGCAGACAGCAGCATTGTCAGAAACTACTTTGTGATGTTTGCATTCAAGTCACAGAATTGAACACTCCCTTTCACAGAGCAGGTTTGAAACACTCTTTTTGTAGTGTCTGTAAGTGAACATATGGATTGCTTTCAGGCCTAAGGTGAAAAAGGAAATATCTTCCCATAAAAACTAGACAGAAGCATTCTCAGAAACTTGTTTGTGATGTGTGCCCTCTACTGACAGAGTTGAACCTTTCTTTGCAAAGAGCAGTTTTGAAACACTCTTTTTGTAGAATCTGCAAGAGGATATGTGGATAGCTTTGAGGATTTCGTTGGAAACGGGTATGTCTTCAGATAAACTCTAGACAGAAGCATTCTCAGAAACTTCTTTGGGATGTTTCAATTGAAGTCACAGTGTTGAACATTCCCTTTCACAGAGCAGGTTTGAAACACTCTTTTTGTAGTGTCTATAAGTGAACATTTGGCGTGCTTTCAGGCGTAACGTGAAAAAGGAAATATCTTCCCATAAAAACCAGACAGAAGCATTCTCAGAAACTTGTTCGTGATGTGTGCCCTCTACTGACAGAGTTGAACCTTTCTTTGCAAAGAGCAGCTTTGAAACACACTTTTTGTAGAATCTGCAAGAGGATATTTGGATAGCTTTGAGGATTTCGTTGGAAACGGGTATGTCTTCAGATAAACTACTAGACAGAAGCATTCTCAGAAACTTCTTTGGGATGTTGCATTCAAGTCACAGAGTAGAACATTCCCATTCATAGAGCAGATTTGAAACACTCTTTGTGTAGTATCTGGAAGTGGACATTTGGAGCGCTTTCAGGCCTATGTTGAAAAAGGAAATATCTTCCCATAAAAACTAGACGGAAGCATTCTCAGAAACTTACTTGTGATGTGTTTGCTCAACTAACAGAATTGAACCATCGTTTTGAAGGAGCAGTTTTGAAACACTGTTTTCGTGGAATCTGCAAGTGGATATTTGGCTAGCTTTGAGGATTTCGTTGGAAACGGGATTACATATAAAAAGGAGACAGCCAGCATTCTCAGAAACTTCTTTGTGATGTCTGCATTCAATTCACAGAGTTGAGCATTCCCTTTCATAGAGCAGGTTGGAAACACTCTTTTTGTAGTATCTGGATGAGGACATTTGGAGCGCTTTCAGGCGTATGGTGAAAAAGGAAATATCTTCCCGTAAAAACTAGACAGAGCATTCTCAGAAGTTTATTTGTGATGTGTGCCCTCAACTAACAGAGTTGAACCTTTCTTTTGATAGAGCAGTTTTGAAACACTCTTTTTGTAAAATCTGCAAGAGGATATTTGGATAGCTTTGAGGATTTCGTTGCAAACGGGAATGGCTTCATATAAACTCTAGACAGAAGCATTCTCAGAAACTTCGTTGGGATGTTTCGATTGAAGTCCCAGTGTTGAACATTCCCTTTTATAGAGCAGGTTGGAAACACTCTTTCTGCATTCCCTGGAAGTGGACATTTGGAGCGCTTTCAGGACGACGGTGAAAATGGAAATATCTTCCAAGAAAATCTAGATAGAAGCAATGTCAGAAACTTTTATGTGATGGATCTACTCAGCTAACAGAGTTGAACCTTTCTTTTGAGAGAGCAGTTTTGCAACACTCTTTTTGTGGAATATGCAAGTGGATATTAGGGCAGCTTTGAGGATTTCGTTGGAAACGGGAATACATGTAAAAAGCAGACAGCAGCATTCTCAGAAACTTCTTTGTGATGTTTGCATTGAAGTCACAGAGTTGAACATTCCCTTTGAGAGAGCAGGTTTGAAACACGCCTTTTGTCATATCTGGAAGTGTCCATTCGGAGCGCATTCAGGCATGTGTTGAAAAAGGAAATATCCTCCCATAAAAACTAGACAGATAAGCATTCTCAGAAACTTATCTGTGATGTATGTACTCAACTAACAGGAACTAAACCATCGTTTTGAAGGAGCAGTTTTGAAACACTCTTTTTGCGGAATCTGCAAGTGGATATTTGGCTAGCTGGGAGGATTTCGTTGGAAACGGGATTACATACAAAAAGCAGAGAGCAGCATTCTCAGAAACTTCTTTGTGATGTTTGCATTCAAGTCACAGAGTTGAACATTCCCTTTCATAGAGCAGGTTTGAAACACTCTTTTTGTAGTATCTGGATGTGGACATTTGGATCGCTTTCAGGCCTATGGTGAAAAAGGAAATATCTTCCCATGAAAACTAGACAGAAGCATTCTCAGAAACTTATTTGTGATGTGTGCCCTCAACTGACAGTGTTGAACCTTTGTTTTGATAGAGCAGTTCTGAAACACACTTTTTGTAAAATCTGCAAGAGGATATTTGGATAGCTTTGAGGATTTCGTTGGAAACGGGAATGTCTTCATGTAAACTCTACACAGAAGCATTCTCAGAAACTGCTTTGGGATGTTTCAATTGAAGTCCCAGTGTTGAACATTCCCATTCATAGAGCAGGTTTGAAACACTCTTTTTGTACTATCTGGAAGTGGACATTTGGAGCGCTTTCAGGTCTACGGTGAAAAAGGAGATATCTTCCAATAAAAACTAGATAGAAGCAATGTCAGAACTTTTTTCATGATGTATCTACTCAGCAAACAGAGTTGAACCTTTCTTTTGAGAGAGCAGTTTTGAAACACTCTTTTTGTGGAATATGCAAGTGGGTATTAGGCCAGCTTGGAGGATTTCCCTTGGAAACGGGAATACGTATAAAAAGCAGACAGCAGCATTCTCAGAAACTTCTTTGTGATGTTTGCATTGAAGTCCCAGATTTGAACATTCCCTTTCATAGAGCAGGTTTGAAACACGCCTTTTGTCATATCTGGAAGTTGTCCATTTGGAGCGCATTCCGGCTTGTGTTGAAAAAGGAAATATCCTCCCATAAAAACTAGATAGAAGCATTCTCAGAAACTTATTTGTGATGTGAGTACTCAACTAAGAGAGTTGAACCTTTCTTTTGAGAGAGCAGTTTTGAAACACTCTTTTTGTGGAATCTGCAAGTGGATATTTGTCTAGCTTTGAGGATTTCGTTCGAAACGGGATTACATATAAAAAGCAGACAGCAGCATTCCCAGAATCTTCTTTGTGATGTTTGCATTCAAGTCACAGAGTTGAACATTCCCTTTCATAGAGCAGGTTTGAAACACTCTTTTTGTAGTATCTGGATGTGGACATTTGGAGCGCTTTCAGGCCTATGGTGAAAAAGGATATATCTTCCCCTGAAAACTACACAGAAGCATTCTCAGAAATTTATTTGTGATGTGTGCCCTCAACTAACAGAGTTGAACCTTTCTTTTTATAGAGCAGTTTTGAAACACTCTTTTTGTAAAATCTGCAAGAGGATATTTGGATAGCTTTGAGGATTTCGTTGCAAACGGGAATGGCTTCATATAAACTCTAGACAGAAGCATTCTCAGAAACCTCGTTGGGATGTTTCGATTGAAGTCCCAGTGTTGAACATTCCCTTTTATAGAGCAGGTTGGAAACACTCTTTCTGCATTCCCTGGAAGTGGACATTTGGAGCACTTTCAGGACGACGGTGAAAATGGAAATATCTTCCAAGAAAATCTAGATAGAAGCAACGTCAGAAACTTTTCTGTGATGGATCTACTCAAGCTAACAGAGTTGAACCTTTCTTTTGAGAGAGCAGTTTTGCAACACTCTTTTTGTGGAATATGCAAGTGGATATTAGGGCAGCTTTGAGGATTTCGTTGGAAACGGGAATACATGTAAAAAGCAGACAGCAGCATTCTCAGAAACTTCTTTGTGATGTTTGCATTGAAGTCACAGAGTTGAACATTCCCTTTGAGAGAGCAGGTTTGAAACACGCCTTTTGTCATATCTGGAAGTGTCCATTCGGAGCGCATTCAGGCTTGTGTTGAAAAAGGAAATATCCTCCCATAAAAACTAGACAGAAGCATTCTCAGAAACTTATCTGTGATGTATGTACTCAACTAACAGAACTAAACCATCGTTTTGAAGGAGCAGTTTTGAAACACTCTTTTTGCGGAATCTGCAAGTGGATATTTGGCTAGCTGGGAGGATTTCGTTGGAAACGGGATTACATACAAAAAGCAGACAGCAGCATTCTCAGAAACTTCTTTGTGATGTTTGCATTCAAGTCACAGAGTTGAACATTCCCTTTCATAGAGCAGGTTTGAAACACTCTTTTTGTAGTATCTGGATGTGGACATTTGGATCGCTTTCAGGCCTATGGTGAAAAAGGAAATATCTTCCCATGAAAACTAGACAGAAGCATTCTCAGAAACTTATTTGTGATGTGTGCCCTCAACTGACAGTGTTGAACCTTTGTTTTGATAGAGCAGTTCTGAAACACACTTTTTGTAAAATCTGCAAGAGGATATTTGGATAGCTTTGAGGATTTCGTTGGAAACGGGAATGTCTTCATGTAAACTCTAGACAGAAGCATTCTCAGAAACTGCTTTGGGATGTTTCAATTGAAGTCCCAGTGTTGAACATTCCCTTTCATAGAGCAGGTTTGAAACACTCTTTTTGTACTATCTGGAAGTGGACATTTGGAGCGCTTTCAGGTCTACGGTGAAAAAGGAGATATCTTCCAATAAAAACTAGATAGAAGCAATGTCAGAACTTTTTTCATGATGTATCTACTCAGCAAACAGAGTTGAACCTTTCTTTTGAGAGAGCAGTTTTGAAACACTCTTTTTGTGGAATATGCAAGTGGGTATTAGGCCAGCTTGGAGGATTTCGTTGGAAACGGGAATACGTATAAAAAGCAGACAGCAGCATTGTCAGAAACTACTTTGTGATGTTTGCATTCAAGTCACAGAATTGAACACTCCCTTTCACAGAGCAGGTTTGAAACACTCTTTTTGTAGTGTCTGTAAGTGAACATTTGGATTGCTTTCAGGCCTAAGGTGAAAAAGGAAATATCTTCCCATAAAAACTAGACAGAAGCATTCTCAGAAACTTGTTTGTGATGTGTGCCCTCTACTGACAGAGTTGAACCTTTCTTTGCAAAGAGCAGTTTTGAAACACCCTTTTTGTAGAATCTGCAAGAGGATATTTGGATAGCTTTGAGGATTTCTTGGGAAACAGGAATGTCTTCAGATAAACTCTAGACAGAAGCATTCTCAGAAACTTCTTTGGGATGTTTCAGTTGAAGTCACAGTGTTGAACATTCCCTTTCACAGAGCAGGTTTGAAACACTCTTTTTGTAGTGTCTATAAGTGAACATTTGGCGTGCTTTCAGGCGTAACGTGAAAAAGGAAATATCTTCCCATAAAAACTAGACAGAAGCATTCTCAGAAACTTGTTCGTGATGTGTGCCCTCTACTGACAGAGTTGAACCTTTCTTTGCAAAGAGCAGCTTTGAAACACACTTTTTGTAGAATCTGCATGAGGATATTTGGATAGCTTTGAGGATTTCGTTGGAAACGGGTATGTCTTCAGATAAACTCTAGACAGAAGCATTCTCAGAAACTTCTTTGGGATGTTGCATGCAAGTCACAGAGTAGAACATTCCCATTCATAGAGCAGATTTGAAACACTCTTTTTGTAGTATCTGGAAGTGGACATTTGGAGCGCTTTCAGGCCTATGTTGAAAAAGGAAATATCTTCCCATAAAAACTAGACGGAAGCATTCTCAGAAACTTATTTGTGATGTGTTTGCTCAACTAACAGGATTGAACCATCCTTTTGAAGGAGCAGTTTTGAAACACTGTTTTCGTGGAATCTGCAAGTGGATATTTGGCTAGCTTTGAGGATTTCGTTGGAAACGGGATTACATATAAAAAGGAGACAGCAGCATTCTCAGAAACTTCTTTGTGATTTCTGCATTCAATTCACAGAGTTGAGCATTCCCTTTCATAGAGCAGGTTGGAAACACTCTTTTTGTAGTATCTGGATGTGGACATTTGGATCGCTTTCAGGCCTATGGTGAAAAAGGAAATATCTTCCTATGAAAACTAGACAGAAGCATTCTCAGAAACTTATTTGTGATGTGTGCACTCAACTGACAGTGTTGAACCTTTGTTTTGATAGAGCAGTTCTGAAACACACTTTTTGTAAAATCTGCAAGAGGATATTTGGATAGCTTTGAGGATTTCGTTGGAAACGGGAATGTCTTCATGTAAACTCTAGACAGAAGCATTCTCAGAAACTGCTTTGGGATGTTTCAATTGAAGTCCCAGTGTTGAACATTCCCATTCATAGAGCAGGTTTGAAACACTCTTTTTGTACTATCTGGAAGTGGACATTTGGAGCGCTTTCAGGTCTACGGTGAAAAAGGAGATATCTTCCAATAAAAACTAGATAGAAGCAATGTCAGAACTTTTTTCATGATGTATCTACTCAGCAAACAGAGTTGAACCTTTCTTTTGAGAGAGCAGTTTTGACACAGTCTTTGTGGAATATGCAAGTGGGTATTAGGCCAGCTTGGAGGATTTCGTTGGAAACGGGAATACGTATAAAAAGCAGACAGCAGCATTGTCAGAAACTACTTTGTGATGTTTGCATTCAAGTCACAGAATTGAACACTCCCTTTCACAGAGCAGGTTTGAAACACTCTTTTTGTAGTGTCTGTAAGTGAACATTTGGATTGCTTTCAGGCCTATGGTGAAAAAGGAAATATCTTCCCATAAAAACTAGACAGAAGCATTCTCAGAAACTTGTTTGTGATGTGTGCCCTCTACTGACAGAGTTGAACCTTTCTTTGCAAAGAGCAGTTTTGAAACACTCTTTTTGTAGAATCTGCAAGAGGATATTTGGATAGCTTTGAGGATTTCTTGGGAAACGGGAATGTCTTCAGATAAACTCTAGACAGAAGCATTCTCAGAAACTTCTTTGGGATGTTTCAATTGAAGTCACAGTGTTGAACATTCCCTTTCACAGAGCAGGTTTGAAACACTCTTTTTGTAGTGTCTATAAGTGAACATTTGGCGTGCTTTCAGGCCTAACGTGAAAAAGGAAATATCTTCCCATAAAAACTAGACAGAAGCATTCTCAGAAACTTGTTCATGATGTGTGCCCTCTACTGACAGAGTTGAACCTTTCTTTGCAAAGAGCAGCTTTGAAACACTCTTTTTGTAGAATCTGCAAGAGGATATTTGGATAGCTTGGAGGATTTCGTTGGAAACGGGTATGTCTTCAGATAAACTCTAGACAGAAGCATTCTCAGAAACTTCTTTGGGATGTTGCATTCAAGTCACAGAGTAGAACATTCCCATTCATAGAGCAGATTTGAAACACTCTTTTTGTAGTATCTGGAAGTGGACATTTGGAGCGCTTTCAGGCCTATGTTGAAAAAGGAAATATCTTCCCATAAAAACTAGACGGAAGCATTCTCAGAAACTTACTTGTGATGTGTTTGCTCAACTAACAGAATTGAACCATCGTTTTGAAGGAGCAGTTTTGAAACACTGTTTTCGTGGAATCTGCAAGTGGATATTTGGCTAGCTTTGAGGATTTCGTTGGAAACGGGATTACATATAAAAAGGAGACAGCAGCATTCTCAGAAACTTCTTTGTGATGTCTGCATTCAAGTCACAGAGTTGAGCATTCCCTTTCATAGAGCAGGTTGGAAACACTCTTTTTGTAGTATCTGGATGAGGACATTTGGAGCGCTTTCAGGCCTATGGTGAAAAAGGAAATATCTTCCCGTAAAAACTAGACAGAAGCATTCTCAGAAATTTATTTGTGATGTGTGCCCTCAACTAACAGAGTTGAACCTTTCTTTTGATAGAGCAGTTTTGAAACACTCTTTTTGTAAAATCTGCAAGAGGATATTTGGATAGCTTTGAGGATTTCGTTGCAAACGGGAATGGCTTCATATAAACTCTAGACAGAAGCATTCTCAGAAACTTCGTTGGGATGTTTCGATTGAAGTCCCAGTGTTGAACATTCCCTTTTATAGAGCAGGTTGGAAACACTCTTTCTGCATTCCCTGGAAGTGGACATTTGGAGCGCTTTCAGGACGACGGTGAAAATGGAAATATCTTCCAAGAAAATCTAGATAGAAGCAACGTCAGAAACTTTTATGTGATGGATCTACTCAGCTAACAGAGTTGAACCTTTCTTTTGAGAGAGCAGTTTTGCAACACTCTTTTTGTGGAATATGCAAGTGGATATTAGGGCAGCTTTGAGGATTTCGTTGGAAACGGGAATACATGTAAAAAGCAGACAGCAGCATTCTCAGAAACTTCTTTGTGATGTTTGCATTGAAGTCACAGAGTTGAACATTCCCTTTGAGAGAGCAGGTTTGAAACACGCCTTTTGTCATATCTGGAAGTGTCCATTCGGAGCGCATTCAGGCTTGTGTTGAAAAAGGAAATATCCTCCCATAAAAACTAGACAGAAGCATTCTCAGAAACTTATCTGTGATGTATGTACTCAACTAACAGAACTAAACCATCGTTTTGAAGGAGCAGTTTTGAAACACTCTTTTTGCGGAATCTGCAAGTGGATATTTGGCTAGCTGGGAGGATTTCGTTGGAAACGGGATTACATACAAAAAGCAGACAGCAGCATTCTCAGAAACTTCTTTGTGATGTTGGCATTCAAGTCACAGAGTTGAACATTCCCTTTCATAGAGCAGGTTTGAAACACTCTTTTTGTAGTATCTGGATGTGGACATTTGGATCGCTTTCAGGCCTATGGTGAAAAAGGAAATATCTTCCCATGAAAACTAGACAGAAGCATTCTCAGAAACTTATTTGTGATGTGTGCCCTCAACTGACAGTGTTGAACCTTTGTTTTGATAGAGCAGTTCTGAAACACACTTTTTGTAAAATCTGCAAGAGGATATTTGGATAGCTTTGAGGATTTCGTTGGAAACGGGAATGTCTTCATGTAAACTCTACACAGAAGCATTCTCAGAAACTGCTTTGGGATGTTTCAATTGAAGTCCCAGTGTTGAACATTCCCATTCATAGAGCAGGTTTGAAACACTCTTTTTGTACTATCTGGAAGTGGACATTTGGAGCGCTTTCAGGTCTACGGTGAAAAAGGAGATATCTTCCAATAAAAACTAGATAGAAGCAATGTCAGAACTTTTTTCATGATGTATCTACTCAGCAAACAGAGTTGAACCTTTCTTTTGAGAGAGCAGTTTTGAAACACTCTTTTTGTGGAATATGCAAGTGGGTATTAGGCCAGCTTGGAGGATTTCGTTGGAAACGGGAATACGTATAAAAAGCAGACAGCAGCATTGTCAGAAACTACTTTGTGATGTTTGCATTCAAGTCACAGAATTGAACACTCCCTTTCACAGAGCAGGTTTGAAACACTCTTTTTGTAGTGTCTGTAAGTGAACATTTGGATTGCTTTCAGGCCTAAGGTGAAAAAGGAAATATCTTCCCATAAAAACTAGACAGAAGCATTCTCAGAAACTTGTTTGTGATGTGTGCCCTCTACTGACAGAGTTGAACCTTTCTTTGCAAAGAGCAGTTTTGAAACACTCTTTTTGTAGAATCTGCAAGAGGATATTTGGATAGCTTTGAGGATTTCTTGGGAAACGGGAATGTCTTCAGATAAACTCTAGACAGAAGCATTCTCAGAAACTTCTTTGGGATGTTTCAATTGAAGTCACAGTGTTGAACATTCCCTTTCACAGAGCAGGTTTGAAACACTCTTTTTGTAGTGTCTATAAGTGAACATTTGGCGTGCTTTCAGGCGTAACGTGAAAAAGGAAATATCTTCCCATAAAAACTAGACAGAAGCATTCTCAGAAACTTGTTCGTGATGTGTGCCCTCTACTGACAGAGTTGAACCTTTCTTTGCAAAGAGCAGCTTTGAAACACACTTTTTGTAGAATCTGCAAGAGGATATTTGGATAGCTTTGAGGATTTCGTTGGAAACGGGTATGTCTTCAGATAAACTCTAGACAGAAGCATTCTCAGAAACTTCTTTGGGATGTTGCATGCAAGTCACAGAGTAGAACATTCCCATTCATAGAGCAGATTTGAAACACTCTTTTTGTAGTATCTGGAAGTGGACATTTGGAGCGCTTTCAGGCCTATGTTGAAAAAGGAAATATCTTCCCATAAAAACTAGACGGAAGCATTCTCAGAAACTTATTTGTGATGTGTTTGCTCAACTAACAGGATTGAACCATCGTTTTGAAGGAGCAGTTTTGAAACACTGTTTTCGTGGAATCTGCAAGTGGATATTTGGCTAGCTGGGAGGATTTCGTTGGAAACGGGATTACATATAAAAAGGAGACAGCAGCATTCTGAGAAACTTCTTTGTGATGTCTGCATTCAATTCACAGAGTTGAGCATTCCCTTTCATAGAGCAGGTTTGAAACACTCTTTTTGTAGTATCTGGATGTGGACATTTGGATCGCTTTCAGGCCTATGGTGAAAAAGGAAATATCTTCCCATGAAAACTAGACAGAAGCATTCTCAGAAACTTATTTGTGATGTGTGCCCTCAACTGACAGTGTTGAACCTTTGTTTTGATAGAGCAGTTCTGAAACACACTTTTTGTAAAATCTGCAAGAGGATATTTGGATAGCTTTGAGGATTTCGTTGGAAACGGGAATGTCTTCATGTAAACTCTAGACAGAAGCATTCTCAGAAACTGCTTTGGGATGTTTCAATTGAAGTCCCAGTGTTGAACATTCCCTTTCATAGAGCAGGTTTGAAACACTCTTTTTGTACTATCTGGAAGTGGACATTTGGAGCGCTTTCAGGTCTACGGTGAAAAAGGAGATATCTTCCAATAAAAACTAGATAGAAGCAATGTCAGAACTTTTTTCATGATGTATCTACTCAGCAAACAGAGTTGAACCTTTCTTTTGAGAGAGCAGTTTTGAAACACTCCTTTTGTGGAATATGCAAGTGGGTATTAGGCCAGCTTGGAGGATTTCGTTGGAAACGGGAATACGTATAAAAAGCAGACAGCAGCATTGTCAGAAACTACTTTGTGATGTTTGCATTCAAGTCACAGAATTGAACACACCCTTTCACAGAGCAGGTTTGAAACACTCTTTTTGTAGTGTCTGTAAGTGAACATTTGGATTGATTTCAGGCCTAAGGTGAAAAAGGAAATATCTTCCCATAAAAACTAGACAGAAGCATTCTCAGAAACTTGTTTGTGATGTGTGCCCTCTACTGACAGAGTTGAACCTTTCTTTGCAAAGAGCAGTTTTGAAACACTCTTTTTGTAGAATCTGCAAGAGGATACTTGGATAGCTTTGAGGATTTCTTGGGAAACGGGAATGTCTTCAGATAAACTCTAGACAGAAGCATTCTCAGAAACTTCTTTGGGATGTTTCAATTGAAGTCACAGTGTTGAACATTCCCTTTCACAGAGCAGGTTTGAAACACTCTTTTTGTAGTGTCTATAAGTGAACATTTGGCGTGCTTTCAGGCGTAACGTGAAAAAGGAAATATCTTCCCATAAAAACTAGACAGAAGCATTCTCAGAAACTTGTTCGTGATGTGTGCCCTCTACTGACAGAGTTGAACCTTTCTTTGCAAAGAGCAGCTTTGAAACACACTTTTTGTAGAATCTGCAAGAGGATATTTGGATAGTTTTGAGGATTTCGTTGGAAACGGGTATGTCTTCAGATAAACTCTAGACAGAAGCATTCTCAGAAACTTCTTTGGGATGTTGCATTCAAGTCACAGAGTAGAACATTCCCATTCATAGAGCAGATTTGAAACACTCTTTTTGTAGTATCTGGAAGTGGACATTTGGAGCGCTTTCAGGCCTATGTTGAAAAAGGAAATATCTTCCCATAAAAACTAGACGGAAGCATTCTCAGAAACTTACTTGTGATGTGTTTGCTCAACTAACAGAATTGAACCATCGTTTGGAAGGAGCAGTTTTGAAACACTGTTTTCGTGGAATCTGCAAGTGGATATTTGGCTAGCTTTGAGGATTTCGTTGGAAACGGGATTACATATAAAAAGGAGACAGCAGCATTCTCAGAAACTTCTTTGTGATGTCTGCATTCAAGTCACAGAGTTGAGCATTCCCTTTCATAGAGCAGGTTGGAAACACTCTTTTTGTAGTATCTGGATGAGGACATTTGGAGCGCTTTCAGGCGTATGGTGAAAAAGGAAATATCTTCCCGTAAAAACTAGACAGAAGCATTCTCAGAAATTTATTTGTGATGTGTGCCCTCAACTAACAGAGTTGAACCTTTCTTTTGATAGAGCAGTTTTGAAACACTCTTTTTGTAAAATCTGCAAGAGGATATTTGGATAGCTTGGAGGATTTCATTGCAAACGGGAATGGCTTCATATAAACTCTAGACAGAAGCATTCTCAGAAACTTCGTTGGGATGTTTCGATTGAAGTCCCAGTGTTGAACATTCCCTTTTATAGAGCAGGTTGGAAACACTCTTTCTGCATTCCCTGGAAGTGGACATTTGGAGCGCTTTCAGGACGACGGTGAAAATGGAAATATCTTCCAAGAAAATCTAGATAGAAGCAATGTCAGAAACTTTTATGTGATGGATCTACTCAGCTAACAGAGTTGAAGCTTTCTTTTGAGAGAGCAGTTTTGCAACACTCTTTTTGTGGAATATGCAAGTGGATATTAGGGCAGCTTTGAGGATTTCGTTGGAAACGGGAATACATGTAAAAAGCAGACAGCAGCATTCTCAGAAACTTCTTTGTGATGTTTGCATTGAAGTCACAGAGTTGAACATTCCCTTTGAGAGAGCAGGTTTGAAACACGCCTTTTGTCATATCTGGAAGTGTCCATTCGGAGCGCATTCAGGCTTGTGTTGAAAAAGGAAATATCCTCCCAGAAAAACTAGACAGAAGCATTCTCAGAAACTTATCTGTGATGTATGTACTCAACTAACAGAACTAAAAAATCGTTTTGAAGGAGCAGTTTTGAAGCACTCTTTTTGCGGAATCTGCAAGTGGATATTTGGCTAGCTGGGAGGATTTCGTTGGAAACGGGATTACATACAAAAAGCAGACAGCAGCATTCTCAGAAACTTCTTTGTGATGTTTGCATTCAAGTCACAGAGTTGAACATTCCCTTTCATAGAGCAGGTTTGAAACACTCTTTTTGTAGTATCTGGATGTGGACATTTGGATCGCTTTCAGGCCTATGGTGAAAAAGGAAATATCTTCCCATGAAAACTAGACAGAAGCATTCTCAGAAACTTATTTGTGATGTGTGCCCTCAACTGACAGTGTTGAACCTTTGTTTTGATAGAGCAGTTCTGAAACACACTTTTTGTAAAATCTGCAAGAGGATATTTGGATAGCTTTGAGGATTTCGTTGGAAACGGGAATGTCTTCATGTAAACTTCTAGACAGAAGCATTCTCAGAAACTGCTTTGGGATGTTTCAATTGAAGTCCCAGTGTTGAACATTCCCTTTCATAGAGCAGGTTTGAAACACTCTTTTTGTACTATCTGGAAGTGGACATTTGGAGCGCTTTCAGGTCTAAGGTGAAAAAGGAGATATCTTCCAATAAAAACTAGATAGAAGCAATGTCAGAACTTTTTTCATGATGTATCTACTCAGCTAACAGAGTTGAACCTTTCTTTTGAGAGAGCAGTTTTGAAACACTCTTTTTGTGGAATATGCAAGTGGGTATTAGGCCAGCTTGGAGGATTTCGTTGGAAACGGGAATACGTATAAAAAGCAGACAGCAGCATTGTCAGAAACTACTTTGTGATGTTTGCATTCAAGTCACAGAATTGAACACTCCCTTTCACAGAGCAGGTTTGAAACACTCTTTTTGTAGTGTCTGTAAGTGAACATTTGGATTGCTTTCAGGCCTAAGGTGAAAAAGGAAATATCTTCCCATAAAAACTAGACAGAAGCATTCTCAGAAACTTGTTTGTGATGTGTGCCCTCTACTGACAGAGTTGAACCTTTCTTTGCAAAGAGCAGTTTTGAAACACTCTTTTTGTAGAATCTGCAAGAGGATATTTGGATAGCTTTGAGGATTTCTTGGGAAACGGGAATGTCTTCAGATAAACTCTAGACAGAAGCATTCTCAGAAACTTCTTTGGGATGTTTCAATTGAAGTCACAGTGTTGAACATTCCCTTTCACAGAGCAGGTTTGAAACACTCTTTTTGTAGTGTCTATAAGTGAACATTTGGCGTGCTTTCAGGCCTAACGTGAAAAAGGAAATATCTTCCCATAAAAACTAGCACAGAAGCATTCTCAGAAACTTGTTCGTGATGTGTGCCCTCTACTGACAGAGTTGAACCTTTCTTTGCAAAGAGCAGCTTTGAAACACTCTTTTTGTAGAATCTGCCAGAGGATATTTGGATAGCTTTGAGGATTTCGTTGGAAACGGGTATGTCTTCAGATAAACTCTAGACAGAAGCATTCTCAGAAACTTCTTTGGGATGTTGCATTCAAGTCACAGAGTAGAACATTCCCATTCATAGAGCAGATTTGAAACACTCTTTTTGTAGTATCTGGAAGTGGACATTTGGAGCGCTTTCAGGCCTATGTTGAAAAAGGAAATATCTTCCCATAAAAACTAGACGGAAGCATTCTCAGAAACTTACTTGTGATGTGTTTGCTCAACTTACAGAATTGAACCATCGTTTTGAAGGAGCAGTTTTGAAACACTGTTTTCGTGGAATCTGCAAGTGGATATTTGGCTAGCTTTGAGGATTTCGTTGGAAACGGGATTACATATAAAAAGGAGACAGCAACATTCTCAGAAACTTCTTTGTGATGTCTGCATTCAAGTCACAGAGTTGAGCATTCCCTTTCATAGAGCAGGTTGGAAACACTCTTTTTGTAGTATCTGGATGAGGACATTTGGAGCGCTTTCAGGCGTATGGTGAAAAAGGAAATATCTTCCCGTAAAAACTAGACAGAAGCATTCTCAGAAATTTATTTGTGATGTGTGCCCTCAACTAACAGAGTTGAACCTTTCTTTTGATAGAGCAGTTTTGAAACACTCTTTTTGTAAAATCTGCAAGAGGATATTTGGATAGCTTTGAGGATTTCGTTGCAAACGGGAATGGCTTCATATAAACTCTAGACAGAAGCATTCTCAGAAACTTCGTTGGGATGTTTCGATTGAACTCCCAGTGTTGAACATTCCCTTTTATAGAGCAGGTTGGAAACACTCTTTCTGCATTCCCTGGAAGTGGACAATTGGAGCGCTTTCAGGACGACGGTGAAAATGGAAATATCTTCCAATAAAATCTGGATAGAAGCAATGTCAGAAACTTTTCTGTGATGGATCTACTCAGCTAACAGAGTTGAACCTTTCTTTTGAGAGAGCAGTTTTGCAACACTCTTTTTGTGGAATATGCAAGTGGATATTAAGGCAGCTTTGAGGATTTCGTTGGAAACGGGAATACATGTAAAAAGCAGACAGCAGCATTCTCAGAAACTTCTTTGTGATGTTTGCATTGAAGTCACAGAGTTGAACATTCCCTTTGAGAGAGCAGGTTTGAAACACGCCTTTTGTCATATCTGGAAGTGTCCATTCGGAGCGCATTCAGGCTTGTGTTGAAAAAGGAAATATCCTCCCATAAAAACTAGACAGAAGCATTCTCAGAAACTTATCTGTGATGTATGTACTCAACTAACAGAACTAAACCATCGTTTTGAAGGAGCAGTTTTGAAACACTCTTTTTGCGGAATCTGCAAGTGGATATTTGGCTAGCTGGGAGGATTTCGTTGGAAACGGGATTACATACAAAAAGCAGACAGCAGCATTCTCAGAAACTTCTTTGTGATGTTTGCATTCAAGTCACAGAGTTGAACATTCCCTTTCATAGAGCAGGTTTGAAACACTCTTTTTGTAGTATCTGGATGTGGACATTTGGATCGCTTTCAGGCCTATGGTGAAAAAGGAAATATCTTCCCATGAAAACTAGACAGAAGCATTCTCAGAAACTTATTTGTGATGTGTGCCCTCAACTGACAGTGTTGAACCTTTGTTTTGATAGAGCAGTTCTGAAACACACTTTTTGTAAAATCTGCAAGAGGATATTTGGATAGCTTTGAGGAGTTCGTTGGAAACGGGAATGTCTTCATGTAAACTCTAGACAGAAGCATTCTCAGAAACTGCTTTGGGATGTTTCAATTGAAGTCCCAGTGTTGAACATTCCCTTTCATAGAGCAGGTTTGAAACACTCTTTTTGTACTATCTGGAAGTGGACATTTGGAGCGCTTTCAGGTCTACGGTGAAAAAGGAGATATCTTCCAATAAAAACTAGATAGAAGCAATGTCAGAACTTTTTTCATGATGTATCTACTCAGCAAACAGAGTTGAACCTTTCTTTTGAGAGAGCAGTTTTGAAACACTCTTTTTGTGGAATATGCAAGTGGGTATTAGGCCAGCTTGGAGGATTTCGTTGGAAACGGGAATACGTATAAAAAGCAGACAGCAGCATTGTCAGAAACTACTTTGTGATGTTTGCATTCAAGTCACAGAATTGAACACTCCCTTTCACAGAGCAGGTTTGAAACACTCTTTTTGTAGTGTCTGTAAGTGAACATTTGGATTGCTTTCAGGCCTAAGGTGAAAAAGGAAATATCTTCCCATAAAAACTAGATAGAAGCATTCTCAGTAAACTTGTTTGTGATGTGTGCCCTCTACTGACAGAGTTGAACCTTTCTTTGCAAAGAGCAGTTTTGAAACACTCTTTTTGTAGAATCTGCAAGAGGATATTTGGATAGCTCTGAGGATTTCTTGGGAAACGGGAATGTCTTCAGATAAACTCTAGACAGAAGCATTCTCAGAAACTTCTTTGGGATGTTGCATTCAAGTCACAGAGTAGAACATTCCCATTCATAGAGCAGATTTGAAACACTCTTTTTGTAGTATCTGGAAGTGGACATTTGGAGCGCTTTCAGGCCTATGTTGAAAAAGGAAATATCTTCCCATAAAAACTAGACGGAAGCATTCTCAGAAACTTAATTGTGATGTGTTTGCTCAACTAACAGGATTGAACCATCGTTTTGAAGGAGCAGTTTTGAAACACTGTTTTCGTGGAATCTGCAAGTGGATATTTGGCTAGCTTTGAGGATTTCGTTGGAAACGGGATTACATATAAAAAGGAGACAGCAGCATTCTCAGAAACTTCTTTGTGATGTCTGCATTCAATTCACAGAGTTGAGCATTCCCTTTCATAGAGCAGGTTGGAAACACTCTTTTTGTAGTATCTGGATGTGGACATTTGGATCGCTTTCAGGCCTATGGTGAAAAAGGAAATATCTTCCCATGAAAACTAGACAGAAGCATTCTCAGAAACTTATTTGTGATGTGTGCACTCAACTGACAGTGTTGAACCTTTGTTTTGATAGAGCAGTTCTGAAACACACTTTTTGTAAAATCTGCAAGAGGATATTTGGATAGCTTTGACGATTTCGTTGGAAACGGGAATGTCTTCATGTAAACTCTAGACAGAAGCATTCTCAGAAACTGCTTTGGGATGTTTCAATTGAAGTCCCAGTGTTGAACATTCCCTTTCATAGAGCAGGTTTGAAACACTCTTTTTGTACTATCTGGAAGTGGACATTTGGAGCGCTTTCAGGTCTACGGTGAAAAAGGAGATATCTTCCAATAAAAACTAGATAGAAGCAATGTCAGAACTTTTTTCATGATGTATCTACTCAGCAAACAGAGTTGAACCTTTCTTTTGAGAGAGCAGTTTTGAAACACTCTTTTTGTGGAATATGCAAGTGGGTATTAGGCCAGCTTGGAGGATTTCGTTGGAAACGGGAATACGTATAAAAAGCAGACAGCAGCATTGTCAGAAACTACTTTGTGATGTTTGCATTCAAGTCACAGAATTGAACACTCCCTTTCACAGAGCAGGTTTGAAACACTCTTTTTGTAGTGTCTGTAAGTGAACATTTGGATTGCTTTCAGGCCTAAGGTGAAAAAGGAAATATCTTCCCATAAAAACTAGACAGAAGCATTCTCAGAAACTTGTTTGTGATGTGTGCCCTCTACTGACAGAGTTGAACCTTTCTTTGCAAAGAGCAGTTTTGAAACACTCTTTTTGTAGAATCTGCAAGAGGATATTTGGATAGCTTTGAGGATTTCTTGGGAAACGGGAATGTCTTCAGATAAACTCTAGACAGAAGCATTCTCAGAAACTTCTTTGGGATGTTTCAATTGAAGTCACAGTGTTGAACATTCCCTTTCACAGAGCAGGTTTGAAACACTCTTTTTGTAGTATCTATAAGTGAACATTTGGCGTGCTTTCAGGCGTAACGTGAAAAAGGAAATATCTTCCCATAAAAACTAGACAGAAGCATTCTCAGAAACTTGTTCTTGATGTGTGCCCTCTACTGACAGAGTTGAACCTTTCTTTGCAAAGAGCAGCTTTGAAACACTCTTTTTGTAGAATCTGCAAGAGGATATTTGGATAGCTTGGAGGATTTCGTTGGAAACGGGTATGTCTTCAGATAAACTCTAGACAGAAGCATTCTCAGAAACTTCTTTGGGATGTTGCATTCAAGTCACAGAGTAGAACATTCCCATTCATAGAGCAGATTTGAAACACTCTTTTTGTAGTATCTGGAAGTGGACATTTGGAGCGCTTTCAGGCCTATGTTGAAAAAGGAAATATCTTCCCATAAAAACTAGACGGAAGCATTCTCAGAAACTTAATTGTGATGTGTTTGCTCAACTAACAGGATTGAACCATCGTTTTGAAGGAGCAGTTTTGAAACACTGTTTTCGTGGAATCTGCAAGTGGATATTTGGCTAGCTGGGAGGATTTCGTTGGAAACGGGATTACATATAAAAAGGAGACAGCAGCATTCTCAGAAACTTCTTTGTGATGTCTGCATTCAATTCACAGAGTTGAGCATTCCCTTTCATAGAGCAGGTTGGAAACACTCTTTTTGTAGTATCTGGATGAGGACATTTGGAGCGCTTTCAGGCGTATGGTGAAAAAGGAAATATCTTCCCGTAAAAACTAGACAGAAGCATTCTCAGAAGTTTATTTGTGATGTGTGCCCTCAACTAACAGAGTTTAACCTTTCTTTTGATAGAGCAGTTTTGAAACACTCTTTTTGTAAAATCTGCAAGAGGATATTTGGATAGCTTTGAGGATTTCGTTGCAAACGGGAATGGCTTCATATAAACTCTAGACAGAAAGCATTCTCAGAAACTTCGTTGGGATGTTTCGATTGAAGTCCCAGTGTTGAACATTCCCTTTTATAGAGCAGGTTGGAAACACTCTTTCTGCATTCCCTGGAAGTGGACATTTGGAGCGCTTTCAGGACGACGGTGAAAATGGAAATATCTTCCAAGAAAATCTAGATAGAGCAACGTCAGAAACTTTTCTGTGATGGATCTACTCAGCTAACAGAGTTGAACCTTTCTTTTGAGAGAGCAGTTTTGCAACACTCTTTTTGTGGAATATGCAAGTGGATATTAGGGCAGCTTTGAGGATTTCGTTGGAAACGGGAATACATGTAAAAAGCAGACAGCAGCATTCTCAGAAACTTCTTTGTGATATTTGCATTGAAGTCACAGAGTTGAACATTCCCTTTGAGAGAGCAGGTTTGAAACACGCCTTTTGTCATATCTGGAAGTGTCCATTCGGAGCGCATTCAGGCTTGTGTTGAAAAAGGAAATATCCTCCCATAAAAACTAGACAGAAGCATTCTCAGAAACTTATCTGTGATGTATGTACTCAACTAACAGAACTAAACCATCGTTTTGAAGGAGCAGTTTTGAAACACTCTTTTTGCGGAATCTGCAAGTGGATATTTGGCTAGCTGGGAGGATTTCGTTGGAAACGGGATTACATACAAAAAGCAGACAGCAGCATTCTCAGAAACTTCTTTGTGATGTTTGCATTCAAGTCACAGAGTTGAACATTCCCTTTCATAGAGCAGGTTTGAAACACTCTTTTTGTAGTATCTGGATGTGGACATTTGGATCGCTTTCAGGCCTATGGTGAAAAAGGAAATATCTTCCCATGAAAACTAGACAGAAGCATTCTCAGAAACTTATTTGTGATGTGTGCCCTCAACTGACAGTGTTGAACCTTTGTTTTGATAGAGCAGTTCTGAAACACACTTTTTGTAAAATCTGCAAGAGGATATTTGGATAGCTTTGAGGATTTCGTTGGAAACGGGAATGTCTTCATGTAAACTCTAGACAGAAGCATTCTCAGAAACTGCTTTGGGATGTTTCAATTGAAGTCCCAGTGTTGAACATTCCCTTTCATAGAGCAGGTTTGAAACACTCTTTTTGTACTATCTGGAAGTGGACATTTGGAGCGCTTTCAGGTCTACGGTGAAAAAGGAGATATCTTCCAATAAAAACTAGATAGAAGCAATGTCAGAACTTTTTTCATGATGTATCTACTCAGCAAACAGAGTTGAACCTTTCTTTTGAGAGAGCAGTTTTGAAACACTCTTTTTGTGGAATATGCAAGTGGGTATTAGGCCAGCTTGAAGGATTTCGTTGGAAACGGGATTACGTATAAAAAGCAGACAGCAGCATTGTCAGAAACTACTTTGTGATGTTTGCATTCAAGTCACAGAATTGAACACTCCCTTTCACAGAGCAGGTTTGAAACACTCTTTTTGTAGTGTCTGTAAGTGAACATTTGGATTGCTTTCAGGCCTAAGGTGAAAAAGGAAATATCTTCCCATAAAAACTAGACAGAAGCATTCTCAGAAACTTGTTTGTGATGTGTGCCCTCTACTGACAGAGTTGAACCTTTCTTTGCAAAGAGCAGTTTTGAAACACTCTTTTTGTAGAATCTGCAAGAGGATATTTGGATAGCTTTGAGGATTTCTTGGGAAACGGGAATGTCTTCAGATAAACTCTAGACAGAAGCATTCTCAGAAACTTCTTTGGGATGTTTCAATTGAAGTCACAGTGTTGAACATTCCCTTTCACAGAGCAGGTTTGAAACACTCTTTTTGTAGTGTCTGTAAGTGAACATTTGGCGTGCTTTCAGGCCTAACGTGAAAAAGGAAATATCTTCCCATAAAAACTAGACAGAAGCATTCTCAGAAACTTGTTCGTGATGTGTGCCCTCTACTGACAGAGTTGAACCTTTCTTTGCAAAGAGCAGCTTTGAAACACTCTTTTTGTAGAATCTGCAAGAGGATATTTGGATAGCTTTGAGGATTTCGTTGGAAACGGGTATGTCTTCAGATAAACTCTAGACAGAAGCATTCTCAGAAACTTCTTTGGGATGTTTCAATTGAAGTCACAGTGTTGAACATTCCCTTTCACAGAGCAGGTTTGAAACACTCTTTTTGTAGTGTCTATAAGTGAACATTTGGCGTGCTTTCAGGCCTAACGTGAAAAAGGAAATATCTTCCCATAAAAACTAGACAGAAGCATTCTCAGAAACTTGTTCGTGATGTGTGCCCTCTACTGACAGAGTTGAACCTTTCTTTGCAAAGAGCAGCTTTGAAACACTCTTTCTGTAGAATCTGCAAGAGGATATTTGGATAGCTTGGAGGATTTCGTTGGAAACGGGTATGTCTTCAGATAAACTCTAGACAGAAGCATTCTCAGAAACTTCTTTGGGATGTTGCATTCAAGTCACAGAGTAGAACATTCCCATTCATAGAGCAGATTTGAAACACTCTTTTTGTAGTATCTGGAAGTGGACATTTGGAGCGCTTTCAGGCCTATGTTGAAAAAGGAAATATCTTCCCATAAAAACTAGACGGAAGCATTCTCAGAAACTTACTTGTGATGTGTTTGCTCAACTAACAGAATTGAACCATCGTTTTGAAGGAGCAGTTTTGAAACACTGTTTTCGTGGAATCTGCAAGTGGATATTTGGCTAGCTTTGAGGATTTCGTTGGAAACGGGATTACATATACAAAGGAGACAGCAGCATTCTCAGAAACTTCTTTGTGATGTCTGCATTCAAGTCACAGAGTTGAGCATTCCCTTTCATAGAGCAGGTTGGAAACACTCTTTTTGTAGTATCTGGATGAGGACATTTGGAGCGCTTTCAGGCGTATGGTGAAAAAGGAAATATCTTCCCGTAAAAACTAGACAGAAGCATTCTCAGAAATTTATTTGTGATGTGTGCCCTCAACTAACAGAGTTGAACCTTTCTTTTGATAGAGCAGTTTTGAAACACTCTTTTTGTAAAATCTGCAAGAGGATATTTGGATAGCTTTGAGGATTTCGTTGCAAACGGGAATGGCTTCATATAAACTCTAGACAGAAGCATTCTCAGAAACTTCGTTGGGATGTTTCGATTGAAGTCCCAGTGTTGAACATTCCCTTTTATAGAGCAGGTTGGAAACACTCTTTCTGCATTCCCTGGAAGTGGACATTTGGAGCGCTTTCAGGACGACGGTGAAAATGGAAATATCTTCCAAGAAAATCTAGATAGAAGCAACGTCAGAAACTTTTCTGTGATGGATCTACTCAGCTAACAGAGTTGAACCTTTCTTTTGAGAGAGCAGTTTTGCAACACTCTTTTTGTGGAATATGCAAGTGGATATTAGGGCAGCTTTGAGGATTTCGTTGGAAACGGGAATACATGTAAAAAGCAGACAGCAGCATTCTCAGAAACTTCTTTGTGATGTTTGCATTGAAGTCACAGAGTTGAACATTCCCTTTGAGAGAGCAGGTTTGAAACACGCCTTTTGTCATATCTGGAAGTGTCCATTCGGAGCGCATTCAGGCTTGTGTTGAAAAAGGAAATATCCTCCCATAAAAACTAGACAGAAGCATTCTCAGAAACTTATCTGTGATGTATGTACTCAACTAACAGAACTAAACCATCCTTTTGAAGGAGCAGTTTTGAAACACTCTTTTTGCGGAATCTGCAAGTGGATATTTGGCTAGCTGGGAGGATTTCGTTGGAAACGGGATTACATACAAAAAGGAGACAGCAGCATTCTCAGAAACTTCTTTGTGATGTTTGCATTCAAGTCACAGAGTTGAACATTCCCTTTCATAGAGCAGGTTTGAAACACTCTTTTTGTAGTATCTGGATGTGGACATTTGGATCGCTTTCAGGCCTATGGTGAAAAAGGAAATATCTTCCCATGAAAACTAGACAGAAGCATTCTCAGAAACTTATTTGTGATGTGTGCCCTCAACTGACAGTGTTGAACCTTTGTTTTGATAGAGCAGTTCTGAAACACACTTTTTGTAAAATCTGCAAGAGGATATTTGGATAGCTTTGAGGATTTCGTTGGAAACGGGAATGTCTTCATGTAAACTCTACACAGAAGCATTCTCAGAAACTGCTTTGGGATGTTTCAATTGAAGTCCCAGTGTTGAACATTCCCATTCATAGAGCAGGTTTGAAGCACTCTTTTTGTACTATCTGGAAGTGGACATTTGGAGCGCTTTCAGGTCTACGGTGAAAAAGGAGATATCTTCCAATAAAAACTAGATAGAAGCAATGTCAGAACTTTTTTCATGATGTATCTACTCAGCAAACAGAGTTGAACCTTTCTTTTGAGAGAGCAGTTTTGAAACACTCTTTTTGTGGAATATGCAAGTGGGTATTAGGCCAGCTTGGAGGATTTCGTTGGAAACGGGAATACGCATAAAAAGCAGACAGCAGCATTGTCAGAAACTACTTTGTGATGTTTGCATTCAAGTCACAGAATTGAACACTCCCTTTCACAGAGCAGGTTTGAAATACTCTTTTTGTAGTGTCTGTAAGTGAACATTTGGATTGCTTTCATGCCTAAGGTGAAAAAGGAAATATCTTCCCATAAAAACTAGACAGAAGCATTCTCAGAAACTTGTTTGTGATGTGTGCCCTCTACTGACAGAGTTGAACCTTTCTTTGCAAAGAGCAGTTTTGAAACACTCTTTTTGTAGAATCTGCAAGAGGATATTTGGATAGCTTTGAGGATTTCTTGGGAAACGGGAATGTCTTCAGATAAACTCTAGACAGAAGCATTCTCAGAAACTTCTTGGGATATTTCAATTGAAGTCACAGTGTTGAACATTCCCTTTCACAGAGCAGGTTTGAAACACTCTTTTTGTAGTGTCTATAAGTGAACATTTGGCGTGCTTTCAGGCCTAACGTGAAAAAGGAAATATCTTCCCATAAAAACTAGACAGAAGCATTCTCAGAAACTTGTTCGTGATGTGTGCCCTCTACTGACAGAGTTGAACCTTTCTTTGCAAAGAGCAGCTTTGAAACACTCTTTTTGTAGAATCTGCAAGAGGATATTTGGATAGCTTTGAGGATTTCGTTGGAAACGGGTATGTCTTCAGATAAACTCTAGACAGAAACATTCTCAGAAACTTCTTTGGGATGTTGCATTCAAGTCACAGAGTAGAACATTCCCATGCATAGAGCAGATTTGAAACACTCTTTTTGTAGTATCTGGAAGTGGACATTTGGAGCGCTTTCAGGCCTATGTTGAAAAAGGAAATATCTTCCCATAAAAACTAGATGGAAGCATTCTCAGAAACTTACTTGTGATGTGTTTGCTCAACTAACAGGATTGAACCATCGTTTTGAAGGAGCAGTTTTGAAACACTGTTTTCGTGGAATCTGCAAGTGGATATTTGGCTAGCTTTGAGGATTTCGTTGGAAACGGGATTACATATACAAAGGAGACAGCAGCATTCTCAGAAACTTCTTTGTGATGTCTGCATTCAATTCACAGAATTGAGCATTCCCTTTCATAGAGCAGGTTGGAAACACTCTTTTTGTAGTATCTGGATGAGGACATTTGGAGCGCTTTCAGGCGTATGGTGAAAAAGGAAATATCTTCCCGTAAAAACTAGACAGAAGCATTCTCAGAAATTTATTTGTGATGTGTGCCCTCAACTAACAGAGTTGAACCTTTCTTTTGATAGAGCAGTTCTGAAACACTCTTTTTGTAAAATCTGCAAGAGGATATTTGGATAGCTTTGAGGATTTCGTTGCAAACGGGAATGGCTTCATATAAACTCTAGACAGAAGCATTCTCAGAAACTTCGTTGGGATGTTTCGATTGAAGTCCCAGTGTTGAACATTCCCTTTTATAGAGCAGGTTGGAAACACTCTTTCTGCATTCCCTGGAAGTGGACATTTGGAGCGCTTTCAGGACGACGGTGAAAATGGAAATATCTTCCAAGAAAATCTAGATAGAAGCAATGTCAGAAACTTTTATGTGATGGATCTACTCAGCTAACAGAGTTGAACCTTTCTTTTGAGAGAGCAGTTTTGCAACACTCTTTTTGTGGAATATGCAAGTGGATATTAGGGCAGCTTTGAGGATTTCGTTGGAAACGGGAATACATGTAAAAAGCAGACAGCAGCATTCTCAGAAACTTCTTTGTGATGTTTGCATTGAAGTCACAGAGTTGAACATTCCCTTTGAGAGAGCAGGTTTGAAACACGCCTTTTGTCATATCTGGAAGTGTCCATTCGGAGCGCATTCAGGCTTGTGTTGAAAAAGGAAATATCCTCCCATAAAAACTAGACAGAAGCATTCTCAGAAACTTATCTGTGATGTATGTACTCAACTAACAGAACTAAACCATCGTTTTGAAGGAGCAGTTTTGAAACACTCTTTTTGCGGAATCTGCAAGTGGATATTTGGCTAGCTGGGAGGATTTCGTTGGAAACGGGATTACATACAAAAAGCAGACAGCAGCATTCTCAGAAACTTCTTTGTGATGTTTGCATTCAAGTCACAGAGTTGAACATTCCCTTTCATAGAGCAGGTTTGAAACACTCTTTTTGTAGTATCTGGATGTGGACATTTGGATCGCTTTCAGGCCTATGGTGAAAAAGGAAATATCTTCCCATGAAAACTAGACAGAAGCATTCTCAGAAACTTATTTGTGATGTGTGCCCTCAACTGACAGTGTTGAACCTTTGTTTTGATAGAGCAGTTCTGAAACACACTTTTTGTAAAATCTGCAAGAGGATATTTGGATAGCTTTGAGGATTTCGTTGGAAACGGGAATGTCTTCATGTAAACTCTAGACAGAAGCATTCTCAGAAACTGCTTTGGGATGTTTCAATTGAAGTCCCAGTGTTGAACATTCCCTTTCATAGAGCAGGTTTGAAACACTCTTTTTGTACTATCTGGAAGTGGACATTTGGAGCGCTTTCAGGTCTACGGTGAAAAAGGAGATATCTTCCAATAAAAACTAGATAGAAGCAATGTCAGAACTTTTTTCATGATGTATCTACTCAGCAAACAGAGTTGAACCTTTCTTTTGAGAGAGCAGTTTTGAAACACTCTTTTTGTGGAATATGCAAGTGGGTATTAGGCCAGCTTGGAGGATTTCGTTGGAAACGGGAATACGTATAAAAAGCAGACAGCAGCATTGTCAGAAACTACTTTGTGATGTTTGCATTCAAGTCACAGAATTGAACACTCCCTTTCACAGAGCAGGTTTGAAACACTCTTTTTGTAGTGTCTGTAAGTGAACATTTGGATTGCTTTCAGGCCTAAGGTGAAAAAGGAAATATCTTCCCATAAAAACTAGACAGAAGCATTCTCAGAAACTTGTTTGTGATGTGTGCCCTCTACTGACAGAGTTGAACCTTTCTTTGCAAAGAGCAGTTTTGAAACACTCTTTTTGTAGAATCTGCAAGAGGATATTTGGATAGCTTTGAGGATTTCTTGGGAAACGGGAATGTCTTCAGATAAACTCTAGACAGAAGCATTCTCAGAAACTTCTTTGGGATGTTTCAATTGAAGTCACAGTGTTGAACATTCCCTTTCACAGAGCAGGTTTGAAACACTCTTTTTGTAGTGTCTATAAGTGAACATTTGGCGTGCTTTCAGGCCTAACGTGAAAAAGGAAATATCTTCCCATAAAAACTAGACAGAAGCATTCTCAGAAACTTGTTCGTGATGTGTGCCCTCTACTGACAGAGTTGAACCTTTCTTTGCAAAGAGCAGCTTTGAAACACACTTTTTGTAGAATCTGCAAGAGGATATTTGGATAGCTTGGAGGATTTCGTTGGAAACGGGTATGTCTTCAGATAAACTCTAGACAGAAGCATTCTCAGAAACTTCTTTGGGATGTTGCATTCAAGTCACAGAGTAGAACATTCCCATTCATAGAGCAGATTTGAAACACTCTTTTTGTAGTATCTGGAAGTGGACATTTGGAGCGCTTTCAGGCCTATGTTGAAAAAGGAAATGTCTTCCCATAAAAACTAGACGGAAGCATTCTCAGAAACTTATTTGTGATGTGTTTGCTCAACTAACAGGATTGAACCATCGTTTTGAAGGAGCAGTTTTGAAACACTGTTTTCGTGGAATCTGCAAGTGGATATTTGGCTAGCTTTGAGGATTTCGTTGGAAACGGGATTACATATACAAAGGAGACAGCAGCATTCTCAGAAACTTCTTTGTGATGTCTGCATTCAATTCACAGAGTTGAGCATTCCCTTTCATAGAGCAGGTTGGAAACACTCTTTTTGTAGTATCTGGATGAGGACATTTGGAGCGCTTTCAGGCGTATGGTGAAAAAGGAAATATCTTCCCGTAAAAACTAGACAGAAGCATTCTCAGAAATTTATTTGTGATGTGTGCCCTCAACTAACAGAGTTGAACCTTTCTTTTGATAGAGCAGTTTTGAAACACTCTTTTTGTAAAATCTGCAAGAGGATATTTGGATAGCTTTGAGGATTTCGTTGCAAACGGGAATGGCTTCATATAAACTCTAGACAGAAGCATTCTCAGAAACTTCGTTGGGATGTTTCGATTGAAGTCCCAGTGTTGAACATTCCCTTTTATAGAGCAGGTTGGAAACACTCTTTCTGCATTCCCTGGAAGTGGACATTTGGAGCGCTTTCAGGACGACGGTGAAAATGGAAATATCTTCCAAGAAAATCTAGATAGAAGCAACGTCAGAAACTTTTATGTGATGGATCTACTCAGCTAACAGAGTTGAACCTTTCTTTTGAGAGAGCAGTTTTGCAACACTCTTTTTGTGGAATATGCAAGTGGATATTAGGGCAGCTTTGAGGATTTCGTTGGAAACGGGAATACATGTAAAAAGCAGACAGCAGCATTCTCAGAAACTTCTTTGTGATGTTTGCATTGAAGTCACAGAGTTGAACATTCCCTTTGAGAGAGCAGGTTTGAAACACGCCTTTTGTCATATCTGGAAGTGTCCATTCGGAGCGCATTCAGGCTTGTGTTGAAAAAGGAAATATCCTCCCATAAAAACTAGACAGAAGCATTCTCAGAAACTTATCTGTGATGTATGTACTCAACTAACAGAACTAAACCATCGTTTTGAAGGAGCAGTTTTGAAACACTCTTTTTGCGGAATCTGCAAGTGGATATTTGGCTAGCTGGGAGGATTTCGTTGGAAACGGGATTACATACAAAAAGCAGACAGCAGCATTCTCAGAAACTTCTTTGTGATGTTTGCATTCAAGTCACAGAGTTGAACATTCCCTTTCATAGAGCAGGTTTGAAACACTCTTTTTGTAGTATCTGGATGTGGACATTTGGATCGCTTTCAGGCCTATGGTGAAAAAGGAAATATCTTCCCATGAAAACTAGACAGAAGCATTCTCAGAAACTTATTTGTGATGTGTGCCCTCAACTGACAGTGTTGAACCTTTGTTTTGATAGAGCAGTTCTGAAACACACTTTTTGTAAAATCTGCAAGAGGATATTTGGATAGCTTTGAGGATTTCGTTGGAAACGGGAATGTCTTCATGTAAACTCTACACAGAAGCATTCTCAGAAACTGCTTTGGGATGTTTCAATTGAAGTCCCAGTGTTGAACATTCCCTTTCATAGGAGCAGGTTTGAAACACTCTTTTTGTACTATCTGGAAGTGGACATTTGGAGCGCTTTCAGGTCTACGGTGAAAAAGGAGATATCTTCCAATAAAAACTAGATAGAAGCAATGTCAGAACTTTTTTCATGATGTATCTACTCAGCACACAGAGTTGAACCTTTCTTTTGAGAGAGCAGTTTTGAAACACTCTTTTTGTGGAATATGCAAGTGGGTATTAGGCCAGCTTGGAGGATTTCGTTGGAAACGGGAATACGTATAAAAAGCAGACAGCAGCATTGTCAGAAACTACTTTGTGATGTTTGCATTCAAGTCACAGAATTGAACACTCCCTTTCACAGAGCAGGTTTGAAACACTCTTTTTGTAGTGTCTGTAAGTGAACATATGGATTGCTTTCAGGCCTAAGGTGAAAAAGGAAATATCTTCCCATAAAAACTAGACAGAAGCATTCTCAGAAACTTGTTTGTGATGTGTGCCCTCTACTGACAGAGTTGAACCTTTCTTTGCAAAGAGCAGTTTTGAAACACTCTTTTTGTAGAATCTGCAAGAGGATATTTGGATAGCTTTGAAGATTTCTTGGGAAACGGGAATGTCTTCAGATAAACTCTAGACAGAAGCATTCTCAGAAACTTCTTTGGGATGTTTCAATTGAAGTCACAGTGTTGAACATTCCCTTTCACAGAGCAGGTTTGAAACACTCTTTTTGTAGTGTCTATAAGTGAACATTTGGCGTGCTTTCAGGCCTAACGTGAAAAAGGAAATATCTTCCCATAAAAACTAGACAGAAGCATTCTCAGAAACTTGTTTGTGATGTGTGCCCTCTACTGACAGAGTTGAACCTTTCTTTGCAAAGAGCAGCTTTGAAACACTCTTTTTGTAGAATCTGCAAGAGGATATGTGGATAGCTTTGAGGATTTCGTTGGAAACGGGTATGTCTTCAGATAAACTCTAGACAGAAGCATTCTCAGAAACTTCTTTGGGATGTTTCAATTGAAGTCACAGTGTTGAACATTCCCTTTCACAGAGCAGGTTTGAAACACTCTTTTTATAGTGTCTATAAGTGAACATTTGGCGTGCTTTCAGGCCTAACGTGAAAAAGGAAATATCTTCCCATAAAAACTAGACAGAAGCATTCTCAGAAACTTGTTCATGATGTGTGCCCTCTACTGACAGAGTTGAACCTTTCTTTGCAAAGAGCAGCTTTGAAACACTCTTTTTGTAGAATCTGCAAGAGGATATTTGGATAGCTTTGAGGATTTCGTTGGAAACGGGTATGTCTTCAGATAAACTCTAGACAGAAGCATTCTCAGAAACTTCTTTGGGATGTTGCATTCAAGTCACAGAGTAGAACATTCCCATTCATAGAGCAGATTTGAAACACTCTTTTTGTAGTATCTGGAAGTGGACATTTGGAGCGCTTTCAGGCCTATGTTGAAAAAGGAAATATCTTCCCATAAAAACTAGACGGAAGCATTCTCAGAAACTTACTTGTGATGTGTTTGCTCAACTAACAGAATTGAACCATCGTTTTGAAGGAGCAGTTTTGAAACACTGTTTTCGTGGAATCTGCAAGTGGATATTTGGCTAGCTTTGAGGATTTCGTTGGAAACGGGATTACATATAAAAAGGAGACAGCAGCATTCTCAGAAACTTCTTTGTGATGTCTGCATTCAAGTCACAGAGTTGAGCATTCCCTTTCATAGAGCAGGTTGGAAACACTCTTTTTGTAGTATCTGGATGAGGACATTTGGAGCGCTTTCAGGCGTATGGTGAAAAAGGAAATATCTTCCCGTAAAAACTAGACAGAAGCATTCTCAGAAATTTATTTGTGATGTGTGCCCTCAACTAACAGAGTTGAACCTTTCTTTTGATAGAGC
Source organism: Homo sapiens (assembly GCF_000001405.40). Lineage (NCBI taxonomy): Eukaryota > Metazoa > Chordata > Mammalia > Primates > Hominidae > Homo > Homo sapiens. The sequence continues at coordinate 26,854,176 of NC_000020.11, forward strand.
AGTTTTGAAACACTCTTTTTGTAAAATCTGCAAGAGGATATTTGGATAGCTTTGAGGATTTCGTTGCAAACGGGAATGGCTTCATATAAACTCTAGACAGAAGCATTCTCAGAAACTTCGTTGGGATGTTTCGATTGAAGTCCCAGTGTTGAACATTCCCTTTTATAGAGCAGGTTGGAAACACTCTTTCTGCATTCCCTGGAAGTGGACATTTGGAGCGCTTTCAGGACGACGGTGAAAATGGAAATATCTTCCAAGAAAATCTAGATAGAAGCAACGTCAGAAACTTTTCTGTGATGGATCTACTCAGCTAACAGAGTTGAACCTTTCTTTTGAGAGAGCAGTTTTGCAACACTCTTTTTGTGGAATATGCAAGTGGATATTAGGGCAGCTTTGAGGATTTCGTTGGAAACGGGAATACATGTAAAAAGCAGACAGCAAGCATTCTCAGAAAACTTCTTTGTGATGTTTGCATTGAAGTCACAGAGTTGAACATTCCCTTTGAGAGAGCAGGTTTGAAACACGCCTTTTGTCATATCTGGAAGTGTCCATTCGGAGCGCATTCAGGCTTGTGTTGAAAAAGGAAATATCCTCCCATAAAAACTAGACAGAAGCATTCTCAGAAACTTATCAGTGATGTATGTACTCAACTAACAGAACTAAACCATCGTTTTGAAGGAGCAGTTTTGAAACACTCTTTTTGCGGAATCTGCAAGTGGATATTTGGCTAGCTGGGAGGATTTCGTTGGAAACGGGATTACATACAAAAAGCAGACAGCAGCATTCTCAGAAACTTCTTTGTGATGTTTGCATTCAAGTCACAGAGTTGAACATTCCCTTTCATAGAGCAGGTTTGAAACACTCTTTTTGTAGTATCTGGATGTGGACATTTGGATCGCTTTCAGGCCTATGGTGAAAAAGGAAATATCTTCCCATGAAAACTAGACAGAAGCATTCTCAGAAACTTATTTGTGATGTGTGCCCTCAACTGACAGTGTTGAACCTTTGTTTTGATAGAGCAGTTCTGAAACACACTTTTTGTAAAATCTGCAAGAGGATATTTGGATAGCTTTGAGGATTTCGTTGGAAACGGGAATGTCTTCATGTAAACTCTAGACAGAAGCATTCTCAGAAACTGCTTTGGGATGTTTCAATTGAAGTCCCAGTGTTGAACATTCCCTTTCATAGAGCAGGTTTGAAACACTCTTTTTGTACTATCTGGAAGTGGACATTTGGAGCGCTTTCAGGTCTACGGTGAAAAAGGGGATATCTTCCAATAAAAACTAGATAGAAGCAATGTCAGAACTTTTTTCATGATGTATCTACTCAGCAAACAGAGTTGAACCTTTCTTTTGAGAGAGCAGTTTTGAAACACTCTTTTTGTGGAATATGAAAGTGGGTATTAGGCCGGCTTGGAGGATTTCGTTGGAAACGGGAATACGTATAAAAAGCAGACAGCAGCATTGTCAGAAACTACTTTGTGATGTTTGCATTCAAGTCACAGAATTGAACACTCCCTTTCACAGAGCAGGTTCGAAACACTCTTTTTGTAGTGTCTGTAAGTGAACATTTGGATTGCTTACAGGCCTAAGGTGAAAAAGGAAATATCTTCCCATAAAAACTAGACAGAAGCATTCTCAGAAACTTGTTTGTGATGTGTGCCCTCTACTGACAGAGTTGAACCTTTCCTTGCAAAGAGCAGCTTTGAAACACTCTTTTTGTAGAATCTGCAAGAGGCTATTTGGATAGCTTTGAGGATTTCGTTGGAAACGGTTATGTCTTCAGATAAACTCTAGACAGAAGCATTCTCAGAAACTTCTTTGGGATGTTTCAATTGAAGTCACAGTGTTGAACATTCCCTTTCACAGAGCAGGTTTGAAACACTCTTTTTGTAGTGTCTATAAGTGAACATTTGGTGTGCTTTCAGGCCCAACGTGAAAAAGGAAATATCTTCCCATAAAAACTAGACAGAAGCATTCTCAGAAACTTGTTTGTGATGTGTGCCCTCTACTGACAGAGTTGAACCTTTCTTTGCAAAGAGCAGCTTTGAAACACTCATTTGTAGAATCTGCAAGAGGATATTTGGATAGCTTTGAGGATTTCGTTGGAAACGGGTATGTCTTCAGATAAACTCTAGACAGAAGCATTCTCAGAAACTTCTTTGGGATGTTGCATTCAAGTCACAGAGTAGAACATTCCCATTCACAGAGCAGATTTGAAACACTCTTTTTGTAGTATCTGGAAGTGGACATTTGGAGCGCTTTCAGGTCTATGTGGAAAAACGAAATATCTTCCCATAAAAACTAGACGGAAGCATTCTCAGAAACTTCTTTGTGATGTGTTTGCTCAACTAACAGGATTGAACCATCGTTTTGAAGGAGCAGTTTTGAAACACTGTTTTCGTGGAATCTGCAAGTGGATATTTGGCTAGCTTTGAGGATTTCGTTGGAAACGGGATTACATATACAAAGGAGACAGCAGCATTCTCAGAAACTTCTTTGTGATGTCTGCATTCAATTCACAGAGTTGAGCATTCCCTTTCATAGAGCAGGTTGGAAACACTCTTTTTGTAGTATCTGGATGAGGACATTTGGAGCGCTTTCTGGCCTATGGTGAAAAAGGAAATATCTTCCTGTAAAAACTAGACAGAAGCATTCTCAGAAGTTTATTTGTGATGTGTGCCCTCAACTAACAGAGTTGAACCTTTCTTTTGATAGAGCAGTTTTGAAACACTCTTTTTGTAAAATCTGCAAGAGGATATTTGGATAGCTTTGAGGATTTCGTTGCAAACGGGAATGGCTTCATATAAACTCTAGACAGAAGCATTCTCAGAAACTTCGTTGGGATGTTTCGATTGAAGTCCCAGTGTTGAACATTCCCTTTTATAGAGCAGGTTGGAAACACTCTTTCTGCATTCCCTGGAAGTGGACATTTGGAGCGCTTTCAGGACGACGGTGAAAATGGAAATATCTTCCAAGAAAATCTAGATAGAAGCAATGTCAGAAACTTTTATGTGATGGATCTACTCAGCTAACAGAGTTGAAGCTTTCTTTTGAGAGAGCAGTTTTGCAACACTCTTTTTGTGGAATATGCAAGTGGATATTAGGGCAGCTTTGAGGATTTCGTTGGAAACGGGAATACATGTAAAAAGCAGACAGCAGCATTCTCAGAAACTTCTTTGTGATGTTTGCATTGAAGTCACAGAGTTGAACATTCCCTTTGAGAGAGCAGGTTTGAAACACGCCTTTTGTCATATCTGGAAGTGTCCATTCGGAGCGCATTCAGGCTTGTGTTGAAAAAGGAAATATCCTCCCATAAAAACTAGGACGGAAGCATTCTCAGAAACTTATCTGTGATGTATGTACTCAACTAACAGAACTAAACCATCGTTTTGAAGGAGCAGTTTTGAAACACTCTTTTTGCGGAATCTGCAAGTGGATATTTGGCTAGCTGGGAGGATTTCGTTGGAAACGGGATTACATACAAAAAGCAGACAGCAGCATTCTCAGAAACTTCTTTGTGATGTTTGCATTCAAGTCACAGAGTTGAACATTCCCTTTCATAGAGCAGGTTTGAAACACTCTTTTTGTAGTATCTGGATGTGGACATTTGGATCGCTTTCAGGCCTATGGTGAAAAAGGAAATATCTTCCCATGAAAACTAGACAGAAGCATTCTCAGAAACTTATTTGTGATGTGTGCCCTCAACTGACAGTGTTGAACCTTTGTTTTGATAGAGCAGTTCTGAAACACACTTTTTGTAAAATCTGCAAGAGGATATTTGGATAGCTTTGAGGATTTCGTTGCAAACGGGAATGTCTTCATGTAAACTCTGGACAGAAGCATTCTCAGAAACTGCTTTGGGATGTTTCAATTGAAGTCCCAGTGTTGAACATTCCCTTTCATAGAGCAGGTTTGAAACACTCTTTTTGTACTATCTGGAAGTGGACATTTGGAGCGCTTTCAGGTCTACGGTGAAAAAGGAGATATCGTCCAATAAAAACTAGATAGAAGCAATGTCAGAACTTTTTTCATGATGTATCTACTCAGCAAACAGAGTTGAACCTTTCGTTTGAGAGAGCAGTTTTGAAACACTCTTTTTGTGGAATATGCAAGTGGGTATTAGGCCAGCTTGGAGGATTTCGTTGGAAACGGGAATACGTATAAAAAGCAGACAGCAGCATTGTCAGAAACTACTTTGTGATGTTTGCATTCAAGTCACAGAATTGAACACTCCCTTTCACAGAGCAGGTTTGAAACACTCTTTTTGTAGTGTCTGTAAGTGAACATTTGGATTGCTTTCAGGCCTAAGGTGAAAAAGGAAATATCTTCCCATAAAAACTAGACAGAAGCATTCTCAGAAACTTGTTTGTGATGTGTGCCCTCTACTGACAGAGTTGAACCTTTCTTTGCAAAGAGCAGTTTTGAAACACTCTTTTTGTAGAATCTGCAAGAGGATATTTGGATAGCTTTGAGGATTTCTTGGGAAACAGGAATGTCTTCAGATAAACTCTAGACAGAAGCATTCTCAGAAACTTCTTTGGGATGTTTCAATTGAAGTCACAGTGTTGAACATTCCCTTTCACAGAGCAGGTTTGAAACACTCTTTTTGTAGTGTCTATAAGTGAACATTTGGCGTGCTTTCAGGCCTAACGTGAAAAAGGAAATATCTTCCCATAAAAACTAGACAGAAGCATTCTCAGAAACTTGTTCGTGATGTGTGCCCTCTACTGACAGAGTTGAACCTTTCTTTGCAAAGAGCAGCTTTGAAACACTCTTTTTGTAGAATCTGCAAGAGGATATTTGGATAGCTTGGAGGATTTCGTTGGAAACGGGTATGTCTTCAGATAAACTCTAGACAGAAGCATTCTCAGAAACTTCTTTGGGATGTTGCATTCAAGTTACAGAGTAGAACATTCCCATTCATAGAGCAGATTTGAAACACTCTTTTTGTAGTATCTGGAAGTGGACATTTGGAGCGCTTTCAGGCCTATGTTGAAAAAGGAAATATCTTCCCATAAAAACTAGACGGAAGCATTCTCAGAAACTTACTTGTGATGTGTTTGCTCAACTAACAGAATTGAACCATCGTTTTGAAGGAGCAGTTTTGAAACACTGTTTTCGTGGAATCTGCAAGTGGATATTTGGCTAGCCTTGAGGATTTCGTTGGAAACGGGATTACATATAAAAAGGAGACAGCAGCATTCTCAGAAACTTCTTTGTGATGTCTGCATTCAAGTCACAGAGTTGAGCATTCCCTTTCATAGAGCAGGTTGGAAACACTCTTTTTGTAGTATCTGGATGAGGACATTTGGAGCGCTTTCAGGCCTATGGTGAAAAAGGAAATATCTTCCCGTAAAAACTAGACAGAAGCATTCTCAGAAATTTATTTGTGATGTGTGCCCTCAACTAACAGAGTTGAACCTTTCTTTTGATAGAGCAGTTTTGAAACACTCTTTTTGTAAAATCTGCAAGAGGATATTTGGATAGCTTTGAGGATTTCGTTGCAAACGGGAATGGCTTCATATAAACTCTAGACAGAAGCATTCTCAGAAACGTCGTTGGGATGTTTCGATTGAAGTCCCAGTGTTGAACATTCCCTTTTATAGAGCAGGTTGGAAACACTCTTTCTGCATTCCCTGGAAGTGGACATTTGGAGCGCTTTCAGGACGACGGTGAAAATGGAAATATCTTCCAAGAAAATCTAGATAGAAGCAATGTCAGAAACTTTTATGTGATGGATCTACTCAGCTAACAGAGTTGAACCTTTCTTTTGAGAGAGCAGTTTTGCAACACTCTTTTTGTGGAATATGCAAGTGGATATTAGGGCAGCTTTGAGGATTTCGTTGGAAACGGGAATACATGTAAAAAGCAGACAGCAGCATTCTCAGAAACTTCTTTGTGATGTTTGCATTGAAGTCACAGAGTTGAACATTCCCTTTGAGAGAGCAGGTTTGAAACACGCCTTTTGTCATATCTGGAAGTGTCCATTCGGAGCGCATTCAGGCTTGTGTTGAAAAAGGAAATATCCTCCCATAAAAACTAGACAGAAGCATTCTCAGAAACTTATCTGTGATGTATGTACTCAACTAACAGAACTAAACCATCGTTTTGAAGGAGCAGTTTTGAAACACTCTTTTTGCGGAATCTGCAAGTGGATATTTGGCTAGCTGGGAGGATTTCGTTGGAAACGGGATTACATACAAAAAGCAGACAGCAGCATTCTCAGAACTTCTTTGTGATGTTTGCATTCAAGTCACAGAGTTGAACATTCCCTTTCATAGAGCAGGTTTGAAACACTCTTTTTGTAGTATCTGGATGTGGACATTTGGATCGCTTTCAGGCCTATGGTGAAAAAGGAAATATCTTCCCATGAAAACTAGACAGAAGCATTCTCAGAAACTTATTTGTGATGTGTGCCCTCAACTGACAGTGTTGAACCTTTGTTTTGATAGAGCAGTTCTGAAACACACTTTTTGTAAAATCTGCAAGAGGATATTTGGATAGCTTTGAGGATTTCGTTGGAAACGGGAATGTCTTCATGTAAACTCTAGACAGAAGCATTCTCAGAAACTGCTTTGGGATATTTCAATTGAAGTCCCAGTGTTGAACATTCCCTTTCATAGAGCAGGTTTGAAACACTCTTTTTGTACTATCTGGAAGTGGACATTTGGAGCGCTTTCAGGTCTACGGTGAAAAAGGAGATATCTTCCAATAAAAACTAGATAGAAGCAATGTCAGAACTTTTTTCATGATGTATCTACTCAGCAAACAGAGTTGAACCTTTCTTTTGGGAGAGCAGTTTTGAAACACTCTTTTTGTGGAATATGCAAGTGGGTATTAGGCCAGCTTGGAGGATTTCGTTGGAAACGGGAATACGTATAAAAAGCAGACAGCAGCATTGTCAGAAACTACTTTGTGATGTTTGCATTCAAGTCACAGAATTGAACACTCCCTTTCACAGAGCAGGTTTGAAACACTCTTTTTGTAGTGTCTGTAAGTGAACATTTGGATTGCTTTCAGGCCTAAGGTGAAAAAGGAAATATCTTCCCATAAAAACTAGACAGAAGCATTCTCAGAAACTTGTTTGTGATGTGTGCCCTCTACTGACAGAGTTGAACCTTTCTTTGCAAAGAGCAGTTTTGAAACACTCTTTTTGTAGAATCTGCAAAAGGATATTTGGATAGCTTTGAGGATTTCTTGGGAAACGGGAATGTCTTCAGATAAACTCTAGACAGAAGCATTCTCAGCAAACTTCTTTGGGATGTTTCAATTGAAGTCACAGTGTTGAACATTTCCTTTCACAGAGCAGGTTTGAAACACTCTTTTTGTAGTGTCTATAAGTGAACATTTGGCGTGCTTTCAGGCCTAATGTGAAAAAGGAAATATCTTCCCATAAAAACTAGACAGAAGCATTCTCAGAAACTTGTTCGTGATGTGTGCCCTCTACTGACAGAGTTGAACCTTTCTTTGCAAAGAGCAGCTTTGAAACACTCTTTTTGTAGAATCTGCAAGAGGATATGTGGATAGCTTTGAGGATTTCGTTGGAAACGGGTATGTCTTCAGATAAACTCCAGACAGAAGCATTCTCAGAAACTTCTTTGGGATGTTTCAATTGAAGTCACAGTGTTGAACATTCCCTTTCACAGAGCAGGTTTGAAACACTCTTTTTGTAGTGTCTATAAGTGAACATTTGGCGTGCTTTCAGGCCTAACGTGAAAAAGGAAATATCTTCCCATAAAAACTAGACAGAAGCATTCTCAGAAACTTGTTCATGATGTGTGCCCTCTACTGACAGAGTTGAACCTTTCTTTGCAAAGAGCAGCTTTGAAACACTCTTTTTGTAGAATCTGCAAGAGGATATTTGGATAGCTTGGAGGATTTCGTTGGAAACGGGTATGTCTTCAGATAAACTCTAGACAGAAGCATTCTCAGAAACTTCTTTGGGATGTTGCATTCAAGTCACAGAGTAGAACATTCCCATTCATAGAGCAGATTTGAAACACTCTTTTTGTAGTATCTGGAAGTGGACATTTGGAGCGCTTTCAGGCCTATGTTGAAAAAGGAAATATCTTCCCATAAAAACTAGACGGAAGCATTCTCAGAAACTTACTTGTGATGTGTTTGCTCAACTAACAGAATTGAACCATCGTTTTGAAGGAGCAGTTTTGAAACACTGTTTTCGTGGAATCTGCAAGTGGATATTTGGCTAGCTTTGAGGATTTCGTTGGAAACGGGATTACATATAAAAAGGAGACAGCAGCATTCTCAGAAACTTCTTTGTGATGTCTGCATTCAAGTCACAGAGTTGAGCATTCCCTTTCATAGAGAAGGTTGGAAACACTCTTTTTGTAGTATCTGGATGAGGACATTTGGAGCGCTTTCAGGCGTATGGTGAAAAAGGAAATATCTTCCCGTAAAAACTAGACAGAAGCATTCTCAGAAATTTATTTGTGATGTGTGCCCTCAACTAACAGAGTTGAACCTTTCTTTTGATAGAGCAGTTTTGAAACACTCTTTTTGTAAAATCTGCAAGAGGATATTTGGATAGCTTTGAGGATTTCGTTGCAAACGGGAATGGCTTCATATAAACTCTAGACAGAAGCATTCTCAGAAACTTCGTTGGGATGTTTCGATTGAAGTCCCAGTGTTGAACATTCCCTTTTATAGAGCAGGTTGGAAACACTCTTTCTGCATTCCCTGGAAGTGGACATTTGGAGCGCTTTCAGGACGACGGTGAAAATGGAAATATCTTCCAAGAAAATCTAGATAGAAGCAATGTCAGAAACTTTTATGAGATGGATCTACTCAGCTAACAGAGTTGAACCTTTCTTTTGAGAGAGCAGTTTTGCAACACTCTTTTTGTGGAATATGCAAGTGGATATTAGGGCAGCTTTGAGGATTTCGTTGGAAACGGGAATACATGTAAAAAGCAGACAGCAGCATTCTCAGAAACTTCTTTGTGATGTTTGCATTGAAGTCACAGAGTTGAACATTCCCTTTGAGAGAGCAGGTTTGAAACACGCCTTTTGTCATATCTGGAAGTGTCCATTCGGAGCGCATTCAGGCTTGTGTTGAAAAAGGAAATATCCTCCCATAAAAACTAGACAGAAGCATTCTCAGAAACTTATCTGTGATGTATGTACTCAACTAACAGAACTAAACCATCGTTTTGAAGGAGCAGTTTTGAAACACTCTTTTTGCGGAATCTGCAAGTGGATATTTGGCTAGCTGGGAGGATTTCGTTGGAAACGGGATTACATACAAAAAGCAGACAGCAGCATTCTCAGAAACTTCTTTGTGATGTTTGCATTCAAGTCACAGAGTTGAACATTCCCTTTCATAGAGCAGGTTTGAAACACTCTTTTTGTAGTATCTGGATGTGGACATTTGGATCGCTTTCAGGCCTATGGTGAAAAAGGAAATATCTTCCCATGAAAACTAGACAGAAGCATTCTCAGAAACTTATTTGTGATGTGTGCCCTCAACTGACAGTGTTGAACCTTTGTTTTGATAGAGCAGTTCTGAAACACACTTTTTGTAAAATCTGCAAGAGGATATTTGGATAGCTTTGAGGATTTCGTTGGAAACGGGAATGTCTTCATGTAAACTCTACACAGAAGCATTCTCAGAAACTGCTTTGGGATGTTTCAATTGAAGTCCCAGTGTTGAACATTCCCATTCATAGAGCAGGTTTGAAACACTCTTTTTGTACTATCTGGAAGTGGACATTTGGAGCGCTTTCAGGTCTACGGTGAAAAAGGAGATATCTTCCAATAAAAACTAGATAGAAGCAATGTCAGAACTTTTTTCATGATGTATCTACTCAGCTAACAGAGTTGAACCTTTCTTTTGAGAGAGCAGTTTTGAAACACTCTTTTTGTGGAATATGCAAGTGGGTATTAGGCCAGCTTGGAGGATTTCGTTGGAAACGGGAATACGTATAAAAAGCAGACAGCAGCATTGTCAGAAACTACTTTGTGATGTTTGCATTCAAGTCACAGAATTGAACACTCCCTTTCACAGAGCAGGTTTGAAACACTCTTTTTGTAGTGTCTGTAAGTGAACATTTGGATTGATTTCAGGCCTAAGGTGAAAAAGGAAATATCTTCCCATAAAAACTAGACAGAAGCATTCTCAGAAACTTGTTTGTGATGTGTGCCCTCTACTGACAGAGTTGAACCTTTCTTTGCAAAGAGCAGTTTTGAAACACTCTTTTTGTAGAATCTGCAAGAGGATATTTGGATAGCTTTGAGGATTTCTTGGGAAACGGGAATGTCTTCAGATAAACTCTAGACAGAAGCATTCTCAGAAACTTCTTTGGGATGTTTCAATTGAAGTCACAGTGTTGAACATTCCCTTTCACAGAGCAGGTTTGAAACACTCTTTTTGTAGTGTCTATAAGTGAACATTTGGCGTGCTTTCAGGCGTAACGTGAAAAAGGAAATATCTTCCCATAAAAACTAGACAGAAGCATTCTCAGAAACTTGTTCGTGATGTGTGCCCTCTACTGACAGAGTTGAACCTTTCTTTGCAAAGAGCAGCTTTGAAACACACTTTTTGTAGAATCTGCAAGAGGATATTTGGATAGCTTTGAGGATTTCTTGGGAAACGGGTATGTCTTCAGATAAACTCTAGACAGAAGCATTCTCAGAAATTTCTTTGGGATGTTGCATGCAAGTCACAGAGTAGAACATTCCCATTCATAGAGCAGATTTGAAACACTCTTTTTGTACTATCTGGAAGTGGACATTTGGAGCGCTTTCAGGCCTATGTTGAAAAAGGAAATATCTTCCCATAAAAACTAGACGGAAGCATTCTCAGAAACTTAATTGTGATGAGTTTGCTCAACTAACAGGATTGAACCATCGTTTTGAAGGAGCAGTTTTGAAACACTGTTTTCGTGGAATCTGCAAGTGGATATTTGGCTAGCTTTGAGGATTTCGTTGGAAACGGGATTACATATAAAAAGGAGACAGCAGCATTCTCAGAAACTTCTTTGTGATGTCTGCATTCAATTCACAGAGTTGAGCATTCCCTTTCATAGAGCAGGTTGGAAACACTCTTTTTGTAGTATCTGGATGAGGACATTTGGAGCGCTTTCAGGCGTATGGTGAAAAGGGAAATATCTTCCCGTAAAAACTAGACAGAAGCATTCTCAGAAGTTTATTTGTGATGTGTGCCCTCAACTAACAGAGTTGGACCTTTCTTTTGATAGAGCAGTTTTGAAACACTCTTTTTGTAAAATCTGCAAGAGGATATTTGGATAGCTTTGAGGATTTCGTTGCAAACGGGAATGGCTTCATATAAACTCTAGACAGAAGCATTCTCAGAAACTTCGTTGGGATGTTTCGATTGAAGTCCCAGTGTTGAACATTCCCTTTTATAGAGCAGGTTGGAAACACTCTTTCTGCATTCCCTGGAAGTGGACATTTGGAGCGCTTTCAGGACGACGGTGAAAATGGAAATATCTTCCAAGAAAATCTAGATAGAAGCAACGTCAGAAACTTTTCTGTGATGGATCTACTCAGCTAACAGAGTTGAACCTTTCTTTTGAGAGAGCAGTTTTGCAACACTCTTTTTGTGGAATATGCAAGTGGATATTAGGGCAGCTTTGAGGATTTCGTTGGAAACGGGAATACATGTAAAAAGCAGACAGCAGCATTCTCAGAAACTTCTTTGTGATGTTTGCATTGAAGTCACAGAGTTGAACATTCCCTTTGAGAGAGCAGGTTTGAAACACGCCTTTTGTCATATCTGGAAGTGTCCATTCGGAGCGCATTCAGGCTTGTGTTGAAAAAGAAAATATCCTCCCATAAAAACTAGACAGAAGCATTCTCAGAAACTTATCTGTGATGTATGTACTCAACTAACAGAACTAAACCATCGTTTTGAAGGAGCAGTTTTGAAACACTCTTTTTGCGGAATCTGCAAGTGGATATTTGGCTAGCTGGGAGGATTTCGTTGGAAACGGGATTACATACAAAAAGCAGACAGCAGCATTCTCAGAAACTTCTTTGTGATGTTTGCATTCAAGTCACAGAGTTGAACATTCCCTTTCATAGAGCAGGTTTGAAACACTCTTTTTGTAGTATCTGGATGTGGACATTTGGATCGCTTTCAGGCCTATGGTGAAAAAGGAAATATCTTCCCATGAAAACTAGACAGAAGCATTCTCAGAAACTTATTTGTGATGTGTGCCCTCAACTGACAGTGTTGAACCTTTGTTTTGATAGAGCAGTTCTGAAACACACTTTTTGTAAAATCTGCAAGAGGATATTTGGATAGCTTTGAGGATTTCGTTGGAAACGGGAATGTCTTCATGTAAACTCTAGACAGAAGCATTCTCAGAAACTGCTTTGGGATGTTTCAATTGAAGTCCCAGTGTTGAACATTCCCATTCATAGAGCAGGTTTGAAACACTCTTTTTGTACTATCTGGAAGTGGACATTTGGAGCGCTTTCAGGTCTACGGTGAAAAAGGAGATATCTTCCAATAAAAACTAGATAGAAGCAATGTCAGAACTTTTTTCATGATGTATCTACTCAGCAAACAGAGTTGAACCTTTCTTTTGAGAGAGCAGTTTTGAAACAGTCTTTGTGGAATATGCAAGTGGGTATTAGGCCAGCTTGGAGGATTTCGTTGGAAACGGGAATACGTATAAAAAGCAGACAGCAGCATTGTCAGAAACTACTTTGTGATGTTTGCATTCAAGTCACAGAATTGAACACTCCCTTTCACAGAGCAGGTTTGAAACACTCTTTTTGTAGTGTCTGTAAGTGAACATTTGGATTGCTTTCAGGCCTAAGGTGAAAAAGGAAATATCTTCCCATAAAAACTAGACAGAAGCATTCTCAGAAACTTGTTTGTGATGTGTGCCCTCTACTGACAGAGTTGAACCTTTCTTTGCAAAGAGCAGTTTTGAAACACTCTTTTTGTAGAATCTGCAAGAGGATATTTGGATAGCTTTGAGGATTTCTTGGGAAACGGGAATGTCTTCAGATAAACTCTAGACAGAAGCATTCTCAGAAACTTCTTTGGGATGTTTCAATTGAAGTCACAGTGTTGAACATTCCCTTTCACAGAGCAGGTTTGAAACACTCTTTTTGTAGTGTCTATAAGTGAACATTTGGCGTGCTTTCAGGCGTAACGTGAAAAAGGAAATATCTTCCCATAAAAATTAGACAGAAAGCATTCTCAGCAAACTTGTTCGTGATGTGTGCCCTCTACTGATAGAGTTGAACCTTTCTTTGCAAAGAGCAGCTTTGAAACACACTTTTTGTAGAATCTGCAAGAGGATATTTGGATAGCTTTGAGGATTTCGTTGGAAACGGGTATGTCTTCAGATAAACTCTAGACAGAAGCATTCTCAGAAACTTCTTTGGGATGTTGCATTCAAGTCACAGAGTAGAACATTCCCATTCATAGAGCAGATTTGAAACACTCTTTTTGTAGTATCTGGAAGTGGACATTTGGAGCGCTTTCAGGCCTATGTTGAAAAAGGAAATATCTTCCCATAAAAACTAGACGGAAGCATTCTCAGAAACTTATTTGTGATGTGTTTGCTCAACTAACAGGATTGAACCATCGTTTTGAAGGAGCAGTTTTGAAACACTGTTTTCGTGGAATCTGCAAGTGGATATTTGGCTAGCTTTGAGGATTTCGTTGGAAACGGGATTACATATAAAAAGGAGACAGCAGCATTCTCAGAAACTTCTTTGTGATGTTTGCATTCAAGTCACAGAGTTGAACATTCCCTTTCATAGAGCAGGTTTGAAACACTCTTTTTGTAGTATCTGGATGTGGACATTTGGATCGCTTTCAGGCCTATGGTGAAAAAGGAAATATCTTCCCATGAAAACTAGACAGAAGCATTCTCAGAAACTTATTTGTGATGTGTGCCCTCAACTGACAGTGTTGAACCTTTGTTTTGATAGAGCAGTTCTGAAACACACTTTTTGTAAAATCTGCAAGAGGATATTTGGATAGCTTTGAGGATTTCGTTGGAAACGGGAATGTCTTCATGTAAACTCTACACAGAAGCATTCTCAGAAACTGCTTTGGGATGTTTCAATTGAAGTCCCAGTGTTGAACATTCCCATTCATAGAGCAGGTTTGAAACACTCTTTTTCTACTATCTGGAAGTGGACATTTGGAGCGCTTTCAGGTCTACGGTGAAAAAGGAGATATCTTCCAATAAAAACTAGATAGAAGCAATGTCAGAACTATTTTCATGATGTATCTACTCAGCAAACAGAGTTGAACCTTTCTTTTGAGAGAGCAGTTTTGACACTGTCTTTGTGGAATATGCAAGTGGGTATTAGGCCAGCTTGGAGGATTTCGTTGGAAACGGGAATACGTATAAAAAAGCAGACAGCAGCATTGTCAGAAACTACTTTGTGATGTTTGCATTCAAGTCACAGAATTGAACACTCCCTTTCACAGAGCAGGTTTGAAACACTCTTTTTGTAGTGTCTGTAAGTGAACATATGGATTGCTTTCAGGCCTAAGGTGAAAAAGGAAATATCTTCCCATAAAAACTAGACAGAAGCATTCTCAGAAACTTGTTTGTGATGTGTGCCCTCTACTGACAGAGTTGAACCTTTCTTTGCAAAGAGCAGTTTTGAAACACTCTTTTTGTAGAATCTGCAAGAGGATATTTGGATAGCTTTGAGGATTTCTTGGGAAACGGGAATGTCTTCAGATAAACTCTAGACAGAAGCATTCTCAGAAACTTCTTTGGGATGTTTCAATTGAAGTCACAGTGTTGAACATTCCCTTTCACAGAGCAGGTTTGAAACACTCTTTTTGTAGTGTCTATAAGTGAACATTTGGCGTGCTTTCAGGCGTAACGTGAAAAAGGAAATATCTTCCCATAAAAACTAGACAGAAGCATTCTCAGAAACTTGTTCTTGATGTGTCCCCTCTACTGACAGAGTTGAACCTTTCTTTGCAAAGAGCAGCTTTGAAACACTCTTTTTGTAGAATCTGCAAGAGGATATTTGGATAGCTTTGAGGATTTCGTTGGAAACGGGTATGACTTCAGATAAACTCTAGACAGAAGCATTCTCAGAAACTTCTTTGGGATGTTGCATTCAAGTCACAGAGTAGAACATTCCCATTCATAGAGCAGATTTGAAACACTCTTTTTGTAGTATCTGGAAGTGGACATTTGGAGCGCTTTCAGGCCTATGTTGAAAAAGGAAATATCTTCCCATAAAAACTAGACGGAAGCATTCTCAGAAACTTATTTGTGATGTGTTTGCTCAACTAACAGGATTGAACCATCGTTTTGAAGGAGCAGTTTTGAAACACTGTTTTCGTGGAATCTGCAAGTGGATATTTGGCTAGCTTTGAGGATTTCGTTGGAAACGGGATTACATATACAAAGGAGACAGCAGCATTCTCAGAAACTTCTTTGTGATGTCTGCATTCAAGTCACAGAGTTGAGCATTCCCTTTCATAGAGCAGGTTGGAAACACTCTTTTTGTAGTATCTGGATGAGGACATTTGGAGCGCTTTCAGGCGTATGGTGAAAAAGGAAATATCTTCCCGTAAAAACTAGACAGAAGCATTCTCAGAAATTTATTTGTGATGTGTGCCCTCAACTAACAGAGTTGAACCTTTCTTTTGATAGAGCAGTTTTGAAACACTCTTTTTGTAAAATCTGCAAGAGGATATTTGGATAGCTTTGAGGATTTCGTTGCAAACGGGAATGGCTTCATATAAACTCTAGACAGAAGCATTCTCAGAAACTTCGTTGGGATGTTTCGATTGAAGTCCCAGTGTTGAACATTCCCTTTTATAGAGCAGGTTGGAAACACTCTTTCTGCATTCCCTGGAAGTGGACATTTGGAGCGCTTTCAGGACGACGGTGAAAATGGAAATATCTTCCAAGAAAATCTAGATAGAAGCAACGTCAGAAACTTTTCTGTGATGGATCTACTCAGCTAACAGAGTTGAACCTTTCTTTTGAGAGAGCAGTTTTGCAACACTCTTTTTGTGGAATATGCAAGTGGATATTAGGGCAGCTTTGAGGATTTCGTTGGAAACGGGAATACATGTAAAAAGCAGACAGCAGCATTCTCAGAAACTTCTTTGTGATGTTTGCATTGAAGTCACAGAGTTGAACATTCCCTTTGAGAGAGCAGGTTTGAAACACGCCTTTTGTCATATCTGGAAGTGTCCATTCGGAGCGCATTCAGGCTTGTGTTGAAAAAGGAAATATCCTCCCATAAAAACTAGACAGAAGCATTCTCAGAAACTTATCTGTGATGTATGTACTCAACTAACAGAACTAAACCATCGTTTTGAAGGAGCAGTTTTGAAACACTCTTTTTGCGGAATCTGCAAGTGGATATTTGGCTAGCTGGGAGGATTTCGTTGGAAACGGGATTACATACAAAAAGCAGACAGCAGCATTCTCAGAAACTTCTTTGTGATGTTTGCATTCAAGTCACAGAGTTGAACATTCCCTTTCATAGAGCAGGTTTGAAACACTCTTTTTGTAGTATCTGGATGTGGACATTTGGATCGCTTTCAGGCCTATGGTGAAAAAGGAAATATCTTCCCATGAAAACTAGACAGAAGCATTCTCAGAAACTTATTTGTGATGTGTGCCCTCAACTGACAGTGTTGAACCTTTGTTTTGATAGAGCAGTTCTGAAACACACTTTTTGTAAAATCTGCAAGAGGATATTTGGATAGCTTTGAGGATTTCGTTGGAAACGGGAATGTCTTCATGTAAACTCTAGACAGAAGCATTCTCAGAAACTGCTTTGGGATGTTTCAATTGAAGTCCCAGTGTTGAACATTCCCTTTCATAGAGCAGGTTTGAAACACTCTTTTTGTACTATCTGGAAGTGGACATTTGGAGCGCTTTCAGGTCTACGGTGAAAAAGGAGATATCTTCCAATAAAAACTAGATAGAAGCAATGTCAGAACTTTTTTCATGATGTATCTACTCAGCAAACAGAGTTGAACCTTTCTTTTGAGAGAGCAGTTTTGAAACACTCCTTTTGTGGAATATGCAAGTGGGTATTAGGCCAGCTTGGAGGATTTCGTTGGAAACGGGAATACGTATAAAAAGCAGACAGCAGCATTGTCAGAAACTACTTTGTGATGTTTGCATTCAAGTCACAGAATTGAACACTCCCTTTCACAGAGCAGGTTTGAAACACTCTTTTTGTAGTGTCTATAAGTGAACATTTGGCGTGCTTTCAGGCCTAAGGTGAAAAAGGAAATATCTTCCCATAAAAACTAGACAGAAGCATTCTCAGAAACTTGTTCGTGATGTGTGCCCTCTACTGACAGAGTTGAACCTTTCTTTGCAAAGAGCAGCTTTGAAACACTCTTTTTGTAGAATCTGCAAGAGGATATTTGGATAGCTTTGAGGATTTCGTTGGAAACGGGTATGTCTTCAGATAAACTCTAGACAGAAGCATTCTCAGAAACTTCTTTGGGATGTTGCATTCAAGTCACAGAGTAGAACATTCCCATTCATAGAGCAGATTTGAAACA
Source organism: Homo sapiens (assembly GCF_000001405.40). Classification (NCBI taxonomy): domain Eukaryota; kingdom Metazoa; phylum Chordata; class Mammalia; order Primates; family Hominidae; genus Homo; species Homo sapiens. Next base: position 26,871,695 of record NC_000020.11, read on the forward strand.
CTCTTTTTGTAGTATCTGGAAGTGGACATTTGGAGCGCTTTCAGGCCTATGTTGAAAAAGGAAATATCTTCCCATAAAAACTAGACGGAAGCATTCTCAGAAACTTACTTGTGATGTGTTTGCTCAACTAACAGAATTGAACCATCGTTTTAAAGGAGCAGTTTTGAAACACTGTTTTCGTGGAATCTGCAAGTGGATATTTGGCTAGCTTTGAGGATTTCGTTGGAAACGGGATTACATATAAAAAGGAGACAGCAGCATTCTCAGAAACTTCTTTGTGATGTCTGCATTCAAGTCACAGAGTTGAGCATTCCCTTTCATAGAGCAGGTTGGAAACACTCTTTTTGTAGTATCTGGATGAGGACATTTGGAGCGCTTTCAGGCGTATGGTGAAAAAGGAAATATCTTCCCGTAAAAACTAGACAGAAGCATTCTCAGAAATTTATTTGTGATGTGTGCCCTCAACTAACAGAGTTGAACCTTTCTTTTGATAGAGCAGTTTTGAAACACTCTTTTTGTAAAATCTGCAAGAGGATATTTGGATAGCTTTGAGGATTTCGTTGCAAACGGGAATGGCTTCATATAAACTCTAGACAGAAGCATTCTCAGAAACTTCGTTGGGATGTTTCGATTGAAGTCCCAGTGTTGAACATTCCCTTTTATAGAGCAGGTTGGAAACACTCTTTCTGCATTCCCTGGAAGTGGACATTTGGAGCGCTTTCAGGACGACGGTGAAAATGGAAATATCTTCCAAGAAAATCTAGATAGAAGCAACGTCAGAAACTTTTCTGTGATGGATCTACTCAGCTAACAGAGTTGAACCTTTCTTTTGAGAGAGCAGTTTTGCAACACTCTTTTTGTGGAATATGCAAGTGGATATTAGGGCAGCTTTGAGGATTTCGTTGGAAACGGGAATACATGTAAAAAGCAGACAGCAGCATTCTCAGAAACTTCTTTGTGATGTTTGCATTGAAGTCACAGAGTTGAACATTCCCTTTGAGAGAGCAGGTTTGAAACACGCCTTTTGTCATATCTGGAAGTGTCCATTCGGAGCGCATTCAGGCTTGTGTTGAAAAAGGAAATATCCTCCCATAAAAACTAGACAGAAGCATTCTCAGAAACTTATCTGTGATGTATGTACTCAACTAACAGAACTAAACCATCGTTTTGAAGGAGCAGTTTTGAAACACTCTTTTTGCGGAATCTGCAAGTGGATATTTGGCTAGCTGGGAGGATTTCGTTGGAAACGGGATTACATACAAAAAGCAGACAGCAGCATTCTCAGAAACTTCTTTGTGATGTTTGCATTCAAGTCACAGAGTTGAACATTCCCTTTCATAGAGCAGGTTTGAAACACTCTTTTTGTAGTATCTGGATGTGGACATTTGGATCGCTTTCAGGCCTATGGTGAAAAAGGAAATATCTTCCCATGAAAACTAGACAGAAGCATTCTCAGAAACTTATTTGTGATGTGTGCCCTCAACTGACAGTGTTGAACCTTTGTTTTGATAGAGCAGTTCTGAAACACACTTTTTGTAAAATCTGCAAGAGGATATTTGGATAGCTTTGAGGATTTCGTTGGAAACGGGAATGTCTTCATGTAAACTCTGGACAGAAGCATTCTCAGAAACTGCTTTGGGATGTTTCAATTGAAGTCCCAGTGTTGAACATTCCCATTCATAGAGCAGGTTTGAAACACTCTTTTTGTACTATCTGGAAGTGGACATTTGGAGCGCTTTCAGGTCTACGGTGAAAAAGGAGATATCTTCCAATAAAAACTAGATAGAAGCAATGTCAGAACTTTTTTCATGATGTATCTACTCAGCAAACAGAGTTGAACCTTTCTTTTGAGAGAGCAGTTTTGAAACACTCTTTTTGTGGAATATGCAAGTGGGTATTAGGCCAGCTTGGAGGATTTCGTTGGAAACGGGAATACGTATAAAAAGCAGACAGCAGCATTGTCAGAAACTACTTTGTGATGTTTGCATTCAAGTCACAGAATTGAACACTCCCCTTTCACAGAGCAGGTTTCAAACACTGTTTTTGTAGTGTCTGTAAGTGAACATATGGATTGCTTTCAGGCCTAAGGTGAAAAAGGAAATATCTTCCCATAAAAACTAGACAGAAGCATTCTCAGAAACTTGTTTGTGATGTGTGCCCTCTACTGACAGAGTTGAACCTTTCTTTGCAAAGAGCAGTTTTGAAACACTCTTCTTGTAGAATCTGCAAGAGGATATTTGGATAGCTTTGAGGATTTCTTGGGAAACGGGAATGTCTTCAGATAAACTCTAGACAGAAGCATTCTCAGAAACTTCTTTGGGATGTTTCAATTGAAGTCACAGTGTTGAACATTCCCTTTCACAGAGCAGGTTTGAAACACTCTTTTTGTAGTGTCTATAAGTGAACATTTGGCGTGCTTTCAGGCCTAACGTGAAAAAGGAAATATCTTCCCATAAAAACTAGACAGAAGCATTCTCAGAAACTTGTTCTTGATGTGTCCCCTCTACTGACAGAGTTGAACCTTTCTTTGCAAAGAGCAGCTTTGAAACACTCTTTTTGTAGAATCTGCAAGAGGATATTTGGATAGCTTGGAGGATTTCGTTGGAAACGGGTATGTCTTCAGATAAACTCTAGACAGAAGCATTCTCAGAAACTTCTTTGGGATGTTGCATTCAAGTCACAGAGTAGAACATTCCCATTCATAGAGCAGATTTGAAACACTCTTTTTGTAGTATCTGGAAGTGGACATTTGGAGCGCTTTCAGGCCTATGTTGAAAAAGGAAATATCTTCCCATAAAAACTAGACGGAAGCATTCTCAGAAACTTATTTGTGATGTGTTTGCTCAACTAACAGGATTGAACCATCGTTTTGAAGGAGCAGTTTTGAAACACTGTTTTCGTGGAATCTGCAAGTGGATATTTGGCTAGCTTTGAGGATTTCGTTGGAAACGGGATTACATATAAAAAGGAGACAGCAGCATTCTCAGAAACTTCTTTGTGATGTCTGCATTCAATTCACAGAGTTGAGCATTCCCTTTCATAGAGCAGGTTGGAAACACTCTTTTTGTAGTATCTGGATGAGGACATTTGGAGCGCTTTCAGGCGTATGGTGAAAAAGGAAATATCTTCCCGTAAAAACTAGACAGAAGCATTCTCAGAAGTTTATTTGTGATGTGTGCCCTCAACTAACAGAGTTGAACCTTTCTTTTGATAGAGCAGTTTTGAAACACTCTTTTTGTAAAATCTGCAAGAGGATATTTGGATAGCTTTGAGGATTTCGTTGCAAACGGGAATGGCTTCATATAAACTCTAGACAGAAGCATTCTCAGAAACTTCGTTGGGATGTTTCGATTGAAGTCCCAGTGTTGAACATTCCCTTTTATAGAGCAGGTTGGAAACACTCTTTCTGCATTCCCTGGAAGTGGACATTTGGAGCGCTTTCAGGACGACGGTGAAAATGGAAATATCTTCCAAGAAAATCTAGATAGAAGCAACGTCAGAAACTTTTCTGTGATGGATCTACTCAGCTAACAGAGTTGAACCTTTCTTTTGAGAGAGCAGTTTTGCAACACTCTTTTTGTGGAATATGCAAGTGGATATTAGGGCAGCTTTGAGGATTTCGTTGGAAACGGGAATACATGTAAAAAGCAGACAGCAGCATTCTCAGAAACTTCTTTGTGATGTTTGCATTGAAGTCACAGAGTTGAACATTCCCTTTGAGAGAGCAGGTTTGAAACACGCCTTTTGTCATATCTGGAAGTGTCCATTCGGAGCGCATTCAGGCTTGTGTTGAAAAAGGAAATATCCTCCCATAAAAACTAGACAGAAGCATTCTCAGAAACTTATCTGTGATGTATGTACTCAACTAACAGAACTAAACCATCGTTTTGAAGGAGCAGTTTTGAAACACTCTTTTTGCGGAATCTGCAAGTGGATATTTGGCTAGCTGGGAGGATTTCGTTGGAAACGGGATTACATACAAATAGCAGACAGCAGCATTCTCAGAAACTTCTTTGTGATGTTTGCATTCAAGTCACAGAGTTGAACATTCCCTTTCATAGAGCAGGTTTGAAACACTCTTTTTGTAGTATCTGGATGTGGACATTTGGATCGCTTTCAGGCCTATGGTGAAAAAGGAAATATCTTCCCATGAAAACTAGACAGAAGCATTCTCAGAAACTTATTTGTGATGTGTGCCCTCAACTGACAGTGTTGAACCTTTGTTTTGATAGAGCAGTTCTGAAACACACTTTTTGTAAAATCTGCAAGAGGATATTTGGATAGCTTTGAGGATTTCGTTGGAAACGGGAATGTCTTCATGTAAACTCTACACAGAAGCATTCTCAGAAACTGCTTTGGGATGTTTCAATTGAAGTCCCAGTGTTGAACATTCCCTTTCATAGAGCAGGTTTGAAACACTCTTTTTGTACTATCTGGAAGTGGACATTTGGAGCGCTTTCAGGTCTACGGTGAAAAAGGAGATATCTTCCAATAAAAACTAGATAGAAGCAATGTCAGAACTTTTTTCATGATGTATCTACTCAGCAAACAGAGTTGAACCTTTCTTTTGAGAGAGCAGTTTTGAAACACTCTTTTTGTGGAATATGTAAGTGGGTATTAGGCCAGCTTGGAGGATTTCGTTGGAAACGGGAATACGTATAAAAAGCAGACAGCAGCATTGTCAGAAACTACTTTGTGATGTTTGCATTCAAGTCACAGAATTGAACACTCCCTTTCACAGAGCAGGTTTGAAACACTCTTTTTGTAGTGTCTGTAAGTGAACATTTGGATTGCTTTCAGGCCTAAGGTGAAAAAGGAAATATCTTCCCATAAAAACTAGACAGAAGCATTCTCAGAAACTTGTTTGTGATGTGTGCCCTCTACTGACAGAGTTGAACCTTTCTTTGCAAAGAGCAGTTTTGAAACACTCTTTTTGTAGAATCTGCAAGAGGATATTTGGATAGCTTTGAGGATTTCTTGGGAAACGGGAATGTCTTCAGATAAACTCTAGACAGAAGCATTCTCAGAAACTTCTTTGGGATGTTTCAATTGAAGTCACAGTGTTGAACATTCCCTTTCACAGAGCAGGTTTGAAACACTCTTTTTGTAGTGTCTATAAGTGAACATTTGGCGTGCTTTCAGGCGTAACGTGAAAAAGGAAATATCTTCCCATAAAAACCAGACAGAAGCATTCTCAGAAACTTGTTCGTGATGTGTGCCCTCTACTGACAGAGTTGAACCTTTCTTTGCAAAGAGCAGCTTTGAAACACTCTTTTTGTAGAATCTGCAAGAGGATATTTGGATAGCTTTGAGGATTTCGTTGGAAACGGGTATGTCTTCAGATAAACTCTAGACAGAAGCATTCTCAGAAACTTCTTTGGGATGTTGCATTCAAGTCACAGAGTAGAACATTCCCATTCATAGAGCAGATTTGAAACACTCTTTTTGTAGTATCTGGAAGTGGACATTTGGAGCGCTTTCAGGCCTATGTTGAAAAAGGAAATATCTTCCCATAAAAACTAGACGGAAGCATTCTCAGAAACTTACTTGTGATGTGTTTGCTCAACTAACAGAATTGAACCATCGTTTTGAAGGAGCAGTTTTGAAACACTGTTTTCGTGGAATCTGCAAGTGGATATTTGGCTAGCTTTGAGGATTTCGTTGGAAACGGGATTACATATACAAAGGAGACAGCAGCATTCTCAGAAACTTCTTTGTGATGTCTGCATTCAAGTCACAGAGTTGAGCATTCCCTTTCATAGAGCAAGTTGGAAACACTCTTTTTGTAGTATCTGGATGAGGACATTTGGAGCGCTTTCAGGCCTATGGTGAAAAAGGAAATATCTTCCCGTAAAAACTAGACAGAAGCATTCTCAGAAATTTATTTGTGATGTGTGCCCTCAACTAACAGAGTTGAACCTTTCTTTTGATAGAGCAGTTTTGAAACACTCTTTTTGTAAAATCTGCAAGAGGATATTTGGATAGCTTTGAGGATTTCATTGCAAACGGGAATGGCTTCATATAAACTCTAGACAGAAGCATTCTCAGAAACTTCGTTGGGATGTTTCGATTGAAGTCCCAGTGTTGAACATTCCCTTTTATAGAGCAGGTTGGAAACACTCTTTCTGCATTCCCTGGAAGTGGACATTTGGAGCGCTTTCAGGACGACGGTGAAAATGGAAATATCTTCCAACAAAATCTAGATAGAAGCAACGTCAGAAACTTTTCTGTGATGGATCTACTCAGCTAACAGAGTTGAACCTTTCTTTTGAGAGAGCAGTTTTGCAACACTCTTTTTGTGGAATATGCAAGTGGATATTAGGGCAGCTTTGAGGATTTCGTTGGAAACGGGAATACATGTAAAAAGCAGACAGCAGCATTCTCAGAAACTTCTTTGTGATGTTTGCATTGAAGTCACAGAGTTGAACATTCCCTTTGAGAGAGCAGGTTTGAAACACGCCTTTTGTCATATCTGGAAGTGTCCATTCGGAGCGCATTCAGGCTTGTGTTGAAAAAGGAAATATCCTCCCATAAAAACTAGACAGAAGCATTCTCAGAAACTTATCTGTGATGTATGTACTCAACTAACAGAACTAAACCATCGTTTTGAAGGAGCAGTTTTGAAACACTCTTTTTGCGGAATCTGCAAGTGGATATTTGGCTAGCTGGGAGGATTTCGTTGGAAACGGGATTACATACAAAAAGCAGACAGCAGCATTCTCAGAAACTTCTTTGTGATGTTTGCATTCAAGTCACAGAGTTGAACATTCCCTTTCATAGAGCAGGTTTGAAACACTCTTTTTGTAGTATCTGGATGTGGACATTTGGATCGCTTTCAGGCCTATGGTGAAAAAGGAAATATCTTCCCATGAAAACTAGACAGAAGCATTCTCAGAAACTTATTTGTGATGTGTGCCCTCAACTGACAGTGTTGAACATTTGTTTTGATAGAGCAGTTCTGAAACACACTTTTTGTAAAATCTGCAAGAGGATATTTGGATAGCTTTGAGGATTTCGTTGGAAACGGGAATGTCTTCATGTAAACTCTACACAGAAGCATTCTCAGAAACTGCTTTGGGATGTTTCAATTGAAGTCCCAGTGTTGAACATTCCCATTCATAGAGCAGGTTTGAAACACTCTTTTTGTACTATCTGGAAGTGGACATTTGGAGCGCTTTCAGGTCTACGGTGAAAAAGGAGATATCTTCCAATAAAAACTAGATAGAAGCAATGTCAGAACTTTTTTCATGATGTATCTACTCAGCTAACAGAGTTGAACCTTTCTTTTGAGAGAGCAGTTTTGAAACACTCTTTTTGTGGAATATGCAAGTGGGTATTAGGCCAGCTTGGAGGATTTCGTTGGAAACGGGAATACGTATAAAAAGCAGACAGCAGCATTGTCAGAAACTACTTTGTGATGTTTGCATTCAAGTCACAGAATTGAACACTCCCTTTCACAGAGCAGGTTTGAAACACTCTTTTTGTAGTGTCTGTAAGTGAACATATGGATTGCTTTCAGGCCTAAGGTGAAAAAGGAAATATCTTCCCATAAAAACTAGACAGAAGCATTCTCAGAAACTTGTTTGTGATGTGTGCCCTCTACTGACAGAGTTGAACCTTTCTTTGCAAAGAGCAGTTTTGAAACACTCTTTTTGTAGAATCTGCAAGAGGATATTTGGATAGCTCTGAGGATTTCTTGGGAAACGGGAATGTCTTCAGATAAACTCTAGACAGAAGCATTCTCAGAAACTTCTTTGGGATGTTTCAATTGAAGTCACAGTGTTGAACATTCCCTTTCACAGAGCAGGTTTGAAACACTCTTTTTGTAGTGTCTATAAGTGAACATTTGGCGTGCTTTCAGGCCTAACGTGAAAAAGGAAATATCTTCCCATAAAAACTAGACAGAAGCATTCTCAGAAACTTGTTCATGATGTGTGCCCTCTACTGACAGAGTTGAACCTTTCTTTGCAAAGAGCAGCTTTGAAACACTCTTTTTGTAGAATCTGCAAGAGGATATTTGGATAGCTTTGAGGATTTCGTTGGAAACGGGTATGTCTTCAGATAAACTCTAGACAGAAGCATTCTCAGAAACTTCTTTGGGATGTTGCATTCAAGTCACAGAGTAGAACATTCCCATTCATAGAGCAGATTTGAAACACTCTTTTTGTAGTATCTGGAAGTGGACATTTGGAGCGCTTTCAGGCCTATGTTGAAAAAGGAAATATCTTCCCATAAAAACTAGACGGAAGCATTCTCAGAAACTTACTTGTGATGTGTTTGCTCAACTAACAGGATTGAACCATCGTTTTGAAGGAGCAGTTTTGAAACACAGTTTTCGTGGAATCTGCAAGTGGATATTTGGCTAGCTTTGAGGATTTCGTTGGAAACGGGATTACATATAAAAAGGAGACAGCAGCATTCTCAGAAACTTCTTTGTGATGTCTGCATTCAATTCACAGAGTTGAGCATTCCCTTTCATAGAGCAGGTTGGAAACACTCTTTTTGTAGTATCTGGATGTGGACATTTGGATCGCTTTCAGGCCTATGGTAAAAAAGGAAATATCTTCCCATGAAAACTAGACAGAAGCATTCTCAGAAACTTATTTGTGATGTGTGCACTCAACTGACAGTGTTGAACCTTTGTTTTGATAGAGCAGTTCTGAAACACACTTTTTGTAAAATCTGCAAGAGGATATTTGGATAGCTTTGAGGATTTCGTTGGAAACGGGAATGTCTTCATGTAAACTCTAGACAGAAGCATTCTCAGAAACTGCTTTGGGATGTTTCAATTGAAGTCCCAGTGTTGAACATTCCCATTCATAGAGCAGGTTTGAAACACTCTTTTTCTACTATCTGGAAGTGGACATTTGGAGCGCTTTCAGGTCTACGGTGAAAAAGGAGATATCTTCCAATAAAAACTAGATAGAAGCAATGTCAGAACTTTTTTCATGATGTATCTACTCAGCAAACAGAGTTGAACCTTTCTTTTGAGAGAGCAGTTTTGAAACACTCTTTTTGTGGAATATGCAAGTGGGTATTAGGCCAGCTTGGAGGATTTCGTTGGAAACGGGAATACGTATAAAAAGCAGACAGCAGCATTGTCAGAAACTACTTTGTGATGTTTGCATTCAAGTCACAGAATTGAACACTCCCTTTCACAGAGCAGGTTTGAAACACTCTTTTTGTAGTGTCTGTAAGTGAACATTTGGATTGCTTTCAGGCCTATGGTGAAAAAGGAAATATCTTCCCATAAAAACTAGACAGAAGCATTCTCAGAAACTTGTTTGTGATGTGTGCCCTCTACTGACAGAGTTGAACCTTTCTTTGCAAAGAGCAGTTTTGAAACACTCTTTTTGTAGAATCTGCAAGAGGATATTTGGATAGCTTTGAGGATTTCTTGGGAAACGGGAATGTCTTCAGATAAACTCTAGACAGAAGCATTCTCAGAAACTTCTTTGGGATGTTTCAATTGAAGTCACAGTGTTGAACATTCCCTTTCACAGAGCAGGTTTGAAACACTCTTTTTGTAGTGTCTATAAGTGAACATTTGGCGTGCTTTCAGGCCTAACGTGAAAAAGGAAATATCTTCCCATAAAAACTAGACAGAAGCATTCTCAGAAATTTGTTCGTGATGTGTGCCCTCTACTGACAGAGTTGAACCTTTCTTTGCAAAGAGCAGCTTTGAAACACACTTTTTGTAGAATCTGCAAGAGGATATTTGGATAGCTTTGAGGATTTCGTTGGAAACGGGTATGTCTTCAGATAAACTCTAGACAGAAGCATTCTCAGAAACTTCTTTGGGATGTTGCATTCAAGTCACAGAGTAGAACATTCCCATTCATAGAGCAGATTTGAAACACTCTTTTTGTAGTATCTGGAAGTGGACATTTGGAGCGCTTTCAGGCCTATGTTGAAAAAGGAAATATCTTCCCATAAAAACTAGACGGAAGCATTCTCAGAAACTTATTTGTGATGTGTTTGCTCAACTAACAGGATTGAACCATCGTTTTGAAGGAGCAGTTTTGAAACACTGTTTTCGTGGAATCTGCAAGTGGATATTTGGCTAGCTTTGAGGATTTCGTTGGAAACGGGATTACATATAAAAAGGAGACAGCAGCATTCTCAGAAACTTCTTTGTGATGTCTGCATTCAATTCACAGAGTTGGGCATTCCCTTTCATAGAGCAGGTTGGAAACACTCTTTTTGTAGTATCCTGGATGAGGACATTTGGAGCGCTTTCAGGCGTATGGTGAAAAAGGAAATATCTTCCCGTAAAAACTAGACAGAAGCATTCTCAGAAGTTTATTTCTGATGTGTGCCCTCAACTAACAGAGTTGAACCTTTCTTTTGATAGAGCAGTTTTGAAACACTCTTTTTGTAAAATCTGCAAGAGGATATTTGGATAGCTTTGAGGATTTCGTTGCAAACGGGAATGGCTTCATATAAACTCTAGACAGAAGCATTCTCAGAAACTTCGTTGGGATGTTTCGATTGAAGTCCCAGTGTTGAACATTCCCTTTTATAGAGCAGGTTGGAAACACTCTTTCTGCATTCCCTGGAAGTGGACATTTGGAGCGCTTTCAGGACGACGGTGAAAATGGAAATATCTTCCAAGAAAATCTAGATAGAAGCAATGTCAGAAACTTTTATGTGATGGATCTACTCAGCTAACAGAGTTGAACCTTTCTTTTGAGAGAGCAGTTTTGCAACACTCTTTTTGTGGAATATGCAAGTGGATATTAGGGCAGCTTTGAGGATTTCGTTGGAAACGGGAATACATGTAAAAAGCAGACAGCAGCATTCTCAGAAACTTCTTTGTGATGTTTGCATTGAAGTCACAGAGTTGAACATTCCCTTTGAGAGAGCAGGTTTGAAACACGCCTTTTGTCATATCTGGAAGTGTCCATTCGGAGCGCATTCAGGCTTGTGTTGAAAAAGGAAATATCCTCCCATAAAAACTAGACAGAAGCATTCTCAGAAACTTATCTGTGATGTATGTACTCAACTAACAGAACTAAACCATCGTTTTGAAGGGCAGTTTTGAAACACTCTTTTTGCGGAATCTGCAAGTGGATATTTGGCTAGCTGGGAGGATTTCGTTGGAAACGGGATTACATACAAAAAGCAGACAGCAGCATTCTCAGAAACTTCTTTGTGATGTTTGCATTCAAGTCACAGAGTTGAACATTCCCTTTCATAGAGCAGGTTTGAAACACTCTTTTTGTAGTATCTGGATGTGGACATTTGGATCGCTTTCAGGCCTATGGTGAAAAAGGAAATATCTTCCCATGAAAACTAGACAGAAGCATTCTCAGAAACTTATTTGTGATGTGTGCCCTCAACTGACAGTGTTGAACCTTTGTTTTGATAGAGCAGTTCTGAAACACACTTTTTGTAAAATCTGCAAGAGGATATTTGGATAGCTTTGAGGATTTCGTTGGAAACGGGAATGTCTTCATGTAAACTCTACACAGAAGCATTCTCAGAAACTGCTTTGGGATGTTTCAATTGAAGTCCCAGTGTTGAACATTCCCTTTCATAGAGCAGGTTTGAAACCCTCTTTTTGTACTATCTGGAAGTGGACATTTGGAGCGCTTTCAGGTCTACGGTGAAAAAGGAGATATCTTCCAATAAAAACTAGATAGAAGCAATGTCAGAACTTTTTTCATGATGTATCTACTCAGCAAACAGAGTTGAACCTTTCTTTTGAGAGAGCAGTTTTGAAACACTCCTTTTGTGGAATATGCAAGTGGGTATTAGGCCAGCTTGGAGGATTTCGTTGGAAACGGGAATACGTATAAAAAGCAGACAGCAGCATTGTCAGAAACTACTTTGTGATGTTTGCATTCAAGTCACAGAATTGAACACTCCCTTTCACAGAGCAGGTTTGAAACTCTCTTTTTGTAGTGTCTATAAGTGAACATTTGGCGTGCTTTCAGGCGTAACGTGAAAAAGGAAATATCTTCCCATAAAAACTAGACAGAAGCATTCTCAGAAACTTGTTTGTGATGTGTGCCCTCTACTGACAGAGTTGAACCTTTCTTTGCAAAGAGCAGTTTTGAAACACTCTTTTTGTAGAATCTGCAAGAGGATATTTGGATAGCTTTGAGGATTTCTTGGGAAACGGGAATGTCTTCAGATAAACTCTAGACAGAAGCATTCTCAGAAACTTCTTTGGGATGTTTCAATTCAAGTCACAGTGTTGAACATTCCCTTTCACAGAGCAGGTTTGAAACACTCTTTTTGTAGTGTCTATAAGTGAACATTTGGCGTGCTTTCAGGCGTAACGTGAAAAAGGAAATATCTTCCCATAAAAACTAGACAGAAGCATTCTCAGAAACTTGTTCTTGATGTGTCCCCTCTACTGACAGAGTTGAACCTTTCTTTGCAAAGAGCAGCTTTGAAACACTCTTTTTGTAGAATCTGCAAGAGGATATTTGGATAGCTTGGAGGATTTCGTTGGAAACGGGTATGTCTTCAGATAAACTCTAGACAGAAGCATTCTCAGAAACTTCTTTGGGATGTTGCATTCAAGTCACAGAGTAGAACATTCCCATTCATAGAGCAGATTTGAAACACTCTTTTTGTAGTATCTGGAAGTGGACATTTGGAGCGCTTTCAGGCCTATGTTGAAAAAGGAAATATCTTCCCATAAAAACTAGACGGAAGCATTCTCAGAAACTTATTTGTGATGTGTTTGCTCAACTAACAGGATTGAACCATCGTTTTGAAGGAGCAGTTTTGAAACACTGTTTTCGTGGAATCTGCAAGTGGATATTTGGCTAGCTTTGAGGATTTCGTTGGAAACGGGATTACATATAAAAAGGAGACAGCAGCATTCTCAGAAACTTCTTTGTGATGTCTGCATTCAATTCACAGAGTTGAGCATTCCCTTTCATAGAGCAGGTTGGAAACACTCTTTTTGTAGTATCTGGATGAGGACATTTGGAGCGCTTTCAGGCGTATGGTGAAAAAGGAAATATCTTCCCGTAAAAACTAGACAGAAGCATTCTCAGAAGTTTATTTGTGATGTGTGCCCTCAACTAACAGAGTTGAACCTTTCTTTTGATAGAGCAGTTTTGAAACACTCTTTTTGTAAAATCTGCAAGAGGATATTTGGATAGCTTTGAGGATTTCGTTGCAAACGGGAATGGCTTCATATAAACTCTAGACAGAAGCATTCTCAGAAACTTCGTTGGGATGTTTCGATTGAAGTCCCAGTGTTGAACATTCCCTTTTATAGAGCAGGTTGGAAACACTCTTTCTGCATTCCCTGGAAGTGGACATTTGGAGCGCTTTCAGGACGACGGTGAAAATGGAAATATCTTCCAAGAAAATCTAGATAGAAGCAATGTCAGAAACTTTTATGTGATGGATCTACTCAGCTAACAGAGTTGGACCTTTCTTTTGAGAGAGCAGTTTTGCAACACTCTTTTTGTGGAATATGCAAGTGGATATTAGGGCAGCTTTGAGGATTTCGTTGGAAACGGGAATACATGTAAAAAGCAGACAGCAGCATTCTCAGAAACTTCTTTGTGATGTTTGCATTGAAGTCACAGAGTTGAACATTCCCTTTGAGAGAGCAGGTTTGAAACACGCCTTTTGTCATATCTGGAAGTGTCCATTCGGAGCGCATTCAGGCTTGTGTTGAAAAAGGAAATATCCTCCCATAAAAACTAGACAGAAGCATTCTCAGAAACTTATCTGTGATGTATGTACTCAACTAACAGAACTAAACCATCGTTTTGAAGGAGCAGTTTTGAAACACTCTTTTTGCGGAATCTGCAAGTGGATATTTGGCTAGCTGGGAGGATTTCGTTGGAAACGGGATTACATACAAAAAGCAGACAGCAGCATTCTCAGAAACTTCTTTGTGATGTTTGCATTCAAGTCACAGAGTTGAACATTCCCTTTCATAGAGCAGGTTTGAAACACTCTTTTTGTAGTATCTGGATGTGGACATTTGGATCGCTTTCAGGCCTATGGTGAAAAAGGAAATATCTTCCCATGAAAACTAGACAGAAGCATTCTCAGAAACTTATTTGTGATGTGTGCCCTCAACTGACAGTGTTGAACCTTTGTTTTGATAGAGCAGTTCTGAAACACACTTTTTGTAAAATCTGCAAGAGGATATTTGGATAGCTTTGAGGATTTCGTTGGAAACGGGAATGTCTTCATGTAAACTCTACACAGAAGCATTCTCAGAAACTGCTTTGGGATGTTTCAATTGAAGTCCCAGTGTTGAACATTCCCATTCATAGAGCAGGTTTGAAACACTCTTTTTGTACTATCTGGAAGTGGACATTTGGAGCGCTTTCAGGTCTACGGTGAAAAAGGAGATATCTTCCAATAAAAACTAGATAGAAGCAATGTCAGAACTTTTTTCATGATGTATCTACTCAGCTAACAGAGTTGAACCTTTCTTTTGAGAGAGCAGTTTTGAAACACTCTTTTTGTGGAATATGCAAGTGGGTATTAGGCCAGCTTGGAGGATTTCGTTGGAAACGGGAATACGTATAAAAAGCAGACAGCAGCATTGTCAGAAACTACTTTGTGATGTTTGCATTCAAGTCACAGAATTGAACACTCCCTTTCACAGAGCAGGTTTGAAACACTCTTTTTGAAGTGTCTGTAAGTGAACATTTGGATTGCTTTCAGGCCTAAGGTGAAAAAGGAAATATCTTCCCATAAAAACTAGACAGAAGCATTCTCAGAAACTTGTTTGTGATGTGTGCCCTCTACTGACAGAGTTGAACCTTTCTTTGCAAAGAGCAGTTTTGAAACACTCTTTTTGTAGAATCTGCAAGAGGATATTTGGATAGCTTTGAGGATTTCCTGGGAAACGGGAATGTCTTCAGATAAACTCTAGACAGAAGCATTCTCAGAAACTTCTTTGGGATGTTTCAATTGAAGTCACAGTGTTGAACATTCCCTTTCACAGAGCAGGTTTGAAACACTCTTTTTGTAGTGTCTATAAGTGAACATTTGGCGTGCTTTCAGGCCTAACGTGAAAAAGGAAATATCTTCCCATAAAAACTAGACAGAAGCATTCTCAGAAACTTGTTCGTGATGTGTGCCCTCTACTGACAGAGTTGAACCTTTCTTTGCAAAGAGCAGCTTTGAAACACTCTTTTTGTAGAATCTGCAAGAGGATATTTGGATAGCTTGGAGGATTTCGTTGGAAACGGGTATGTCTTCAGATAAACTGCTAGACAGAAGCATTCTCAGAAACTTCTTTGGGATGTTGCATTCAAGTCACAGAGTAGAACATTCCCATTCATAGAGCAGATTTGAAACACTCTTTTTGTAGTATCTGGAAGTGGACATTTGGAGCGCTTTCAGGCCTATGTTGAAAAAGGAAATATCTTCCCATAAAAACTAGACGGAAGCATTCTCAGAAACTTACTTGTGATGTGTTTGCTCAACTAACAGAATTGAACCATCGTTTTGAAGGAGCAGTTTTGAAACACTGTTTTCGTGGAATCTGCAAGTGGATATTTGGCTAGCTTTGAGGATTTCGTTGGAAACGGGATTACATATAAAAAGGAGACAGCAGCATTCTCAGAAACTTCTTTGTGATGTCTGCATTCAAGTCACAGAGTTGAGCATTCCCTTTCATAGAGCAGGTTGGAAACACTCTTTTTGTAGTATCTGGATGAGGACATTTGGAGCGCTTTCAGGCGTATGGTGAAAAAGGAAATATCTTCCCGTAAAAACTAGACAGAAGCATTCTCAGAATTTTATTTGTGATGTGTGCCCTCAACTAACAGAGTTGAACCTTTCTTTTGATAGAGCAGTTTTGAAACACTCTTTTTGTAAAATCTGCAAGAGGATATTTGGATAGCTTTGAGGATTTCGTTGCAAACGGGAATGGCTTCATATAAACTCTAGACAGAAGCATTCTCAGAAACTTCGTTGGGATGTTTCGATTGAAGTCCCAGTGTTGAACATTCCCTTTTATAGAGCAGGTTGGAAACACTCTTTCTGCATTCCCTGGAAGTGGACATTTGGAGCGCTTTCAGGACGACGGTGAAAATGGAAATATCTTCCAAGAAAATCTAGATAGAAGCAACGTCAGAAACTTTTCTGTGATGGATCTACTCAGCTAACAGAGTTGAACCTTTCTTTTGAGAGAGCAGTTTTGCAACACTCTTTTTGTGGAATATGCAAGTGGATATTAGGGCAGCTTTGAGGATTTCGTTGGAAACGGGAATACATGTAAAAAGCAGACAGCAGCATTCTCAGAAACTTCTTTGTGATGTTTGCATTGAAGTCACAGAGTTGAACATTCCCTTTGAGAGAGCAGGTTTGAAACACGCCTTTTGTCATATCTGGAAGTGTCCATTCGGAGCGCATTCAGGCTTGTGTTGAAAAAGGAAATATCCTCCCATAAAAACTAGACAGAAGCATTCTCAGAAACTTATCTGTGATGTATGTACTCAACTAACAGAACTAAACCATCGTTTTGAAGGAGCAGTTTTGAAACACTCTTTTTGCGGAATCTGCAAGTGGATATTTGGCTAGCTGGGAGGATTTCGTTGGAAACGGGATTACATACAAAAAGCAGACAGCAGCATTCTCAGAAACTTCTTTGTGATGTTTGCATTCAAGTCACAGAGTTGAACATTCCCTTTCATAGAGCAGGTTTGAAACACTCTTTTTGTAGTATCTGGATGTGGACATTTGGATCGCTTTCAGGCCTATGGTGAAAAAGGAAATATCTTCCCATGAAAACTAGACAGAAGCATTCTCAGAAACTTATTTGTGATGTGTGCCCTCAACTGACAGTGTTGAACCTTTGTTTTGATAGAGCAGTTCTGAAACACACTTTTTGTAAAATCTGCAAGAGGATATTTGGATAGCTTTGAGGATTTCGTTGGAAACGGGAATGTCTTCATGTAAACTCTAGACAGAAGCATTCTCAGAAACTGCTTTGGGATGTTTCAATTGAAGTCCCAGTGTTGAACATTCCCTTTCATAGAGCAGGTTTGAAACCCTCTTTTTGTACTATCTGGAAGTGGACATTTGGAGCGCTTTCAGGTCTACGGTGAAAAAGGAGATATCTTCCAATAAAAACTAGATAGAAGCAATGTCAGAACTTTTTTCATGATGTATCTACTCAGCAAACAGAGTTGAACCTTTCTTTTGAGGGAGCAGTTTTGAAACACTATTTTTGTGGAATATGCAAGTGGGTATTAGGCCAGCTTGGAGGATTTCGTTGGAAACGGGAATACGTATAAAAAGCAGACAGCAGCATTGTCAGAAACTACTTTGTGATGTTTGCATTCAAGTCACAGAATTGAACACTCCCTTTCACAGAGCAGGTTTGAAACTCTCTTTTTGTAGTGTCTATAAGTGAACATTTGGCGTGCTTTCAGGCGTAACGTGAAAAAGGAAATATCTTCCCATAAAAACTAGACAGAAGCATTCTCAGAAACTTGTTCTTGATGTGTGCCCTCTACTGACAGAGTTGAACCTTTCTTTGCAAAGAGCAGTTTTGAAACACTCTTTTTGTAGAATCTGCAAGAGGATATTTGGATAGCTTTGAGGATTTCTTGGGAAACGGGAATGTCTTCAGATAAACTCTAGACAGAAGCATTCTCAGAAACTTCTTTGGGATGTTTCAATTGAAGTCACAGTGTTGAACATTCCCTTTCACAGAGCAGGTTTGAAACACTCTTTTTGTAGTGTCTATAAGTGAACATTTGGCGTGCTTTCAGGCGTAACGTGAAAAAGGAAATATCTTCCCATAAAAACTAGACAGAAGCATTCTCAGAAACTTGTTCTTGATGTGTCCCCTCTACTGACAGAGTTGAACCTTTCTTTGCAAAGAGCAGCTTTGAAACACTCTTTTTGTAGAATCTGCAAGAGGATATTTGGATAGCTTGGAGGATTTCGTTGGAAACGGGTATGTCTTCAGATAAACTCTAGACAGAAGCATTCTCAGAAACTTCTTTGGGATGTTGCATTCAAGTCACAGAGTAGAACATTCCCATTCATAGAGCAGATTTGAAACACTCTTTTTGTAGTATCTGGAAGTGGACATTTGGAGCGCTTTCAGGCCTATGTTGAAAAAGGAAATATCCTTCCCATAAAAACTAGACGGAAGCATTCTCAGTAAACTTAATTGTGATGTGTTTGCTCAACTAACAGGATTGAACCATCGTTTTGAAGGAGCAGTTTTGAAACACTGTTTTCGTGGAATCTGCAAGTGGATATTTGGCTAGCTTTGAGGATTTCGTTGGAAACGGGATTACATATAAAAAGGAGACAGCAGCATTTTCAGAAACTACTTTGTGATGTTTGCATTCAAGTCACAGAGTTGAACATTCCCTTTCATAGAGCAGGTTTGAAACACTCTTTTTGTAGTATCTGGATGTGGACATTTGGATCGCTTTCAGGCCTATGGTGAAAAAGGAAATATCTTCCCATGAAAACTAGACAGAAGCATTCTCAGAAACTTATTTGTGATGTGTGTACTCAACTAACAGAATTGAACCATCGTTTTGAAAGAGCAGTTTTGAAACACTCCTTTTGTGGAATCTGCAAGTGGATATTTGTCTAGCTTTGAGGATTTCGTTGGAAACGGGATTACATATAAAAAGCAGACAGCAGCATTCTGAGAAACTTCTTTGTGATGTCTGCATTCAATTCACAGAAGCTGAGCATTCCCTTTCATAGAGCAGGTTGGAAACACTCTTTTTGTAGTATCTGGATGTGGACATTTGGTTCGCTTTCAGGCCTATGGTGAAAAAGGAAATATCTTCCCATGAAAACTAGACAGAAGATTCTCAGAAATTTATTTGTGATGTGTGCCCTCAACTAACAGAGTTGAACCTTTCTTTTGATAGAGCAGTTTTGAAACACTCTTTTTGTAAAATCTGCAAGAGGATATTTGGATAGCTTTGAGGATTTCGTTGCAAACGGGAATGGCTTCATATAAACTCTAGACAGAAGCATTCTCAGAAACTTCGTTGGGATGTTTCGATTGAAGTCCCAGTGTTGAACATTCCCTTTTATAGAGCAGGTTGGAAACACTCTTTCTGCATTCCCTGGAAGTGGACATTTGGAGCGCTTTCAGGACGACGGTGAAAATGGAAATATCTTCCAAGAAAATCTAGATAGAAGCAACGTCAGAAACTTTTATGTGATGGATCTACTCAGCTAACAGAGTTGAACCTTTCTTTTGAGAGAGCAGTTTTGCAACACTCTTTTTGTGGAATATGCAAGTGGATATTAGGGCAGCTTTGAGGATTTCGTTGGAAACGGGAATACATGTAAAAAGCAGACAGCAGCATTCTCAGAAACTTCTTTGTGATGTTTGCATTGAAGTCACAGAGTTGAACATTCCCTTTGAAAGAGCAGGTTTGAAACACGCCTTTTGTCATATCTGGAAGTGTCCATTCGGAGCGCATTCAGGCTTGTGTTGAAAAAGGAAATATCCTCCCATAAAAACTAGACAGAAGCATTCTCAGAAACTTATCTGTGATGTATGTACTCAACTAACAGAACTAAACCATCGTTTTGAAGGAGCAGTTTTGAAACACTCTTTTTGCGGAATCTGCAAGTGGATATTTGGCTAGCTGGGAGGATTTCGTTGGAAACGGGATTACATACAAAAAGCAGACAGCAGCATTCTCAGAAACTTCTTTGTGATGTTTGCATTCAAGTCACAGAGTTGAACATTCCCTTTCATAGAGCAGGTTTGAAACACTCTTTTTGTAGTATCTGGATGTGGACATTTGGATCGCTTTCAGGCCTATGGTGAAAAAGGAAATATCTTCCCATGAAAACTAGACAGAAGCATTCTCAGAAACTTATTTGTGATGTGTGCCCTCAACTGACAGTGTTGAACCTTTGTTTTGATAGAGCAGTTCTGAAACACACTTTTTGTAAAATCTGCAAGAGGATATTTGGATAGCTTTGAGGATTTCGTTGGAAACGGGAATGTCTTCATGTAAACTCTAGACAGAAGCATTCTCAGAAACTGCTTTGGGATGTTTCAATTGAAGTCCCAGTGTTGAACATTCCCATTCATAGAGCAGGTTTGAAACACTCTTTTTGTACTATCTGGAAGTGGACATTTGGAGCGCTTTCAGGTCTACGGTGAAAAAGGAGATATCTTCCAATAAAAACTAGATAGAAGCAATGTCAGAACTTTTTACATGATGTATCTACTCAGCAAACAGAGTTGAACCTTTCTTTTGAGAGAGCAGTTTTGAAACACTCTTTTTGTGGAATATGCAAGTGGGTATTAGGCCAGCTAGGAGGATTTCGTTGGAAACGGGAATACGTATAAAAAGCAGACAGCAGCATTGTCAGAAACTACTTTGTGATGTTTGCATTCAAGTCACAGAATTGAACACTCCCTTTCACAGAGCAGGTTTGAAACACTCTTTTTGTAGTGTCTGTAAGTGAACATATGGATTGCTTTCAGGCCTAAGGTGAAAAAGGAAATATCTTCCCATAAAAACTAGACAGAAGCATTCTCAGAAACTTGTTTGTGATGTGTGCCCTCTACTGACAGAGTTGAACCTTTCTTTGCAAAGAGCAGTTTTGAAACACTCTTTTTGTAGAATCTGCAAGAGGATATTTGGATAGCTTTGAGGATTTCTTGGGAAACGGGAATGTCTTCAGATAAACTCTAGACAGAAGCATTCTCAGAAACTTCTTTGGGATGTTTCAATTGAAGTCACAGTGTTGAACATTCCCTTTCACAGAGCAGGTTTGAAACACTCTTTTTGTAGTGTCTATAAGTGAACATTTGGCGTGCTTTCAGGCCTAACGTGAAAAAGGAAATATCTTCCCATAAAAACTAGACAGAAGCATTCTCAGAAACTTGTTCGTGATGTGTGCCCTCTACTGACAGAGTTGAACCTTTCTTTGCAAAGAGCATCTTTGAAACACTCTTTTTGTAGAATCTGCAAGAGGATATTTGGATAGCTTGGAGGATTTCGTTGGAAACGGGTATGTCTTCAGATAAACTCTAGACAGAAGCATTCTCAGAAACTTCTTTGGGATGTTGCATTCAAGTCACAGAGTAGAACATTCCCATTCATAGAGCAGATTTCAAACACTCTTTTTGTAGTATCTGGAAGTGGACATTTGGAGCGCTTTCAGGCCTATGTTGAAAAAGGAAATATCTTCCCATAAAAACTAGACGGAAGCATTCTCAGAAACTTATTTGTGATGTGTTTGCTCAACTAACAGGATTGAACCATCGTTTTGAAGGAGCAGTTTTGAAACACTGTTTTCGTGGAATCTGCAAGTGGATATTTGGCTAGCTTTGAGGATTTCGTTGGAAACGGGATTACATATAAAAAGGAGACAGCAGCATTCTCAGAAACTTCTTTGTGATGTCTGCATTCAATTCACAGAGTTGAGCATTCCCTTTCATAGAGCAGGTTGGAAACACTCTTTTTGTAGTATCTGGATGAGGACATTTGGAGCGCTTTCAGGCGTATGGTGAAAAAGGAAATATCTTCCCGTAAAAACTAGACAGAAGCATTCTCAGAAGTTTATTTGTGATGTGTGCCCTCAACTAACAGAGTTGAACCTTTCTTTTGATAGAGCAGTTTTGAAACACTCTTTTTGTAAAATCTGCAAGAGGATATTTGGATAGCTTTGAGGATTTCGTTGCAAACGGGAATGGCTTCATATAAACTCCTAGACAGAAGCATTCTCAGAAACTTCGTTGGGATGTTTCGATTGAAGTCCCAGTGTTGAACATTCCCTTTTATAGAGCAGGTTGGAAACACTCTTTCTGCATTCCCTGGAAGTGGACATTTGGAGCGCTTTCAGGACGACGGTGAAAATGGAAATATCTTCCAAGAAAATCTAGATAGAAGCAATGTCAGAAACTTTTATCTGATGGATCTACTCAGCTAACAGAGTTGAACCTTTCTTTTGAGAGAGCAGTTTTGCAACACTCTTTTTGTGGAATATGCAAGTGGATATTAGGGCAGCTTTGAGGATTTCGTTGGAAACGGGAATACATGTAAAAAGCAGACAGCAGCATTCTCAGAAACTTCTTTGTGATGTTTGCATTGAAGTCACAGCAGTTGAACATTCCCTTTGAGAGAGCAGGTTTGAAACACGCCTTTTGTCATATCTGGAAGTGTCCATTCGGAGCGCATTCAGGCTTGTGTTGAAAAAGGAAATATCCTCCCATAAAAACTAGACAGAAGCATTCTCAGAAACTTATCTGTGATGTATGTACTCAACTAACAGAACTAAACCATCGTTTTGAAGGAGCAGTTTTGAAACACTCTTTTTGCGGAATCTGCAAGTGGATATTTGGCTAGCTGGGAGGATTTCGTTGGAAACGGGATTACATACAAAAAGCAGACAGCAGCATTCTCAGAAACTTCTTTGTGATGTTTGCATTCAAGTCACAGAGTTGAACATTCCCTTTCATAGAGCAGGTTTGAAACACTCTTTTTGTAGTATCTGGATGTGGACATTTGGATCGCTTTCAGGCCTATGGTGAAAAAGGAAATATCTTCCCATGAAAACTAGACAGAAGCATTCTCAGAAACTTATTTGTGATGTGTGCCCTCAACTGACAGTGTTGAACCTTTGTTTTGATAGAGCAGTTCTGAAACACACTTTTTGTAAAATCTGCAAGAGGATATTTGGATAGCTTTGAGGATTTCGTTGGAAACGGGAATGTCTTCATGTAAACTCTAGACAGAAGCATTCTCAGAAACTGCTTTGGGATGTTTCAATTGAAGTCCCAGTGTTGAACATTCCCTTTCATAGAGCAGGTTTGAAACACTCTTTTTGTACTATCTGGAAGTGGACATTTGGAGCGCTTTCAGGTCTACGGTGAAAAAGGAGATATCTTCCAATAAAAACTAGATAGAAACAATGTCAGAACTTTTTTCATGATGTATCTACTCAGCAAACAGAGTTGAACTTTTTTTGAGAGAGCAGTTTTGAAACACTCTTTTTGTGGAATATGCAAGTGGGTATTAGGCCAGCTTGGAGGATTTTGTTGGAAACGGGAATACGTATTAAAAGCAGACAGCAGCATTGTCAGAAACTACTTTGTGATGTTTGCATTCAAGTCACAGAATTGAACACTCCCTTTCACAGAGCAGGTTTGAAACCCTCTTTTTGTAGTGTCTGTAAGTGAACATTTGGATTGCTTTCAGGCCTAAGGTGAAAAAGGAAATATCTTCCCATAAAAACTAGACAGAAGCATTCTCAGAAACTTGTTTGTGATGTGTGCCCTCTACTGACAGAGTTGAACCTTTCTTTGCAAAGAGCAGTTTTGAAACACTCTTTTTGTAGAATCTGCAAGAGGATATTTGGATAGCTTTGAGGATTTCTTGGGAAACGGGAATGTCTTCAGATAAACTCTAGACAGAAGCATTCTCAGAAACTTCTTTGGGATGTTTCAATTGAAGTCACAGTGTTGAACATTCCCTTTCACAGAGCAGGTTTTAAACACTCTTTTTGTAGTGTCTATAAGTGAACATTTGGCGTGCTTTCAGGCCTAACGTGAAAAAGGAAATATCTTCCCATAAAAACTAGACAGAAGCATTCTCAGAAACTTGTTCGTGATGTGTGCCCTCTACTGACAGAGTTGAACCTTTCTTTGCAAAGAGCAGCTTTGAAACACTCTTTTTGTAGAATCTGCAAGAGGATATTTGGATAGCTTTGAGGATTTCGTTGGAAACGGGTATGTCTTCAGATAAACTCTAGACAGAAGCATTCTCAGAAACTTCTTTGAGATATTGCATTCAAGTCACAGAGTAGAACATTCCCATTCATAGAGCAGATTTGAAACACTCTTTTTGTAGTATCTGGAAGTGGACATTTGGAGCGCTTTCAGGCCTATGTTGAAAAAGGAAATATCTTCCCATAAAAACTAGACGGAAGCATTCTCAGAAACTTATTTGTGATGTGTTTGCTCAACTAACAGGATTGAACCATCGTTTTGAAGGAGCAGTTTTGAAACACTGTTTTCGTGGAATCTGCAAGTGGATATTTGGCTAGCTTTGAGGATTTCGTTGGAAACGGGATTACATATAAAAAGGAGACAGCAGCATTCTCAGAAACTTCTTTGTGATGTCTGCATTCAAGTCACAGAGTTGAGCATTCCCTTTCATAGAGCAGGTTGGAAACACTCTTTTTGTAGTATCTGGATGAGGACATTTGGAGCGCTTTCAGGCGTATGGTGAAAAAGGAAATATCTTCCCGTAAAAACTAGACAGAAGCATTCTCAGAAATTTATTTGTGATGTGTGCCCTCAACTAACAGAGTTGAACCTTTCTTTTGATAGAGCAGTTTTGAAACACTCTTTTTGTAAAATCTGCAAGAGGATATTTGGATAGCTTTGAGGATTTCGTTGCAAACGGGAATGGCTTCATATAAACTCTAGACAGAAGCATTCTCAGAAACTTCGTTGGGATGTTTCGATTGAAGTCCCAGTGTTGAACATTCCCTTTTATAGAGCAGGTTGGAAACACTCTTTCTGCATTCCCTGGAAGTGGACATTTGGAGCGCTTTCAGGACGACGGTGAAAATGGAAATATCTTCCAAGAAAATCTAGATAGAAGCAACGTCAGAAACTTTTCTGTGATGGATCTACTCAGCTAACAGAGTTGAACCTTTCTTTTGAGAGAGCAGTTTTGCAACACTCTTTTTGTGGAATATGCAAGTGGATATTAGGGCAGCTTTGAGGATTTCGTTGGAAACGGGAATACATGTAAAAAGCAGACAGCAGCATTCTCAGAAACTTCTTTGTGATGTTTGCATTGAAGTCACAGAGTTGAACATTCCCTTTGAGAGAGCAGGTTTGAAACACGCCTTTTGTCATATCTGGAAGTGTCCATTCGGAGCGCATTCAGGCTTGTGTTGAAAAAGGAAATATCCTCCCATAAAAACTAGACAGAAGCATTCTCAGAAACTTATCTGTGATGTATGTACTCAACTAACAGAACTAAACCATCGTTTTGAAGGAGCAGTTTTGAAACACTCTTTTTGCGGAATCTGCAAGTGGATATTTGGCTAGCTGGGAGGATTTCGTTGGAAACGGGATTACATACAAAAAGCAGACAGCAGCATTCTCAGAAACTTCTTTGTGATGTTTGCATTCAAGTCACAAGAGTTGAACATTCCCTTTCATAGAGCAGGTTTGAAACACTCTTTTTGTAGTATCTGGATGTGGACATTTGGATCGCTTTCAGGCCTATGGTGAAAAAGGAAATATCTTCCCATGAAAACTAGACAGAAGCATTCTCAGAAACTTATTTGTGATGTGTGCCCTCATCTGACAGTGTTGAACCTTTGTTTTGATAGAGCAGTTCTGAAACACACTTTTTGTAAAATCTGCAAGAGGATATTTGGATAGCTTTGAGGATTTCGTTGGAAACGGGAATGTCTTCATGTAAACTCTACACAGAAGCATTCTCAGAAACTGCTTTGGGATGTTTCAATTGAAGTCCCAGTGTTGAACATTCCCTTTCATAGAGCAGGTTTGAAACACTCTTTTTGTACTATCTGGAAGTGGACATTTGGAGCGCTTTCAGGTCTACGGTGAAAAAGGAGATATCTTCCAATAAAAACTAGATAGAAGCAATGTCAGAACTTTTTTCATGATGTATCTACTCAGCAAACAGAGTTGAACCTTTCTTTTGAGAGAGCAGTTTTGAAACACTCTTTTTGTGGAATATGCAAGTGGGTATTAGGCCAGCTTGGAGGATTTCGTTGGAAACGGGAATACGTATAAAAAGCAGACAGCAGCATTGTCAGAAACTACTTTGTGATGTTTGCATTCAAGTCACAGAATTGAACACTCCCTTTCACAGAGCAGGTTTGAAACACTCTTTTTGTAGTGTCTGTAAGTGAACATTTGGATTGATTTCAGGCCTAAGGTGAAAAAGGAAATATCTTCCCATAAAAACTAGACAGAAGCATTCTCAGAAACTTGTTTGTGATGTGTGCCCTCTACTGACAGAGTTGAACCTTTCTTTGCAAAGAGCAGTTTTGAAACACTCTTTTTGTAGAATCTGCAAGAGGATATTTGGATAGCTTTGAGGATTTCTTGGGAAACGGGAATGTCTTCAGATAAACTCTAGACAGAAGCATTCTCAGAAACTTCTTTGGGATGTTTCAATTGAAGTCACAGTGTTGAACATTCCCTTTCACAGAGCAGGTTTGAAACACTCTTTTTGTAGTGTCTATAAGTGAACATTTGGCGTGCTTTCAGGCGTAACGTGAAAAAGGAAATATCTTCCCATAAAAACTAGACGGAAGCATTCTTAGAAACTTACTTGTGATGTGTTTGCTCAACTAACAGAATTGAACCATCGTTTTGAAGGAGCAGTTTTGAAACACTGTTTTCGTGGAATCTGCAAGTGGATATTTGGCTAGCTTTGAGGATTTCGTTGGAAACGGGATTACATATAAAAAGGAGACAGCAGCATTCTCAGAAACTTCTTTGTGATGTCTGCATTCAAGTCACAGAGTTGAGCATTCCCTTTCATAGAGCAGGTTGGAAACACTCTTTTTGTAGTATCTGGATGAGGACATTTGGAGCGCTTTCAGGCGTATGGTGAAAAAGGAAATATCTTCCCGTAAAAACTAGACAGAAGCATTCTCAGAAATTTATTTGTGATGTGTGCCTTCAACTAACAGAGTTGAACCTTTCTTTTGATAGAGCAGTTTTGAAACACTCTTTTTGTAAAATCTGCAAGAGGATATTTGGATAGCTTTGAGGATTTCGTTGCAAACGGGAATGGCTTCATATAAACTCTAGACAGAAGCATTCTCAGAAACTTCGTTGGGATGTTTCGATTGAAGTCCCAGTGTTGAACATTCCCTTTTATAGAGCAGGTTGGAAACACTCTTTCTGCATTCCCTGGAAGTGGACATTTGGAGCGCTTTCAGGACGACGGTGAAAATGGAAATATCTTCCAAGAAAATCTAGATAGAAGCAACGTCAGAAACTTTTCTGTGATGGATGTACTCAGCTAACAGAGTTGAACCTTTCTTTTGAGAGAGCAGTTTTGCAACACTCTTTTTGTGGAATATGCAAGTGGATATTAGGGCAGCTTTGAGGATTTCGTTGGAAACGGGAATACATGTAAAAAGCAGACAGCAGCATTCTCAGAAACTTCTTTGTGATGTTTGCATTGAAGTCACAGAGTTGAACATTCCCTTTGAGAGAGCAGGTTTGAAACACGCCTTTTGTCATATCTGGAAGTGTCCATTCGGAGCGCATTCAGGCTTGTGTTGAAAAAGGAAATATCCTCCCATAAAAACTAGACAGAAGCATTCTCAGAAACTTATCTGTGATGTATGTACTCAACTAACAGAACTAAACCATCGTTTTGAAGGAGCAGTTTTGAAACACTCTTTTTGCGGAATCTGCAAGTGGATATTTGGCTAGCTGGGAGGATTTCGTTGGAAACGGGATTACATACAAAAAGCAGACAGCAGCATTCTCAGAAACTTCTTTGTGATGTTAGCATTCAAGTCACAGAGTTGAACATTCCCTTTCATAGAGCAGGTTTGAAACACTCTTTTTGTAGTATCTGGATGTGGACATTTGGATCGCTTTCAGGCCTATGGTGAAAAAGGAAATATCTTCCCATGAAAACTAGACAGAAGCATTCTCAGAAATTTATTTGTGATGTGTGCCCTCAACTAACAGAGTTGAACCTTTCTTTTGATAGAGCAGTTTTGAAACACTCTTTTTGTAAAATCTGCAAGAGGATATTTGGATAGCTTTGAGGATTTCGTTGCAAACGGGAATGGCTTCATATAAACTCTAGACAGAAGCATTCTCAGAAACTTCGTTGGGATGTTTCGATTGAAGTCCCAGTGTTGAACATTCCCTTTTATAGAGCAGGTTGGAAACACTCTTTCTGCATTCCCTGGAAGTGGACATTTGGAGCGCTTTCAGGACGACGGTGAAAATGGAAATATCTTCCAAGAAAATCTAGATAGAAGCAATGTCAGAAACTTTTATGTGATGGATCTACTCAGCTAACAGAGTTGAACCTTTCTTTTGAGAGAGCAGTTTTGCAACACTCTTTTTGTGGAATATGCAAGTGGATATTAGGGCAGCTTTGAGGATTTCGTTGGAAACGGGAATACATGTAAAAAGCAGACAGCAGCATTCTCAGAAACTTCTTTGTGATGTTTGCATTGAAGTCACAGAGTTGAACATTCCCTTTGAGAGAGCAGGTTTGAAACACGCCTTTTGTCATATCTGGAAGTGTCCATTCGGAGCGCATTCAGGCTTGTGTTGAAAAAGGAAATATCCTCCCATAAAAACTAGACAGAAGCATTCTCAGAAACTTATCTGTGATGTATGTACTCAACTAACAGAACTAAACCATCGTTTTGAAGGAGCAGTTTTGAAACACTCTTTTTGCGGAATCTGCAAGTGGATATTTGGCTAGCTGGGAGGATTTCGTTGGAAACGGGATTACATACAAAAAGCAGACAGCAGCATTCTCAGAAACTTCTTTGTGATGTTTGCATTCAAGTCACAGAGTTGAACATTCCCTTTCATAGAGCAGGTTTGAAACACTCTTTTTGTAGTATCTGGATGTGGACATTTGGATCGCTTTCAGGCCTATGGTGAAAAAGGAAATATCTTCCCATGAAAACTAGACAGAAGCATTCTCAGAAACTTATTTGTGATGTGTGCCCTCAACTGACAGTGTTGAACCTTTGTTTTGATAGAGCAGTTCTGAAACACACTTTTTGTAAAATCTGCAAGAGGATATTTGGATAGCTTTGAGGATTTCGTTGGAAACGGGAATGTCTTCATGTAAACTCTACACAGAAGCATTCTCAGAAACTGCTTTGGGATGTTTCAATTGAAGTCCCAGTGTTGAACATTCCCATTCATAGAGCAGGTTTGAAACACTCTTTTTGTACTATCTGGAAGTGGACATTTGGAGCGCTTTCAGGTCTACGGTGAAAAAGGAGATATCTTCCAATAAAAACTAGATAGAAGCAATGTCAGAACTTTTTTCATGATGTATCTACTCAGCTAACAGAGTTGAACCTTTCTTTTGAGAGAGCAGTTTTGAAACACTCTTTTTGTGGAATATGCAAGTGGGTATTAGGCCAGCTTGGAGGATTTCGTTGGAAACGGGAATACGTATAAAAAGCAGACAGCAGCATTGTCAGAAACTACTTTGTGATGTTTGCATTCAAGTCACAGAATTGAACACTCCCTTTCACAGAGCAGGTTTGAAACACTCTTTTTGTAGTGTCTGTAAGTGAACATTTGGATTGCTTTCAGGCCTAAGGTGAAAAAGGAAATATCTTCCCATAAAAACTAGACAGAAGCATTCTCAGAAACTTGTTTGTGATGTGTGCCCTCTACTGACAGAGTTGAACCTTTCTTTGCAAAGAGCAGTTTTGAAACACTCTTTTTGTAGAATCTGCAAGAGGATATTTGGATAGCTTTGAGGATTTCCTGGGAAACGGGAATGTCTTCAGATAAACTCTAGACAGAAGCATTCTCAGAAACTTCTTTGGGATGTTTCAATTGAAGTCACAGTGTTGAACATTCCCTTTCACAGAGCAGGTTTGAAACACTCTTTTTGTAGTGTCTATAAGTGAACATTTGGCGTGCTTTCAGGCCTAACGTGAAAAAGGAAATATCTTCCCATAAAAACTAGACAGAAGCATTCTCAGAAACTTGTTCATGATGTGTGCCCTCTACTGACAGAGTTGAACCTTTCTTTGCAAAGAGCAGCTTTGAAACACTCTTTTTGTAGAATCTGCAAGAGGATATTTGGATAGCTTGGAGGATTTCGTTGGAAACGGGTATGTCTTCAGATAAACTCTAGACAGAAGCATTCTCAGAAACTTCTTTGGGATGTTGCATTCAAGTCACAGAGTAGAACATTCCCATTCATAGAGCAGATTTGAAACACTCTTTTTGTAGTATCTGGAAGTGGACATTTGGAGCGCTTTCAGGCCTATGTTGAAAAAGGAAATATCTTCCCATAAAAACTAGACGGAAGCATTCTCAGAAACTTATTTGTGATGTGTTTGCTCAACTAACAGGATTGAACCATCGTTTTGAAGGAGCAGTTTTGAAACACTGTTTTCATGGAATCTGCAAGTGGATATTTGGCTAGCTTTGAGGATTTCGTTGGAAACGGGATTACATATAAAAAGGAGACAGCAGCATTCTCAGAAACTTCTTTGTGATGTCTGCATTCAATTCACAGAGTTGAGCATTCCCTTTCATAGAGCAGGTTGGAAACACTCTTTTTGTAGTATCTGGATGAGGACATTTGGAGCGCTTTCAGGCGTATGGTGAAAAAGGAAATATCTTCCCGTAAAAACTAGACAGAAGCATTCTCAGAAGTTTATTTGTGATGTGTGCCCTCAACTAACAGAGTTGAACCTTTCTTTTGATAGAGCAGTTTTGAAACACTCTTTTTGTAAAATCTGCAAGAGGATATTTGGATAGCTTTGAGGATTTCGTTGCAAACGGGAATGGCTTCATATAAACTCTAGACAGAAGCATTCTCAGAAACTTCGTTGGGATGTTTCGATTGAAGTCCCAGTGTTGAACATTCCCTTTTATAGAGCAGGTTGGAAACACTCTTTCTGCATTCCCTGGAAGTGGACATTTGGAGCGCTTTCAGGACGACGGTGAAAATGGAAATATCTTCCAAGAAAATCTAGATAGAAGCAATGTCAGAAACTTTTATGTGATGGATCTACTCAGCTAACAGAGTTGAACCTTTCTTTTGAGAGAGCAGTTTTGCAACACTCTTTTTGTGGAATATGCAAGTGGATATTAGGGCAGCTTTGAGGATTTCGTTGGAAACGGGAATACATGTAAAAAGCAGACAGCAGCATTCTCAGAAACTTCTTTGTGATGTTTGCATTGAAGTCACAGAGTTGAACATTCCCTTTGAGAGAGCAGGTTTGAAACACGCCTTTTGTCATATCTGGAAGTGTC
Source organism: Homo sapiens (assembly GCF_000001405.40). Lineage (NCBI taxonomy): Eukaryota > Metazoa > Chordata > Mammalia > Primates > Hominidae > Homo > Homo sapiens. The sequence continues at coordinate 26,902,650 of NC_000020.11, forward strand.
CATTCGGAGCGCATTCAGGCTTGTGTTGAAAAAGGAAATATCCTCCCATAAAAACTAGACAGAAGCATTCTCAGAAACTTATCTGTGATGTATGTACTCAACTAACAGAACTAAACCATCCTTTTGAAGGAGCAGTTTTGAAACACTCTTTTTGCGGAATCTGCAAGTGGATATTTGGCTAGCTGGGAGGATTTCGTTGGAAACGGGATTACATACAAAAAGCAGACAGCAGCATTCTCAGAAACTTCTTTGTGATGTTTGCATTCAAGTCACAGAGTTGAACATTCCCTTTCATAGAGCAGGTTTGAAACACTCTTTTTGTAGTATCTGGATGTGGACATTTGGATCGCTTTCAGGCCTATGGTGAAAAAGGAAATATCTTCCCATGAAAACTAGACAGAAGCATTCTCAGAAACTTATTTGTGATGTGTGCCCTCAACTGACAGTGTTGAACCTTTGTTTTGATAGAGCAGTTCTGAAACACACTTTTTGTAAAATCTGCAAGAGGATATTTGGATAGCTTTGAGGATTTCGTTGGAAACGGGAATGTCTTCATGTAAACTCTACACAGAAGCATTCTCAGAAACTGCTTTGGGATGTTTCAATTGAAGTCCCAGTGTTGAACATTCCCATTCATAGAGCAGGTTTGAAACACTCTTTTTGTACTATCTGGAAGTGGACATTTGGAGCGCTTTCAGGTCTACGGTGAAAAAGGAGATATCTTCCAATAAAAACTAGATAGAAGCAATGTCAGAACTTTTTTCATGATGTATCTACTCAGCAAACAGAGTTGAACCTTTCTTTTGAGGGAGCAGTTTTGAAACACTATTTTTGTGGAATATGCAAGTGGGTATTAGGCCAGCTTGGAGGATTTCGTTGGAAACGGGAATACGTATAAAAAGCAGACAGCAGCATTGTCAGAAACTACTTTGTGATGTTTGCATTCAAGTCACAGAATTGAACACTCCCTTTCACAGAGCAGGTTTGAAACACTCTTTTTGTAGTGTCTGTAAGTGTACATTTGGATTGCTTTCAGGCCTAAGGTGAAAAAGGAAATATCTTCCCATAAAAACTAGACAGAAAGCATTCTCAGCAAACTTGTTTGTGATGTGTGCCCTCTACTGACAGAGTTGAACCTTTCTTTGCAAAGAGCAGTTTTGAAACACTCTTTTTGTAGAATCTGCAAGAGGATATTTGGATAGCTTTGAGGATTTCTTGGGAAACGGGAATGTCTTCAGATAAACTCTAGACAGAAGCATTCTCAGAAACTTCTTTGGGATGTTTCAATTGAAGTCACAGTGTTGAACATTCCTTTTCACAGAGCAGGTTTGAAACACTCTTTTTGTAGTGTCTATAAGTGAACATTTGGCGTGCTTTCAGGCCTAACGTGAAAAAGGAAATATCTTCCCATAAAAACTAGACAGAAGCATTCTCAGAAACTTGTTCGTGATGTGTGCCCTCTACTGACAGAGTTGAACCTTTCTTTGCAAAGAGCAGCTTTGAAACACTCTTTTTGTAGAATCTGCAAGAGGATATTTGGATAGCTTTGAGGATTTCGTTGGAAACGGGTATGTCTTCAGATAAACTCTAGACAGAAGCATTCTCAGAAACTTCTTTGGGATGTTGCATTCAAGTCACAGAGTAGAACATTCCCATTCATAGAGCAGATTTGAAACACTCTTTTGTAGTATCTGGAAGTGGACATTTGGAACGCTTTCAGGCCTATGTTGAAAAAGGATATATCTTCCCATAAAAACTAGACGGAAGCATTCTCAGAAACTTACTTGTGATGTGTTTGCTCAACTAACAGAATTGAACCATCGTTTTGAAGGAGCAGTTTTGAAACACTGTTTTCGTGGAATCTGCAAGTGGATATTTGGCTAGCTTTGAGGATTTCGTTGGAAACGGGATTACATATAAAAAGGAGACAGCAGCATTCTCAGAAACTTCTTTGTGATGTCTGCATTCAATTCACAGAGTTGAGCATTCCCTTTCATAGAGCAGGTTGGAAACACTCTTTTTGTAGTATCTGGATGAGGACATTTGGAGCGCTTTCAGGCCTATGGTGAAAAAGGAAATATCTTCCCGTAAAAACTAGACAGAAGCATTCTCAGAAATTTATTTGTGATGTGTGCCCTCAACTAACAGAGTTGAACCTTTCTTTTGATAGAGCAGTTTTGAAACACTCTTTTTGTAAAATCTGCAAGAGGATATTTGGATAGCTTTGAGGATTTCATTGCAAACGGGAATGGCTTCATATAAACTCTAGACAGAAGCATTCTCAGAAACTTCGTTGGGATGTTTCGATTGAAGTCCCAGTGTTGAACATTCCCTTTTATAGAGCAGGTTGGAAACACTCTTTCTGCATTCCCTGGAAGTGGACATTTGGAGCGCTTTCAGGACGACGGTGAAAATGGAAATATCTTCCAATAAAATCTAGATAGAAGCAACGTCAGAAACTTTTATGTGATGGATCTACTCAGCTAACAGAGTTGAACCTTTCTTTTGAGAGAGCAGTTTTGCAACACTCTTTTTGTGGAATATGCAAGTGGATATTAGGGCAGCTTTGAGGATTTCGTTGGAAACGGGAATACATGTAAAAAGCAGACAGCAGCATTCTCAGAAACTTCTTTGTGATGTTTGCATTGAAGTCACAGAGTTGAACATTCCCTTTGAGAGAGCAGGTTTGAAACACGCCTTTTGTCATATCTGGAAGTGTCCATTCGGAGCGCATTCAGGCTTGTGTTGAAAAAGGAAATATCCTCCCATAAAAACTAGACAGAAGCATTCTCAGAAACTTATCTGTGATGTATGTACTCAACTAACAGAACTAAACCATCGTTTTGAAGGAGCAGTTTTGAAACACTCTTTTTGCGGAATCTGCAAGTGGATATTTGGCTAGCTGGGAGGATTTCGTTGGAAACGGGATTACATACAAAAAGCAGACAGCAGCATTCTCAGAAACTTCTTTGTGATGTTTGCATTCAAGTCACAGAGTTGAACATTCCCTTTCATAGAGCAGGTTTGAAACACTCTTTTTGTAGTATCTGGATGTGGACATTTGGATCGCTTTCAGGCCTATGGTGAAAAAGGAAATATCTTCCCATGAAAACTAGACAGAAGCATTCTCAGAAACTTATTTGCGATGTGTGCCCTCAACTGACAGTGTTGAACCTTTGTTTTGATAGAGCAGTTCTGAAACACACTTTTTGTAAAATCTGCAAGAGGATATTTGGATAGCTTTGAGGATTTCGTTGGAAACGGGAATGTCTTCATGTAAACTCTGGACAGAAGCATTCTCAGAAACTGCTTTGGGATGTTTCAATTGAAGTCCCAGTGTTGAACATTCCCATTCATAGAGCAGGTTTGAAACACTCTTTTTGTACTATCTGGAAGTGGACATTTGGAGCGCTTTCAGGTCTACGGTGAAAAAGGAGATATCTTCCAATAAAAACTAGATAGAAGCAATGTCAGAACTTTTTTCATGATGTATCTACTCAGCAAACAGAGTTGAACCTTTCTTTTGAGAGAGCAGTTTTGAAACACTCTTTTTGTGGAATATGCAAGTGGGTATTAGGCCAGCTTGGAGGATTTCGTTGGAAACGGGAATACGTATAAAAAGCAGACAGCCAGCATTGTCAGAAACTACTTTGTGATGTTTGCATTCAAGTCACAGAATTGAACACTCCCTTTCACAGAGCAGGTTTGAAACACTCTTTTTGTAGTGTCTGTAAGTGAACATTTGGATTGCTTTCAGGCCTAAGGTGAAAAAGGAAATATCTTCCCATAAAAACTAGACAGAGCATTCTCAGAAACTTGTTTGTGATGTGTGCCCTCTACTGACAGAGTTGAACCTTTCTTTGCAAAGAGCAGTTTTGAAACACTCTTTTTGTAGAATCTGCAAGAGGATATTTGGATAGCTTTGAAGATTTCTTGGGAAACGGGAATGTCTTCAGATAAACTCTAGACAGAAGCATTCTCAGAAACTTCTTTGGGATGTTTCAATTGAAGTCACAGTGTTGAACATTCCCTTTCACAGAGCAGGTTTGAAACACTCTTTTTGTAGTGTCTATAAGTGAACATTTGGCGTGCTTTCAGGCCTAACGTGAAAAAGGAAATATCTTCCCATAAAAACTAGACAGAAGCATTCTCAGAAACTTGTTCGTGATGTGTGCCCTCTACAGACAGAGTTGAACATTTCTTTGCAAAGAGCAGCTTTGAAACACACTTTTTGTAGAATCTGCAAGAGGATATTTGGATAGCTTGGAGGATTTCGTTGGAAACGAGTATGTCTTCAGATAAACTCTAGACAGAAGCATTCTCAGAAACTTCTTTGGGATGTTGCATTCAAGTCACAGAGTAGAACATTCCCATTCATAGAGCAGATTTGAAACACTCTTTTTGTAGTATCTGGAAGTGGACATTTGGAGCGCTTTCAGGCCTATGTTGAAAAAGGAAATATCTTCCCATAAAAACTAGACGGAAGCATTCTCAGAAACTTACTTGTGATGTGTTTGCTCAACTAACAGAATTGAACCATCGTTTTGAAGGAGCAGTTTTGAAACACTGTTTTCGTGGAATCTGCAAGTGGATATTTGGCTAGCTTTGAGGATTTCGTTGGAAACGGGATTACATATAAAAAGGAGACAGCCAGCATTCTCAGTAAACTTCTTTGTGATGTCTGCATTCAATTCACAGCAGTTGAGCATTCCCTTTCATAGAGCAGGTTGGAAACACTCTTTTTGTAGTATCTGGATGAGGACATTTGGAGCGCTTTCAGGCGTATGGTGAAAAAGGAAATATCTTCCCGTAAAAACTAGACAGAAGCATTCTCAGAAATTTATTTGTGATGTGTGCCCTCAACTAACAGAGTTGAACCTTTCTTTTGATAGAGCAGTTTTGAAACACTCTTTTTGTAAAATCTGCAAGAGGATATTTGGATAGCTTTGAGGATTTCGTTGCAAACGGGAATGGCTTCATATAAACTCTAGACAGAAGCATTCTCAGAAACTTCGTTGGGATGTTTCGATTGAAGTCCCAGTGTTGAACATTCCCTTTTATAGAGCAGGTTGGAAACACTCTTTCTGCATTCCCTGGAAGTGGACATTTGGAGCGCTTTCAGGACGACGGTGAAAATGGAAATATCTTCCAAGAAAATCTAGATAGAAGCAACGTCAGAAACTTTTCTGTGATGGATCTACTCAGCTAACAGAGTTGAACCTTTCTTTTGAGAGAGCAGTTTTGCAACACTCTTTTTGTGGAATATGCAAGTGGATATTAGGGCAGCTTTGAGGATTTCGTTGGAAACGGGAATACATGTAAAAAGCAGACAGCAGCATTCTCAGAAACTTCTTTGTGATGTTTGCATTGAAGTCACAGAGTTGAACATTCCCTTTGAGAGAGCAGGTTTGAAACACGCCTTTTGTCATATCTGGAAGTGTCCATTCGGAGCGCATTCAGGCTTGTGTTGAAAAAGGAAATATCCTCCCATAAAAACTAGACAGAAGCATTCTCAGAAACATATCTGTGATGTATGTACTCAACTAACAGAACTAAACCATCGTTTTGAAGGAGCAGTTTTGAAACACTCTTTTTGCGGAATCTGCAAGTGGATATTTGGCTAGCTGGGAGGATTTCGTTGGAAACGGGATTACATACAAAAAGCAGACAGCAGCATTCTCAGAAACTTCTTTGTGATGTTTGCATTCAAGTCACAGAGTTGAACATTCCCTTTCATAGAGCAGGTTTGAAACACTCTTTTTGTAGTATCTGGATGTGGACATTTGGATCGCTTTCAGGCCTATGGTGAAAAAGGAAATATCTTCCCATGAAAACTAGACAGAAGCATTCTCAGAAACTTATTTGTGATGTGTGCCCTCAACTGACAGTGTTGAACCTTTGTTTTGATAGAGCAGTTCTGAAAAACACTTTTTGTAAAATCTGCAAGAGGATATTTGGATAGCTTTGAGGATTTCGTTGGAAACGGGAATGTCTTCATGTAAACTCTACACAGAAGCATTCTCAGAAACTGCTTTGGGATGTTTCAATTGAAGTCCCAGTGTTGAACATTCCCATTCATAGAGCAGGTTTGAAACACACTTTTTGTACTATCTGGAAGTGGACATTTGGAGCGCTTTCAGGTCTACGGTGAAAAAGGAGATATCTTCCAATAAAAACTAGATAGAAGCAATGTCAGAACTTTTTTCATGATGTATCTACTCAGCTAACAGAGTTGAACCTTTCTTTTGAGAGAGCAGTTTTGAAACACTCTTTTTGTGGAATATGCAAGTGGGTATTAGGCCAGCTTGGAGGATTTCGTTGGAAACGGGAATACGTATAAAAAGCAGACAGCAGCATTGTCAGAAACTACTTTGTGATGTTTGCATTCAAGTCACAGAATTGAACACTCCCTTTCACAGAGCAGGTTTGAAACACTCTTTTTGTAGTGTCTGTAAGTGAACATATGGATTGCTTTCAGGCCTAAGGTGAAAAAGGAAATATCTTCCCATAAAAACTAGACAGAAGCATTCTCAGAAACTTGTTTGTGATGTGTGCCCTCTACTGACAGAGTTGAACCTTTCTTTGCAAAGAGCAGTTTTGAAACACTCTTTTTGTAGAATCTGCAAGAGGATATTTGGATAGCTTTGAAGATTTCTTGGGAAACGGGAATGTCTTCAGATAAACTCTAGACAGAAGCATTCTCAGAAACTTCTTTGGGATGTTTCAATTGAAGTCACAGTGTTGAACATTCCCTTTCACAGAGCAGGTTTGAAACACTCTTTTTGTAGTGTCTATAAGTGAACATTTGGCGTGCTTTCAGGCGTAACGTGAAAAAGGAAATATCTTCCCATAAAAACCAGACAGAAGCATTCTCAGAAACTTGTTCGTGATGTGTGCCCTCTACTGACAGAGTTGAACCTTTCTTTGCAAAGAGCAGCTTTGAAACACACTTTTTGTAGAATCTGCAAGAGGATATTTGGATAGCTTGGAGGATTTCGTTGGAAACGGGTATGTCTTCAGATAAACTCTAGACAGAAGCATTCTCAGAAACTTCTTTGGGATGTTGCATTCAAGTCACAGAGTAGAACATTCCCATTCATAGAGCAGATTTGAAACACTCTTTTTGTAGTATCTGGAAGTGGACATTTGGAGCGCTTTCAGGCCTATGTTGAAAAAGGAAATATCTTCCCATAAAAACTAGACGGAAGCATTCTCAGAAACTTATTTGTGATGTGTTTGCTCAACTAACAGGATTGAACCATCGTTTTGAAGGAGCAGTTTTGAAACACTGTTTTCATGGAATCTGCAAGTGGATATTTGGCTAGCTTTGAGGATTTCGTTGGAAACGGGATTACATATAAAAAGGAGACAGCAGCATTCTCAGCAAACTTCTTTGTGATGTCTGCATTCAATTCACAGAGTTGAGCATTCCCTTTCATAGAGCAGGTTGGAAACACTCTTTTTGTAGTATCTGGATGAGGACATTTGGAGCGCTTTCAGGCCTATGGTGAAAAAGGAAATATCTTCCCGTAAAAACTAGACAGAAGCATTCTCAGAAGTTTATTTGTGATGTGTGCCCTCAACTAACAGAGTTGAACCTTTCTTTTGATAGAGCAGTTTTGAAACACTCTTTTTGTAAAATCTGCAAGAGGATATTTGGATAGCTTTGAGGATTTCGTTGCAAACGGGAATGGCTTCATATAAACTCTAGACAGAAGCATTCTCAGAAACTTCGTTGGGATGTTTCGATTGAAGTCCCAGTGTTGAACATTCCCTTTTATAGAGCAGGTTGGAAACACTCTTTCTGCATTCCCTGGAAGTGGACATTTGGAGCGCTTTCAGGACGACGGTGAAAATGGAAATATCTTCCAAGAAAATCTAGATAGAAGCAACGTCAGAAACTTTTCTGTGATGGATCTACTCAGCTAACAGAGTTGAACCTTTCTTTTGAGAGAGCAGTTTTGCAACACTCTTTTTGTGGAATATGCAAGTGGATATTAGGGCAGCTTTGAGGATTTCGTTGGAAACGGGAATACATGTAAAAAGCAGACAGCAGCATTCTCAGAAACTTCTTTGTGATGTTTGCATTGAAGTCACAGAGTTGAACATTCCCTTTGAGAGAGCAGGTTTGAAACACGCCTTTTGTCATATCTGGAAGTGTCCATTCGGAGCGCATTCAGGCTTGTGTTGAAAAAGGAAATATCCTCCCATAAAAACTAGACAGAAGCATTCTCAGAAACTTATCTGTGATGTATGTACTCAACTAACAGAACTAAACCATCGTTTTGAAGGAGCAGTTTTGAAACACTCTTTTTGCGGAATCTGCAAGTGGATATTTGGCTAGCTGGGAGGATTTCGTTGGAAACGGGATTACATACAAAAAGCAGACAGCAGCATTCTCAGAAACTTCTTTGTGATGTTTGCATTCAAGTCACAGAGTTGAACATTCCCTTTCATAGAGCAGGTTTGAAACACTCTTTTTGTAGTATCTGGATGTGGACATTTGGATCGCTTTCAGGCCTATGGTGAAAAAGGAAATATCTTCCCATGAAAACTAGACAGAAGCATTCTCAGAAACTTATTTGTGATGTGTGCCCTCAACTGACAGTGTTGAACCTTTGTTTTGATAGAGCAGTTCTGAAACACACTTTTTGTAAAATCTGCAAGAGGATATTTGGATAGCTTTGAGGATTTCGTTGGAAACGGGAATGTCTTCATGTAAACTCTACACAGAAGCATTCTCAGAAACTGCTTTGGGATGTTTCAATTGAAGTCCCAGTGTTGAACATTCCCATTCATAGAGCAGGTTTGAAACACTCTTTTTGTACTATCTGGAAGTGGACATTTGGAGCGCTTTCAGGTCTACGGTGAAAAAGGAGATATCTTCCAATAAAAACTAGATAGAAGCAATGTCAGAACTTTTTTCATGATGTATCTACTCAGCAAACAGAGTTGAACCTTTCTTTTGAGAGAGCAGTTTTGAAACACTCTTTTTGTGGAATATGAAAGTGGGTATTAGGCCAGCTTGGAGGATTTCGTTGGAAACGGGAATACGTATAAAAAGCAGACAGCAGCATTGTCAGAAACTACTTTGTGATGTTTGCATTCAAGTCACAGAATTGAACACTCCCTTTCACAGAGCAGGTTTGAAACACTCTTTTTGTAGTGTCTGTAAGTGAACATTTGGATTGCTTTCAGGCCTAAGGTGAAAAAGGAAATATCTTCCCATAAAAACTAGACAGAAGCATTCTCAGAAACTTGTTTGTGATGTGTGCCCTCTACTGACAGAGTTGAACCTTTCTTTGCAAAGAGCAGTTTTGAAACACTCTTTTTGTAGAATCTGCAAGAGGATATTTGGATAGCTTTGAGGATTTCTTGGGAAACGGGAATGTCTTCAGATAAACTCTAGACAGAAGCATTCTCAGAAACTTCTTTGGGATGTTTCAATTGAAGTCACAGTGTTGAACATTCCCTTTCACAGAGCAGGTTTGAAACACTCTTTTTGTAGTGTCTATAAGTGAACATTTGGCGTGCTTTCAGGCCTAACGTGAAAAAGGAAATATCTTCCCATAAAAACTAGACAGAAGCATTCTCAGAAACTTGTTCGTGATGTGTGCCCTCTACTGACAGAGTTGAACCTTTCTTTGCAAAGAGCAGCTTTGAAACACACTTTTTGTAGAATCTGCAAGAGGATATTTGGATAGCTTTGAGGATTTCGTTGGAAACGGGTATGTCTTCAGATAAACTCTAGACAGAAGCATTCTCAGAAACTTCTTTGGGATGTTGCATTCAAGTCACAGAGTAGAACATTCCCATTCATAGAGCAGATTTGAAACACTCTTTTTGTAGTATCTGGAAGTGGACATTTGGAGCGCTTTCAGGCCTATGTTGAAAAAGGAAATATCTTCCCATAAAAACTAGACGGAAGCATTCTCAGAAACTTATTTGTGATGTGTTTGCTCAACTAACAGGATTGAACCATCGTTTTGAAGGAGCAGTTTTGAAACACTGTTTTCGTGGAATCTGCAAGTGGATATTTGGCTAGCTTTGAGGATTTCGTTGGAAACGGGATTACATATACAAAGGAGACAGCAGCATTCTCAGAAACTTCTTTGTGATGTCTGCATTCAATTCACAGAGTTGAGCATTCCCTTTCATAGAGCAGGTTGGAAACACTCTTTTTGTAGTATCTGGATGAGGACATTTGGAGCGCTTTCAGGCGTATGGTGAGAAAGGAAATATCTTCCCGTAAAAACTAGACAGAAGCATTCTCAGAAGTTTATTTGTGATGTGTGCCCTCAACTAACAGAGTTGAACCTTTCTTTTGATAGAGCAGTTTTGAAACACTCTTTTTGTAAAATCTGCAAGAGGATATTTGGATAGCTTTGAGGATTTCGTTGCAAACGGGAATGGCTTCATATAAACTCTAGACAGAAGCATTCTCAGAAACTTCGTTGGGATGTTTCGATTGAAGTCCCAGTGTTGAACATTCCCTTTTATAGAGCAGGTTGGAAACACTCTTTCTGCATTCCCTGGAAGTGGACATTTGGAGCGCTTTCAGGACGACGGTGAAAATGGAAATATCTTCCAAGAAAATCTAGATAGAAGCAATGTCAGAAACTTTTATGTGATGGATCTACTCAGCTAACAGAGTTGAACCTTTCTTTTGAGAGAGCAGTTTTGCAACACTCTTTTTGTGGAATATGCAAGTGGATATTAGGGCAGCTTTGAGGATTTCGTTGGAAACGGGAATACATGTAAAAAGCAGACAGCAGCATTCTCAGAAACTTCTTTGTGATGTTTGCATTGAAGTCACAGAGTTGAACATTCCCTTTGAGAGAGCAGGTTTGAAACACGCCTTTTGTCATATCTGGAAGTGTCCATTCGGAGCGCATTCAGGCTTGTGTTGAAAAAGGAAATATCCTCCCATAAAAACTAGACAGAAGCATTCTCAGAAACTTATCTGTGATGTATGTACTCAACTAACAGAACTAAACCAACCTTTTGAAGGAGCAGTTTTGAAACACTCTTTTTGCGGAATCTGCAAGTGGATATTTGGCTAGCTGGGAGGATTTCGTTGGAAACGGGATTACATACAAAAAGCAGACAGCAGCATTCTCAGAAACTTCTTTGTGATGTTTGCATTCAAGTCACAGAGTTGAACATTCCCTTTCATAGAGCAGGTTTGAAACACTCTTTTTGTAGTATCTGGATGTGGACATTTGGATCGCTTTCAGGCCTATGGTGAAAAAGGAAATATCTTCCCATGAAAACTAGACAGAAGCATTCTCAGAAACTTATTTGTGATGTGTGCCCTCAACTGACAGTGTTGAACCTTTGTTTTGATAGAGCAGTTCTGAAACACACTTTTTGTAAAATCTGCAAGAGGATATTTGGATAGCTTTGAGGATTTCGTTGGAAACGGGAATGTCTTCATGTAAACTCTAGACAGAAGCATTCTCAGAAACTGCTTTGGGATGTTTCAATTGAAGTCCCAGTGTTGAACATTCCCATTCATAGAGCAGGTTTGAAACACTCTTTTTGTACTATCTGGAAGTGGACATTTGGAGCGCTTTCAGGTCTACGGTGAAAAAGGAGATATCTTCCAATAAAAACTAGATAGAAGCAATGTCAGAACTTTTTTCATGATGTATCTACTCAGCAAACAGAGTTGAACCTTTCTTTTGAGAGAGCAGTTTTGACACAGTCTTTGTGGAATATGCAAGTGGGTATTAGGCCAGCTTGGAGGATTTCGTTGGAAACGGGAATACGTATAAAAAGCAGACAGCAGCATTGTCAGAAACTACTTTGTGATGTTTGCATTCAAGTCACAGAATTGAACACTCCCTTTCACAGAGCAGGTTTGAAACACTCTTTTTGTAGTGTCTGTAAGTGAACATTTGGATTGCTTTCAGGCCTAAGGTGAAAAAGGAAATATCTTCCCATAAAAACTAGACAGAAGCATTCTCAGAAACTTGTTTGTGATGTGTGCCCTCTACTGACAGAGTTGAACCTTTCTTTGCAAAGAGCAGTTTTGAAACACTCTTTTTGTAGAATCTGCAAGAGGATATTTGGATAGCTTTGAGGATTTCTTGGGAAACGGGAATGTCTTCAGATAAACTCTAGACAGAAGCATTCTCAGAAACTTCTTTGGGATGTTTCAATTGAAGTCACAGTGTTGAACATTCCCTTTCACAGAGCAGGTTTGAAACACTCTTTTTGTAGTGTCTATAAGTGAACATTTGGCATGCTTTCAGGCCTAACGTGAAAAAGGAAATATCTTCCCATAAAAACTAGACAGAAGCATTCTCAGAAACTTGTTCGTGATGTGTGCCCTCTACTGACAGAGTTGAACCTTTCTTTGCAAAGAGCAGCTTTGAAACACACTTTTTGTAGAATCTGCAAGAGGATATTTGGATAGCTTTGAGGATTTCGTTGGAAACGGGTATGTCTTCAGATAAACTCTAGACAGAAGCATTCTCAGAAACTTCTTTGGGATGTTGCATTCAAGTCACAGAGTAGAACATTCCCATTCATAGAGCAGATTTGAAACACTCTTTTTGTAGTATCTGGAAGTGGACATTTGGAGCGCTTTCAGGCCTATGTTGAAAAAGGAAATATCTTCCCATAAAAACTAGACGGAAGCATTCTCAGAAACTTATTTGTGATGTGTTTGCTCAACTAACAGGATTGAACCATCGTTTTGAAGGAGCAGTTTTGAAACACTGTTTTCATGGAATCTGCAAGTGGATATTTGGCTAGCTTTGAGGATTTCGTTGGAAACGGGATTACATATACAAAGGAGACAGCAGCATTCTCAGAAACTTCTTTGTGATGTCTGCATTCAATTCACAGAGTTGAGCATTCCCTTTCATAGAGCAGGTTGGAAACACTCTTTTTGTAGTATCTGGATGAGGACATTTGGAGCGCTTTCAGGCGTATGGTGAAAAAGGAAATATCTTCCCGTAAAAACTAGACAGAAGCATTCTCAGAAGTTTATTTGTGATGTGTGCCCTCAACTAACAGAGTTGAACCTTTCTTTTGATAGAGCAGTTTTGAAACACTCTTTTTGTAAAATCTGCAAGAGGATATTTGGATAGCTTTGAGGATTTCGTTGCAAACGGGAATGGCTTCATATAAACTCTAGACAGAAGCATTCTCAGAAACTTCGTTGGGATGTTTCGATTGAAGTCCCAGTGTTGAACATTCCCTTTTATAGAGCAGGTTGGAAACACTCTTTCTGCATTCCCTGGAAGTGGACATTTGGAGCGCTTTCAGGACGACGGTGAAAATGGAAATATCTTCCAAGAAAATCTAGATAGAAGCAATGTCAGAAACTTTTATGTGATGGATCTACTCAGCTAACAGAGTTGAACCTTTCTTTTGAGAGAGCAGTTTTGCAACACTCTTTTTGTGGAATATGCAAGTGGATATTAGGGCAGCTTTGAGGATTTCGTTGGAAACGGGAATACATGTAAAAAGCAGACAGCAGCATTCTCAGAAACTTCTTTGTGATGTTTGCATTGAAGTCACAGAGTTGAACATTCCCTTTGAGAGAGCAGGTTTGAAACACGCCTTTTGTCATATCTGGAAGTGTCCATTCGGAGCGCATTCAGGCTTGTGTTGAAAAAGGAAATATCCTCCCATAAAAACTAGACAGAAGCATTCTCAGAAACTTATCTGTGATGTATGTACTCAACTAACAGAACTAAACCATCGTTTTGAAGGAGCAGTTTTGAAACACTCTTTTTGCGGAATCTGCAAGTGGATATTTGGCTAGCTGGGAGGATTTCGTTGGAAACGGGATTACATACAAAAAGCAGACAGCAGCATTCTCAGAAACTTCTTTGTGATGTTTGCATTCAAGTCACAGAGTTGAACATTCCCTTTCATAGAGCAGGTTTGAAACACTCTTTTTGTAGTATCTGGATGTGGACATTTGGATCGCTTTCAGGCCTATGGTGAAAAAGGAAATATCTTCCCATGAAAACTAGACAGAAGCATTCTCAGAAACTTATTTGTGATGTGTGCCCTCAACTGACAGTGTTGAACCTTTGTTTTGATAGAGCAGTTCTGAAACACACTTTTTGTAAAATCTGCAAGAGGATATTTGGATAGCTTTGAGGATTTCGTTGGAAACGGGAATGTCTTCATGTAAACTCTAGACAGAAGCATTCTCAGAAACTGCTTTGGGATGTTTCAATTGAAGTCCCAGTGTTGAACATTCCCTTTCATAGAGCAGGTTTGAAACACTCTTTTTGTACTATCTGGAAGTGGACATTTGGAGCGCTTTCAGGTCTACGGTGAAAAAGGAGATATCTTCCAATAAAAACTAGATAGAAGCAATGTCAGAACTTTTTTCATGATGTATCTACTCAGCAAACAGAGTTGAACCTTTCTTTTGAGAGAGCAGTTTTGAAACACTCTTTTTGTGGAATATGCAAGTGGGTATTAGGCCAGCTTGGAGGATTTCGTTGGAAACGGGAATACGTATAAAAAGCAGACAGCAGCATTGTCAGAAACTACTTTGTGATGTTTGCATTCAAGTCACAGAATTGAACACTCCCTTTCACAGAGCAGGTTTGAAACACTCTTTTTGTAGTGTCTGTAAGTGAACATTTGGATTGCTTTCAGGCCTAAGGTGAAAAAGGAAATATCTTCCCATAAAAACTAGACAGAAGCATTCTCAGAAACTTGTTTGTGATGTGTGCCCTCTACTGACAGAGTTGAACCTTTCTTTGCAAAGAGCAGTTTTGAAACACTCTTTTTGTAGAATCTGCAAGAAGATATTTGGATAGATTTGAGGATTTCTTGGGAAACGGGAATGCCTTCAGATAAACTCTAGACAGAAGCATTCTCAGAAACTTCTTTGGGATGTTTCAATTGAAGTCACAGTGTTGAACATTCCCTTTCACAGAGCAGGTATGAAACACTCTTTTTGTAGTGTCTATAAGTGAACATTTGGCGTGCTTTCAGGCGTAACGTGAAAAAGGAAATATCTTCCCATAAAAACTAGACAGAAGCATTCTCAGAAACTTGTTTGTGATGTGTGCCCTCTACTGACAGAGTTGAACCTTTCCTTGCAAAGAGCAGCTTTGACACACTCTTTTTGTAGAATCTGCAAGAGGCTATTTGGATAGCTTTGAGGATTTCGTTGGAAACGGGTATGTCTTCAGATAAACTCTAGACAGAAGCATTCTCAGAAACTTCTTTGAGATGTTGCATTCAAGTCACAGAGTAGAACATTCCCATTCATAGAGCAGATTTGAAACACTCTTTTTGTAGTATCTGAAAGTGGACATTTGGAGCGCTTTCAGGCCTATGATGAAAAAGGAAATATCTTCCCATAAAAACTAGACGGAAGCATTCTCAGAAACTTACTTGTGATGTGTTTGCTCAACTAACAGAATTGAACCATCGTTTTGAAGGAGCAGTTTTGAAACACTGTTTTCGTGGAATCTGCAAGTGGATATTTGGCTAGCTTGGAGGATTTCGTTGGAAACGGGATTACATATAAAAAGGAGACAGCAGCATTCTCAGAAACTTCTTTGTGATGTCTGCATTCAAGTCACAGAGTTGAGCATTCCCTTTCATAGAGCAGGTTTGAAACACTCTTTTTGTAGTATCTGGATGAGGACATTTGGAGCGCTTTCAGGCGTATGGTGAAAAAGGAAATATCTTCCCGTAAAAACTAGACAGAAGCATTCTCAGAAATTTATTTGTGATGTGTGCCCTCAACTAACAGAGTTGAACCTTTCTTTTGATAGAGCAGTTTTGAAACACTCTTTTTGTAAAATCTGCAAGAGGATATTTGGATAGCTTTGAGGATTTCGTTGCAAACGGGAATGGCTTCATATAAACTCTAGACAGAAGCATTCTCAGAAACTTCGTTGGGATGTTTCGATTGAAGTCCCAGTGTTGAACATTCCCTTTTATAGAGCAGGTTGGAAACACTCTTTTTGCATTCCCTGGAAGTGGACATTTGGAGCGCTTTCAGGACGACGGTGAAAATGGAAATATCTTCCAATAAAATCTAGATAGAAGCAATGTCAGAAACTTTTCTGTGATGGATCTACTCAGCTAACAGAGTTGAACCTTTGTTTTGAGAGAGCAGTTTTGCAACACTCTTTTTGTGGAATATGCAAGTGGATAATAGGGCAGCTTTGAGGATTTCGTTGGAAACGGGAATACATGTAAAAAGCAGACAGCAGCATTCTCAGAAACTTCTTTGTGATGTTTGCATTGAAGTCACAGAGTTGAACATTCCCTTTGAGAGAGCAGGTTTGAAACACGCCTTTTGTCATATCTGGAAGTGTCCATTCGGAGCGCATTCAGGCTTGTGTTGAAAAAGGAAATATCCTCCCATAAAAACTAGACAGAAGCATTCTCAGAAACTTATCTGTGATGTATGTACTCAACTAACAGAACTAAACCATCGTTTTGAAGGAGCAGTTTTGAAACACTCTTTTTGCGGAATCTGCAAGTGGATATTTGGCTAGCTGGGAGGATTTCGTTGGAAACGGGATTACATACAAAAAGCAGACAGCAGCATTCTCAGAAACTTCTTTGTGATGTTTGCATTCAAGTCACAGAGTTGAACATTCCCTTTCATAGAGCAGGTTTGAAACACTCTTTTTGTAGTATCTGGATGTGGACATTTGGATCGCTTTCAGGCCTATGGTGAAAAAGGAAATATCTTCCCATGAAAACTAGACAGAAGCATTCTCAGAAACTTATTTGTGATGTGTGCCCTCAACTGACAGTGTTGAACCTTTGTTTTGATAGAGCAGTTCTGAAACACACTTTTTGTAAAATCTGCAAGAGGATATTTGGATAGCTTTGAGGATTTCGTTGGAAACGGGAATGTCTTCATGTAAACTCTACACAGAAGCATTCTCAGAAACTGCTTTGGGATGTTTCAATTGAAGTCCCAGTGTTGAACATTCCCATTCATAGAGCAGGTTTGAAACACTCTTTTTGTACTATCTGGAAGTGGACATTTGGAGCGCTTTCAGGTCTACGGTGAAAAAGGAGATATCTTCCAATAAAAACTAGATAGAAGCAATGTCAGAACTTTTTTCATGATGTATCTACTCAGCTAACAGAGTTGAACCTTTCTTTTGAGAGAGCAGTTTTGAAACACTCTTTTTGTGGAATATGCAAGTGGGTATTAGGCCAGCTTGGAGGATTTCGTTGGAAACGGGAATACGTATAAAAAGCAGACAGCAGCATTGTCAGAAACTACTTTGTGATGTTTGCATTCAAGTCACAGAATTGAACACTCCCTTTCACAGAGCAGGTTTGAAACACTCTTTTTGTAGTGTCTGTAAGTGAACATATGGATTGCTTTCAGGCCTAAGGTGAAAAAGGAAATATCTTCCCATAAAAACTAGACAGAAGCATTCTCAGAAACTTGTTTGTGATGTGTGCCCTCTACTGACAGAGTTGAACCTTTCTTTGCAAAGAGCAGTTTTGAAACACTCTTTTTGTAGAATCTGCAAGAGGATATTTGGATAGCTTTGAGGATTTCTTGGGAAACGGGAATGTCTTCAGATAAACTCTAGACAGAAGCATTCTCAGAAACTTCTTTGGGATGTTTCAATTGAAGTCACAGTGTTGAACATTCCCTTTCACAGAGCAGGTTTGAAACACTCTTTTTGTAGTGTCTATAAGTGAACATTTGGCGTGCTTTCAGGCCTAACGTGAAAAAGGAAATATCTTCCCATAAAAACTAGACAGAAGCATTCTCAGAAACTTGTTCGTGATGTGTGCCCTCTACTGACAGAGTTGAACCTTTCTTTGCAAAGAGCAGCTTTGAAACACACTTTTTGTAGAATCTGCAAGAGGATATTTGGATAGCTTTGAGGATTTCGTTGGAAACGGGTATGTCTTCAGATATACTCTAGACAGAAGCATTCTCAGAAATTTCTTTGGGATGTTGCATTCAAGTCACAGAGTAGAACATTCCCATTCATAGAGCAGATTTGAAACACTCTTTTTGTAGTATCTGGAAGTGGACATTTGGAGCGCTTTCAGGCCTATGTTGAAAAAGGAAATATCTTCCCATAAAAACTAGACGGAAGCATTCTCAGAAACTTATTTGTGATGTGTTTGCTCAACTAACAGGATTGAACCATCGTTTTGAAGGAGCAGTTTTGAAACACTGTTTTCGTGGAATCTGCAAGTGGATATTTGGCTAGCTTTGAGGATTTCGTTGGAAACGGGATTACATATAAAAAGGAGACAGCAGCATTCTCAGAAACTTCTTTGTGATGTCTGCATTCAATTCACAGAGTTGAGCATTCCCTTTCATAGAGCAGGTTGGAAACACTCTTTTTGTAGTATCTGGATGAGGACATTTGGAGCGCTTTCAGGCGTATGGTGAAAAAGGAAATATCTTCCCGTAAAAACTAGACAGAAGCATTCTCAGAAGTTTATTTGTGATGTGTGCCCTCAACTAACAGAGTTGAACCTTTCTTTTGATAGAGCAGTTTTGAAACACTCATTTTGTAAAATCTGCAAGAGGATATTTGGATAGCTTTGAGGATTTCGTTGCAAACGGGAATGGCTTCATATAAACTCTAGACAGAAGCATTCTCAGAAACTTCGTCGGGATGTTTCGATTGAAGTCCCAGTGTTGAACATTCCCTTTTATAGAGCAGGTTGGAAACACTCTTTCTGCATTCCCTGGAAGTGGACATTTGGAGCGCTTTCAGGACGACGGTGAAAATGGAAATATCTTCCAATAAAATCTGGATAGAAGCAATGTCAGAAACTTTTATGTGATGGATCTACTCAGCTAACAGAGTTGAACCTTTCTTTTGAGAGAGCAGTTTTGCAACACTCTTTTTGTGGAATATGCAAGTGGATATTAGGGCAGCTTTGAGGATTTCGTTGGAAACGGGAATACATGTAAAAAGCAGACAGCAGCATTCTCAGAAACTTCTTTGTGATGTTTGCATTGAAGTCACAGAGTTGAACATTCCCTTTGAGAGAGCAGGTTTGAAACACGCCTTTTGTCATATCTGGAAGTGTCCATTCGGAGCGCATTCAGGCTTGTGTTGAAAAAGGAAATATCCTCCCATAAAAACTAGACAGAAGCATTCTCAGAAACTTATCTGTGATGTATGTACTCAACTAACAGAACTAAACCATCGTTTTGAAGGGCAGTTTTGAAACACTCTTTTTGCGGAATCTGCAAGTGGATATTTGGCTAGCTGGGAGGATTTCGTTGGAAACGGGATTACATACAAAAAGCAGACAGCAGCATTCTCAGAAACTTCTTTGTGATGTTTGCATTCAAGTCACAGAGTTGAACATTCCCTTTCATAGAGCAGGTTTGAAACACTCTTTTTGTAGTATCTGGATGTGGACATTTGGATCGCTTTCAGGCCTATGGTGAAAAAGGAAATATCTTCCCATGAAAACTAGACAGAAGCATTCTCAGAAACTTATTTGTGATGTGTGCCCTCAACTGACAGTGTTGAACCTTTGTTTTGATAGAGCAGTTCTGAAACACACTTTTTGTAAAATCTGCAAGAGGATATTTGGATAGCTTTGAGGATTTCGTTGGAAACGGGAATGTCTTCATGTAAACTCTAGACAGAAGCATTCTCAGAAACTGCTTTGGGATGTTTCAATTGAAGTCCCAGTGTTGAACATTCCCATTCATAGAGCAGGTTTGAAACACTCTTTTTGTACTATCTGGAAGTGGACATTTGGAGCGCTTTCAGGTCTACGATGAAAAAGGAGATATCTTCCAATAAAAACTAGATAGAAGCAATGTCAGAACTTTTTTCATGATGTATCTACTCAGCAAACAGAGTTGAACCTTTCTTTTGAGAGAGCAGTTTTGAAACACTCCTTTTGTGGAATATGCAAGTGGGTATTAGGCCAGCTTGGAGGATTTCGTTGGAAACGGGAATACGTATAAAAAGCAGACAGCAGCATTGTCAGAAACTACTTTGTGATGTTTGCATTCAAGTCACAGAATTGAACACTCCCTTTCACAGAGCAGGTTTGAAACTCTCTTTTTGTAGTGTCTATAAGTGAACATTTGGCGTGCTTTCAGGCGTAACGTGAAAAAGGAAATATCTTCCCATAAAAACTAGACAGAAGCATTCTCAGAAACTTGTTCTTGATGTGTGCCCTCTACTGACAGAGTTGAACCTTTCTTTGCAAAGAGCAGTTTTGAAACACTCTTTTTGTAGAATCTGCAAGAGGATATTTGGATAGCTTTGAGGATTTCTTGGGAAACGGGAATGTCTTCAGATAAACTCTAGACAGAAGCATTCTCAGAAACTTCTTTGGGATGTTTCAATTGAAGTCACAGTGTTGAACATTCCCTTTCACAGAGCAGGTTTGAAACACTCTTTTTGTAGTGTCTATAAGTGAACATTTGGCGTGCTTTCAGGCCTAACGTGAAAAAGGAAATATCTTCCCATAAAAACTAGACAGAAGCATTCTCAGAAACTTGTTCTTGATGTGTCCCCTCTACTGACAGAGTTGAACCTTTCTTTGCAAAGAGCAGCTTTGAAACACTCTTTTTGTAGAATCTGCAAGAGGATATTTGGATAGCTTGGAGGATTTCGTTGGAAACGGGTATGTCTTCAGATAAACTCTAGACAGAAGCATTCTCAGAAACTTCTTTGGGATGTTGCATTCAAGTCACAGAGTAGAACATTCCCATTCATAGAGCAGATTTGAAACACTCTTTTTGTAGTATCTGGAAGTGGACATTTGGAGCGCTTTCAGGCCTATGTTGAAAAAGGAAATATCTTCCCATAAAAACTAGACGGAAGCATTCTCAGAAACTTATTTGTGATGTGTTTGCTCAACTAACAGGATTGAACCATCGTTTTGAAGGAGCAGTTTTGAAACACTGTTTTCGTGGAATCTGCAAGTGGATATTTGGCTAGCTTTGAGGATTTCGTTGGAAACGGGATTACATATAAAAAGGAGACAGCAGCATTCTCAGAAACTTCTTTGTGATGTCTGCATTCAATTCACAGAGTTGAGCATTCCCTTTCATAGAGCAGGTTGGAAACACTCTTTTTGTAGTATCTGGATGAGGACATTTGGATCGCTTTCAGGCCTATGGTGAAAAAGGAAATATCTTCCCATGAAAACTAGACAGAAGCATTCTCAGAAACTTATTTGTGATGTGTGCACTCAACTGACAGTGTTGAACCTTTGTTTTGATAGAGCAGTTCTGAAACACACTTTTTGTAAAATCTGCAAGAGGATATTTGGATAGCTTTGAGGATTTCGTTGGAAACGGGAATGTCTTCATGTAAACTCTAGACAGAAGCATTCTCAGAAACTGCTTTGGGATGTTTCAATTGAAGTCCCAGTGTTGAACATTCCCATTCATAGAGCAGGTTTGAAACACTCTTTTTGTACTATCTGGAAGTGGACATTTGGAGCGCTTTCAGGTCTACGGTGAAAAAGGAGATATCTTCCAATAAAAACTAGATAGAAGCAATGTCAGAACTTTTTTCATGATGTATCTACTCAGCAAACAGAGTTGAACCTTTCTTTTGAGAGAGCAGTTTTGAAACACTCTTTTTGTGGAATATGCAAGTGGGTATTAGGCCAGCTTGGAGGATTTCGTTGGAAACGGGAATACGTATAAAAAGCAGACAGCAGCATTGTCAGAAACTACTTTGTGATGTTTGCATTCAAGTCACAGAATTGAACACTCCCTTTCACAGAGCAGGTTTGAAACACTCTTTTTGTAGTGTCTGTAAGTGAACATATGGATTGCTTTCAGGCCTAAGGTGAAAAAGGAAATATCTTCCCATAAAAACTAGACAGAAGCATTCTCAGAAACTTGTTTGTGATGTGTGCCCTCTACTGACAGAGTTGAACCTTTCTTTGCAAAGAGCAGCTTTGAAACACTCTTTTTGTAGAATCTGCAAGAGGATATGTGGATAGCTTTGAGGATTTCGTTGGAAACGGGTATGTCTTCAGATAAACTCTAGACAGAAGCATTCTCAGAAACTTCTTTGGGATGTTTCAACTGAAGTCACAGTGTTGAACATTCCCTTTCACAGAGCAGGTTTGAAACACTCTTTTTGTAGTGTCTATAAGTGAACATTTGGCGTGCTTTCAGGCCTAACGTGAAAAAGGAAATATCTTCCCATAAAAACTAGACAGAAGCATTCTCAGAAACTTGTTCATGATGTGTGCCCTCTACTGACAGAGTTGAACCTTTCTTTGCAAAGAGCAGCTTTGAAACACTCTTTTTGTAGAATCTGCAAGAGGATATTTGGATAGCTTTGAGGATTTCGTTGGAAACGGGTATGTCTTCAGATAAACTCTAGACAGAAGCATTCTCAGAAACTTCTTTGGGATGTTGCATTCAAGTCACAGAGTAGAACATTCCCATTCATAGAGCAGATTTGAAACACTCTTTTTGTAGTATCTGGAAGTGGACATTTGGAGCGCTTTCAGGCCTATGTTGAAAAAGGAAATATCTTCCCATAAAAACTAGACGGAAGCATTCTCAGAAACTTACTTGTGATGTGTTTGCTCAACTAACAGAATTGAACCATCGTTTTGAAGGAGCAGTTTTGAAACACTGTTTTCGTGGAATCTGCAAGTGGATATTTGGCTAGCTTTGAGGATTTCGTTGGAAACGGGATTACATATACAAAGGAGACAGCAGCATTCTCAGAAACTTCTTTGTGATGTCTGCATTCAAGTCACAGAGTTGAGCATTCCCTTTCATAGAGCAGGTTGGAAACACTCTTTTTGTAGTATCTGGATGAGGACATTTGGAGCGCTTTCAGGCCTATGGTGAAAAAGGAAATATCTTCCCGTAAAAACTAGACAGAAGCATTCTCAGAAATTTATTTGTGATGTGTGCCCTCAACTAACAGAGTTGAACCTTTCTTTTGATAGAGCAGTTTTGAAACACTCTTTTTGTAAAATCTGCAAGAGGATATTTGGATAGCTTTGAGGATTTCGTTGCAAACGGGAATGGCTTCATATAAACTCCTAGACAGAAGCATTCTCAAGAAACTTCGTTGGGATGTTTCGATTGAAGTCCCAGTGTTGAACATTCCCTTTTATAGAGCAGGTTGGAAACACTCTTTCTGCATTCCCTGGAAGTGGACATTTGGAGCGCTTTCAGGACGACGGTGAAAATGGAAATATCTTCCAAGAAAATCTAGATAGAAGCAACGTCAGAAACTTTTCTGTGATGGATCTACTCAGCTAACAGAGTTGAACCTTTCTTTTGAGAGAGCAGTTTTGCAACACTCTTTTTGTGGAATATGCAAGTGGATATTAGGGCAGCTTTGAGGATTTCGTTGGAAACGGGAATACATGTAAAAAGCAGACAGCAGCATTCTCAGAAACTTCTTTGTGATGTTTGCATTGAAGTCACAGAGTTGAACATTCCCTTTGAGAGAGCAGGTTTGAAACACGCCTTTTGTCATATCTGGAAGTGTCCATTCGGAGCGCATTCAGGCTTGTGTTGAAAAAGGAAATATCCTCCCATAAAAACTAGACAGAAGCATTCTCAGAAACTTATCTGTGATGTATGTACTCAACTAACAGAACTAAACCATCGTTTTGAAGGAGCAGTTTTGAAACACTCTTTTTGCGGAATCTGCAAGTGGATATTTGGCTAGCTGGGAGGATTTCGTTGGAAACGGGATTACATACAAAAAGCAGACAGCAGCATTCTCAGAAACTTCTTTGTGATGTTTGCATTCAAGTCACAGAGTTGAACATTCCCTTTCATAGAGCAGGTTTGAAACACTCTTTTTGTAGTATCTGGATGTGGACATTTGGATCGCTTTCAGGCCTATGGTGAAAAAGGAAATATCTTCCCATGAAAACTAGACAGAAGCATTCTCAGAAACTTATTTGTGATGTGTGCCCTCAACTGACAGTGTTGAACCTTTGTTTTGATAGAGCAGTTCTGAAACACACTTTTTGTAAAATCTGCAAGAGGATATTTGGATAGCTTTGAGGATTTCGTTGGAAACGGGAATGTCTTCATGTAAACTCTAGACAGAAGCATTCTCAGAAACTGCTTTGGGATGTTTCAATTGAAGTCCCAGTGTTGAACATTCCCTTTCATAGGAGCAGGTTTGAAACACTCTTTTTGTACTATCTGGAAGTGGACATTTGGAGCGCTTTCAGGTCTACGGTGAAAAAGGAGATATCTTCCAATAAAAACTAGATAGAGAAGCAATGTCAGAACTTTTTTCATGATGTATCTACTCAGCTAACAGAGTTGAACCTTTCTTTTGAGAGAGCAGTTTTGAAACACTCTTTTTGTGGAATATGCAAGTGGGTATTAGGCCAGCTTGGAGGATTTCGTTGGAAACGGGAATACGTATAAAAAGCAGACAGCAGCATTGTCAGAAACTACTTTGTGATGTTTGCATTCAAGTCACAGAATTGAACACTCCCTTTCACAGAGCAGGTTTGAAACACTCTTTTTGTAGTGTCTGTAAGTGAACATATGGATTGCTTTCAGGCCTAAGGTGAAAAAGGAAATATCTTCCCATAAAAACTAGACAGAAGCATTCTCAGAAACTTGTTTGTGATGTGTGCCCTCTACTGACAGAGTTGAACCTTTCTTTGCAAAGACCAGTTTTGAAACACTCTTTTTGTAGAATCTGCAAGAGGATATTTGGATAGCTTTGAAGATTTCTTGGGAAACGGGAATGTCTTCAGATAAACTCTAGACAGAAGCATTCTCAGAAACTTCTTTGGGATGTTTCAATTGAAGTCACAGTGTTGAACATTCCCTTTCACAGAGCAGGTTTGAAACACTCTTTTTGTAGTGTGTATAAGTGAACATTTCGCGTGCTTTCAGGCCTAACGTGAAAAAGGAAATATCTTCCCATAAAAACTAGACAGAAGCATTCTCAGAAACTTGTTCATGATGTGTGCCCTCTACTGACAGAGTTGAACCTTTCTTTGCAAAGAGCAGCTTTGAAACACTCTTTTTGTAGAATCTGCAAGAGGATATTTGGATAGCTTGGAGGATTTCGTTGGAAACGGGTATGTCTTCAGATAAACTCTAGACAGAAGCATTCTCAGAAACTTCTTTGGGATGTTGCATTCAAGTCACAGAGTAGAACATTCCCATTCATAGAGCAGATTTGAAACACTCTTTTTGTAGTATCTGGAAGTGGACATTTGGAGCGCTTTCAGGCCTATGTTGAAAAAGGAAATATCTTCCCATAAAAACTAGACGGAAGCATTCTCAGAAACTTACTTGTGATGTGTTTGCTCAACTAACAGAATTGAACCATTGTTTTGAAGGAGCAGTTTTGAAACACTGTTTTCGTGGAATCTGCAAGTGGATATTTGGCTAGCTTTGAGGATTTCGTTGGAAACGGGATTACATATACAAAGGAGACAGCAGCATTCTCAGAAACTTCTTTGTGATGTCTGCATTCAACTCACAGAGTTGAGCATTCCCTTTCA
Source organism: Homo sapiens (assembly GCF_000001405.40). Taxonomy (NCBI): domain Eukaryota; kingdom Metazoa; phylum Chordata; class Mammalia; order Primates; family Hominidae; genus Homo; species Homo sapiens. Next base: position 26,928,105 of record NC_000020.11, read on the forward strand.
TAGAGCAGGTTGGAAACACTCTTTTTGTAGTATCTGGATGAGGACATTTGGAGCGCTTTCAGGCCTATGGTGAAAAAGGAAATATCTTCCCGTAAAAACTAGACTGAAGCATTCTCAGAAATTTATTTGTGATGTGTGCCCTCAACTAACAGAGTTGAACCTTTCTTTTGATAGAGCAGTTTTGAAACACTCTTTTTGTAAAATCTGCAAGAGGATATTTGGATAGCTTTGAGGATTTATCTGCAAACGGGAATGGCTTCATATAAACTCTAGACAGAAGCATTCTCAGAAACTTCATTGGGATGTTTCGATTGAAGTCCCAGTGTTGAACATTCCCTTTTATAGAGCAGGTTGGAAACACTCTTTCTGCATTCCCTGGAAGTGGACATTTGGAGCGCTTTCAGGACGACGGTGAAAATGGAAATATCTTCCAAGAAAATCTAGATAGAAGCAATGTCAGAAACTTTTATGTGATGGATCTACTCAGCTAACAGAGTTGAAGCTTTCTTTTGAGAGAGCAGTTTTGCAACATTCTTTTTGTGGAATATGCAAGTGGATATTAGGGCAGCTTTGAGGATTTCGTTGGAAACGGGAATACATGTAAAAAGCAGACAGCAGCATTCTCAGAAACTTCTTTGTGATGTTTGCATTGAAGTCACAGCAGTTGAACATTCCCTTTGAGAGAGCAGGTTTGAAACACGCCTTTTGTCATATCTGGAAGTGTCCATTCGGAGCGCATTCAGGCTTGTGTTGAAAAAGGAAATATCCTCCCATAAAAACTAGACAGAAGCATTCTCAGAAACTTATCTGTGATGTATGTACTCAACTAACAGAACTAAACCATCGTTTTGAAGGAGCAGTTTTGAAACACTCTTTTTGCGGAATCTGCAAGTGGATATTTGGCTAGCTGGGAGGATTTCGTTGGAAACGGGATTACATACAAAAAGCAGACAGCAGCATTCTCAGAAACTTCTTTGTGATGTTTGCATTCAAGTCACAGAGTTGAACATTCCCTTTCATAGAGCAGGTTTGAAACACTCTTTTTGTAGTATCTGGATGTGGACATTTGGATCGCATTCAGGCCTATGGTGAAAAAGGAAATATCTTCCCATGAAAACTAGACAGAAGCATTCTCAGAAACTTATTTGTGATGTGTGCCCTCAACTGACAGTGTTGAACCTTTGTTTTGATAGAGCAGTTCTGAAACACACTTTTTGTAAAATCTGCAAGAGGATATTTGGATAGCTTTGAGGATTTCGTTGGAAACGGGAATGTCTTCATGTAAACTCTAGACAGAAGCATTCTCAGAAACTGCTTTGGGATGTTTCAATTGAAGTCCCAGTGTTGAACATTCCCTTTCATAGAGCACGTTTGAAACACTCTTTTTGTACTATCTGGAAGTGGACATTTGGAGCGCTTTCAGGTCTACGGTGAAAAAGGAGATATCTTCCAATAAAAACTAGATAGAAGCAATGTCAGAACTTTTTTCATGATGTATCTACTCAGCAAACAGAGTTGAACCTTTCTTTTGAGAGAGCAGTTTTGAAACACTCTTTTTGTGGAATATGCAAGTGGGTATTAGGCCAGCTTGGAGGATTTCGTTGGAAACGGGAATACGTATAAAAAGCAGACAGCAGCATTGTCAGAAACTACTTTGTGATGTTTGCATTCAAGTCACAGAATTGAACACTCCCTTTCACAGAGCAGGTTTGAAACACTCTTTTTGTAGTGTCTGTAAGTGAACATTTGGATTGCTTTCAGGCCTAAGGTGAAAAAGGAAATATCTTCCCATAAAAACTAGACAGAAGCATTCTCAGAAACTTGTTTGTGATGTGTGCCCTCTACTGACAGAGTTGAACCTTTCTTTGCAAAGAGCAGTTTTGAAACACTCTTTTTGTAGAATCTGCAAGAGGATATTTGGATAGCTTTGAGGATTTCTTGGGAAACGGGAATGTCTTCAGATAAACTCTAGACAGAAGCATTCTCAGAAACTTCTTTGGGATGTTTCAATTGAAGTCACAGTGTTGAACATTCCCTTTCACAGAGCAGGTTTGAAACACTCTTTTTGTAGTGTCTATAAGTGAACATTTGGCGTGCTTTCAGGCCTAACGTGAAAAAGGAAATATCTTCCCATAAAAACTAGACAGAAGCATTCTCAGAAACTTGTTCGTGATGTGTGCCCTCTACTGACAGAGTTGAACCTTTCTTTGCAAAGAGCAGCTTTGAAACACACTTTTTGTAGAATCTGCAAGAGGATATTTGGATAGCTTTGAGGATTTCGTTGGAAACGGGTATGTCTTCAGATAAACTCTAGACAGAAGCATTCTCAGAAACTTCTTTGGGATGTTGCATTCAAGTCACAGAGTAGAACATTCCCATTCATAGAGCAGATTTGAAACACTCTTTTTGTAGTATCTGGAAGTGGACATTTGGAGCGCTTTCAGGCCTATGTTGAAAAAGGAAATATCTTCCCATAAAAACTAGACGGAAGCATTCTCAGAAACTTACTTGTGATGTGTTTGCTCAACTAACAGAATTGAACCATCGTTTTGAAGGAGCAGTTTTGAAACACTGTTTTCGTGGAATCTGCAAGTGGATATTTGGCTAGCTTTGAGGATTTCGTTGGAAACGGGATTACATATAAAAAGGAGACAGCAGCATTCTCAGAAACTTCTTTGTGATGTCTGCATTCAAGTCACAGAGTTGAGCATTCCCTTTCATAGAGCAGGTTGGAAACACTCTTTTTGTAGTATCTGGATGAGGACATTTGGAGCGCTTTCAGGCGTATGGTGAAAAAGGAAATATCTTCCCGTAAAAACTAGACAGAAGCATTCTCAGAAATTTATTTGTGATGTGTGCCCTCAACTAACAGAGTTGAACCTTTCTTTTGATAGAGCAGTTTTGAAACACTCTTTTTGTAAAATCTGCAAGAGGATATTTGGATAGCTTTGAGGATTTCGTTGCAAACGGGAATGGCTTCATATAAACTCTAGACAGAAGCATTCTCAGAAACTTCGTTGGGATGTTTCGATTGAAGTCCCAGTGTTGAACATTCCCTTTTATAGAGCAGGTTGGAAACACTCTTTCTGCATTCCCTGGAAGTGGACATTTGGAGCGCTTTCAGGACGACGGTGAAAATGGAAATATCTTCCAAGAAAATCTAGATAGAAGCAACGTCAGAAACTTTTCTGTGATGGATCTACTCAGCTAACAGAGTTGAACCTTTCTTTTGAGAGAGCAGTTTTGCAACACTCTTTTTGTGGAATATGCAAGTGGATATTAGGGCAGCTTTGAGGATTTCGTTGGAAACGGGAATACATGTAAAAAGCAGACAGCAGCATTCTCAGAAACTTCTTTGTGATGTTTGCATTGAAGTCACAGAGTTGAACATTCCCTTTGAGAGAGCAGGTTTGAAACACGCCTTTTGTCATATCTGGAAGTGTCCATTCGGAGCGCATTCAGGCTTGTGTTGAAAAAGGAAATATCCTCCCATAAAAACTAGACAGAAGCATTCTCAGAAACTTATCTGTGATGTATGTACTCAACTAACAGAACTAAACCATCGTTTTGAAGGAGCAGTTTTGAAACACTCTTTTTGCGGAATCTGCAAGTGGATATTTGGCTAGCTGGGAGGATTTCGTTGGAAACGGGATTACATACAAAAAGCAGACAGCAGCATTCTCAGAAACTTCTTTGTGATGTTTGCATTCAAGTCACAGAGTTGAACATTCCCTTTCATAGAGCAGGTTTGAAACACTCTTTTTGTAGTATCTGGATGTGGACATTTGGATCGCTTTCAGGCCTATGGTGAAAAAGGAAATATCTTCCCATGAAAACTAGACAGAAGCATTCTCAGAAACTTATTTGTGATGTGTGCCCTCAACTGACAGTGTTGAACCTTTGTTTTGATAGAGCAGTTCTGAAACACACTTTTTGTAAAATCTGCAAGAGGATATTTGGATAGCTTTGAGGATTTCGTTGGAAACGGGAATGTCTTCATGTAAACTCTAGACAGAAGCATTCTCAGAAACTGCTTTGGGATGTTTCAATTGAAGTCCCAGTGTTGAACATTCCCTTTCATAGAGCAGGTTTGAAACACTCTTTTTGTACTATCTGGAAGTGGACATTTGGAGCGCTTTCAGGTCTACGGTGAAAAAGGAGATATCTTCCAATAAAAACTAGATAGAAGCAATGTCAGAACTTTTTTCATGATGTATCTACTCAGCAAACAGAGTTGAACCTTTCTTTTGAGAGAGCAGTTTTGAAACACTCTTTTTGTGGAATATGCAAGTGGGTATTAGGCCAGCTTGGAGGATTTCGTTGGAAACGGGAATACGTATAAAAAGCAGACAGCAGCATTGTCAGAAACTACTTTGTGATGTTTACATTCAAGTCACAGAATTGAACACTCCCTTTCACAGAACAGGTTTGAAACACTCTTTTTGTAGTGTCTGTAAGTGAACATTTGGATTGCTTTCAGGCCTAAGGTGAAAAAGGAAATATCTTCCCATAAAAACTAGACAGAAGCATTCTCAGAAACTTGTTTGTGATGTGTGCCCTCTACTGACAGAGTTGAACCTTTCTTTGCAAAGAGCAGTTTTGAAACACTCTTTTTGTAGAATCTGCAAGAGGATATTTGGATAGCTTTGAGGATTTCTTGGGAAACGGGAATGTCTTCAGATAAACTCTAGACAGAAGCATTCTCAGAAACTTCTTTGGGATGTTTCAATTGAAGTCACAGTGTTGAACATTCCCTTTCACAGAGCAGGTTTGAAACACTCTTTTTGTAGTGTCTATAAGTGAACATTTGGCGTGCTTTCAGGCGTAACGTGAAAAAGGAAATATCTTCCCATAAAAACCAGACAGAAGCATTCTCAGAAACTTGTTCCTGATGTGTGCCCTCTAACTGACAGAGTTGAACCTTTCTTTGCAAAGAGCAGCTTTGAAACACTCTTTTTGTAGAATCTGCAAGAGGATATTTGGATAGCTTTGAGGATTTCGTTGGAAACGGGGATGTCTTCAGATAAACTCTAGACAGAAGCATTCTCAGAAACTTCTTTGGGATGTTGCATTCAAGTCACAGAGTAGAACATTCCCATTCATAGAGCAGATTTGAAACACTCTTTTTGTAGTATCTGGAAGTGGACATTTGGAGCGCTTTCAGGCCTATGTTGAAAAAGGAAATATCTTCCCATAAAAACTAGACGGAAGCATTCTCAGAAACTTATTTGTGATGTGTTTGCTCAACTAACAGGATTGAACCATCGTTTTGAAGGAGCAGTTTTGAAACACTGTTTTCGTGGAATCTGCAAGTGGATATTTGGCTAGCTTTGAGGATTTCGTTGGAAACGGGATTACATATAAAAAGGAGACAGCAGCATTCTCAGAAACTTCTTTGTGATGTCTGCATTCAATTCACAGAGTTGAGCATTCCCTTTCATAGAGCAGGTTGGAAACACTCTTTTTGTAGTATCTGGATGAGGACATTTGGAGCGCTTTCAGGCGTATGGTGAAAAAGGAAATATCTTCCCGTAAAAACTAGACAGAAGCATTCTCAGAAGTTTATTTGTGATGTGTGCCCTCAACTAACAGAGTTGAACCTTTCTTTTGATAGAGCAGTTTTGAAACACTCTTTTTGTAAAATCTGCAAGAGGATATTTGGATAGCTTTGAGGATTTCGTTGCAAACGGGAATGGCTTCATATAAACTCTAGACAGAAGCATTCTCAGAAACTTCGTTGGGATGTTTCGATTGAAGTCCCAGTGTTGAACATTCCCTTTTATAGAGCAGGTTGGAAACACTCTTTCTGCATTCCCTGGAAGTGGACATTTGGAGCGCTTTCAGGACGACGGTGAAAATGGAAATATCTTCCAAGAAAATCTAGATAGAAGCAACGTCAGAAACTTTTCTGTGATGGATCTACTCAGCTAACAGAGTTGAACCTTTCTTTTGAGAGAGCAGTTTTGCAACACTCTTTTTGTGGAATATGCAAGTGGATATTAGGGCAGCTTTGAGGATTTCGTTGGAAACGGGAATACATGTAAAAAGCAGACAGCAGCATTCTCAGAAACTTCTTTGTGATGTTTGCATTGAAGTCACAGAGTTGAACATTCCCTTTGAGAGAGCAGGTTTGAAACACGCCTTTTGTCATATCTGGAAGTGTCCATTCGGAGCGCATTCAGGCTTGTGTTGAAAAAGGAAATATCCTCCCATAAAAACTAGACAGAAGCATTCTCAGAAACTTATCTGTGATGTATGTACTCAACTAACAGAACTAAACCATCGTTTTGAAGGAGCAGTTTTGAAACACTCTTTTTGCGGAATCTGCAAGTGGATATTTGGCTAGCTGGGAGGATTTCGTTGGAAACGGGATTACATACAAAAAGGAGACAGCAGCATTCTCAGAAACTTCTTTGTGATGTTTGCATTCAAGTCACAGAGTTGAACATTCCCTTTCATAGAGCAGGTTTGAAACACTCTTTTTGTAGTATCTGGATGTGGACATTTGGATCGCTTTCAGGCCTATGGTGAAAAAGGAAATATCTTCCCATGAAAACTAGACAGAAGCATTCTCAGAAACTTATTTGTGATGTGTGCCCTCAACTGACAGTGTTGAACCTTTGTTTTGATAGAGCAGTTCTGAAACACACTTTTTGTAAAATCTGCAAGAGGATATTTGGATAGCTTTGAGGATTTCGTTGGAAACGGGAATGTCTTCATGTAAACTCTACACAGAAGCATTCTCAGAAACTGCTTTGGGATGTTTCAATTGAAGTCCCAGTGTTGAACATTCCCATTCATAGAGCAGGTTTGAAACACTCTTTTTGTACTATCTGGAAGTGGACATTTGGAGCGCTTTCAGGTCTACGGTGAAAAAGGAGATATCTTCCAATAAAAACTAGATAGAAAGCAATGTCAGAACTTTTTTCATGATGTATCTACTCAGCAAACAGTAGTTGAACCTTTCTTTTGAGAGAGCAGTTTTGAAACACTCTTTTTGTGGAATATGCAAGTGGGTATTAGGCCAGCTTGGAGGATTTCGTTGGAAACGGGAATACGTATAAAAAGCAGACAGCAGCATTGTCAGAAACTACTTTGTGATGTTTGCATTCAAGTCACAGAATTGAACACTCCCTTTCACAGGGCAGGTTTGAAACACTCTTTTTGTAGTGTCTGTAAGTGAACATTTGGATTGCTTTCTGGCCTAAGGTGAAAAAGGAAATATCTTCCCATAAAAACTAGACAGAAGCATTCTCAGAAACTTGTTTGTGATGTGTGCCCTCTACTGACAGAGTTGAAACTTTCTTTGCAAAGAGCAGTTTTGAAACACTCTTTTTGTAGAATCTGCAAGAGGATATTTGGATAGCTTTGAGGATTTCTTGGGAAACGGGAATGTCTTCAGATAAACTCTAGACAGAAGCATTCTCAGAAACTTCTTTGGGATGTTTCAATTGAAGTCAGTGTTGAACATTCCCTTTCACAGAGCAGGTTTGAAACACTCTTTTTGTAGTGTCTATAAGTGAACATTTGGCGTGCTTTCAGGCGTAACGTGAAAAAGGAAATATCTTCCCATAAAAACTAGACAGAAGCATTCTCAGAAACTTGTTCTTGATGTGTCCCCTCTACTGACAGAGTTGAACCTTTCTTTGCAAAGAGCAGCTTTGAAACACTCTTTTTGTAGAATCTGCAAGAGGATATTTGGATAGCTTGGAGGATTTCGTTGGAAACGGGTATGTCTTCAGATAAACTCTAGACAGAAGCATTCTCAGAAACTTCTTTGGGATGTTGCATTCAAGTCACAGAGTAGAACATTCCCATTCATAGAGCAGATTTGAAACACTCTTTTTGTAGTATCTGGAAGTGGACATTTGGAGCGCTTTCAGGCCTATGTTGAAAAAGGAAATATCTTCCCATAAAAACTACACGGAAGCATTCTCAGAAACTTATTTGTGATGTGTTTGCTCAACTAACAGGATTGAACCATCGTTTTGAAGGAGCAGTTTTGAAACACTGTTTTCGTGGAATCTGCAAGTGGATATTTGGCTAGCTTTGAGGATTTCGTTGGAAACGGGATTACATATAAAAAGGAGACAGCAGCATTCTCAGAAACTTCTTTGTGATGTCTGCATTCAATTCACAGAGTTGAGCATTCCCTTTCATAGAGCAGGTTGGAAACACTCTTTTTGTAGTATCTGGATGAGGACATTTGGAGCGCTTTCAGCCGTATGGTGAAAAAGGAAATATCTTCCCGCAAAAACTAGACAGAAGCATTCTCAGAAATTTATTTGTGATGTGTGCCCTCAACTAACAGAGTTGAACCTTTCTTTTGATAGAGCAGTTTTGAAACACTCTTTTTGTAAAATCTGCAAGAGGATATTTGGATAGCTTTGAGGATTTCGTTGCAAACGGGAATGGCTTCATATAAACTCTAGACAGAAGCATTCTCAGAAACTTCGTTGGGATGTTTCGATTGAAGTCCCAGTGTTGAACATTCCCTTTTATAGAGCAGGTTGGAAACACTCTTTCTGCATTCCCTGGAAGTGGACATTTGGAGCGCTTTCAGGTTGACGGTGAAAATGGAAATATCTTCCAAGAAAATCTAGATAGAAGCAACGTCAGAAACTTCTCTGTGATGGATCTACTCAGCTAACAGAGTTGAACCTTTCTTTTGAGAGAGCAGTTTTGCAACACTCTTTTTGTGGAATATGCAAGTGGATATTAGGGCAGCTTTGAGGATTTCGTTGGAAACGGGAATACATGTAAAAAGCAGACAGCAGCATTCTCAGAAACTTCTTTGTGATGTTTGCATTGAAGTCACAGAGTTGAACATTCCCTTTGAGAGAGCAGGTTTGAAACACGCCTTTTGTCATATCTGGAAGTGTCCATTCGGAGCGCATTCAGGCTTGTGTTGAAAAAGGAAATATCCTCCCATAAAAACTAGACAGAAGCATTCCCAGAAACTTATCTGTGATGTATGTACTCAACTAACAGAACTAAACCATCGTTTTGAAGGAGCAGTTTTGAAACACTCTTTTTGCGGAATCTGCAAGTGGATATTTGGCTAGCAGGGAGGATTTCGTTGGAAACGGGATTACATACAAAAAGCAGACAGCAGCATTCTCAGAAACTTCTTTGTGATGTTTGCATTCAAGTCACAGAGTTGAACATTCCCTTTCATAGAGCAGGTTTGAAACACTCTTTTTGTAGTATCTGGATGTGGACATTTGGATCGCTTTCAGGTCTATGGTGAAAAAGGAAATATCTTCCCATGAAAACTAGACAGAAGCATTCTCAGAAACTTATTTGTGATGTGTGCCCTCAACTGACAGTGTTGAACCTTTGTTTTGATAGAGCAGTTCTGAAACACACTTTTTGTAAAATCTGCAAGAGGATATTTGGATAGCTTTGAGGATTTCGTTGGAAACGGGAATGTCTTCATGTAAACTCTAGACAGAAGCATTCTCAGAAACTGCTTTGGGATGTTTCAATTGAAGTCCCAGTGTTGAACATTCCCTTTCATAGAGCAGGTTTGAAACACTCTTTTTGTACTATCTGGAAGTGGACATTTGGAGCGCTTTCAGGTCTACGGTGAAAAAGGAGATATCTTCCAATAAAAACTAGATAGAAGCAATGTCAGAACTTTTTTCATGATGTATCTACTCAGCAAACAGAGTTGAACCTTTCTTTTGAGAGAGCAGTTTTGAAACACTCTTTTTGTGGAATATGCAAGTGGGTATTAGGCCAGCTTGGAGGATTTCGTTGGAAACGGGAATACGTATAAAAAGCAGACAGCAGCATTGTCAGAAACTACTTTGTGATGTTTGCATTCAAGTCACAGAATTGAACACTCCCTTTCACAGAGCAGGTTTGAAACACTCTTTTTGTAGTGTCTGTAAGTGAACATTTGGATTGCTTTCAGGCCTAAGGTGAAAAAGGGAAATATCTTCCCATAAAAACTAGACAGAAGCATTCTCAGAAACTTGTTTGTGATGTGTGCCCTCTACTGACAGAGTTGAACCTTTCATTGCAAAGACCAGTTTTGAAACACTCTTTTTGTAGAATCTGCAAGAGGATATTTGGATAGCTTTGAGGATTTCTTGGGAAACGGGAATGTCTTCAGATAAACTCTAGACAGAAGCATTCTCAGAAACTTCTTTGGGATGTTTCAATTGAAGTCACAGTGTTGAACATTCCCTTTCACAGAGCAGGTTTGAAACACTCTTTTTGTAGTGTCTATAAGTGAACATTTGGCGTGCTTTCAGGCCTAACGTGAAAAAGGAAATATCTTCCCATAAAAACTAGACAGAAGCATTCTCAGAAACTTGTTCGTGATGTGTGCCCTCTACTGACAGAGTTGAACCTTTCTTTGCAAAGAGCAGCTTTGAAACACTCTTTTTGTAGAATCTGCAAGAGGATATTTGGATAGCTTTGAGGATTTCGTTGGAAACGGGTATGTCTTCAGATAAACTCTAGACAGAAGCATTCTCAGAAACTTCTTTGGGATGTTGCATTCAAGTCACAGAGTAGAACATTCCCATTCATAGAGCAGATTTGAAACACTCTTTTTGTAGTATCTGGAAGTGGACATTTGGAGCGCTTTCAGGCCTATGTTGAAAAAGGAAATATCTTCCCATAAAAACTAGACGGAAGCATTCTCAGAAACTTACTTGTGATGTGTTTGCTCAACTAACAGAATTGAACCATCGTTTTGAAGGAGCAGTTTTGAAACACTGTTTTCGTGGAATCTGCAAGTGGATATTTGGCTAGCTTTGAGGATTTCGTTGGAAACGGGATTACATATAAAAAGGAGACAGCAGCATTCTCAGAAACTTCTTTGTGATGTCTGCATTCAAGTCACAGAGTTGAGCATTCCCTTTCATAGAGCAGGTTGGAAACACTCTTTTTGTAGTATCTGGATGAGGACATTTGGAGCGCTTTCAGGCGTATGGTGAAAAAGGAAATATCTTCCCGTAAAAACTAGACAGAAGCATTCTCAGAAATTTATTTGTGATGTGTGCCCTCAACTAACAGAGTTGAACCTTTCTTTTGATAGAGCAGTTTTGAAACACTCTTTTTGTAAAATCTGCAAGAGGATATTTGGATAGCTTTGAGGATTTCGTTGCAAACGGGAATGGCTTCATATAAACTCTAGACAGAAGCATTCTCAGAAACTTCGTTGGGATGTTTCGATTGAAGTCCCAGTGTTGAACATTCCCTTTTATAGAGCAGGTTGGAAACACTCTTTCTGCATTCCCTGGAAGTGGACAATTGGAGCGCTTTCAGGACGACGGTGAAAATGGAAATATCTTCCAATAAAATCTGGATAGAAGCAACGTCAGAAACTTTTCTGTGATGGATCTACTCAGCTAACAGAGTTGAACCTTTCTTTTGAGAGAGCAGTTTTGCAACACTCTTTTTGTGGAATATGCAAGTGGATATTAGGGCAGCTTTGAGGATTTCGTTGGAAACGGGAATACATGTAAAAAGCAGACAGCAGCATTCTCAGAAACTTCTTTGTGATGTTTGCATTGAAGTCACAGAGTTGAACATTCCCTTTGAGAGAGCAGGTTTGAAACACGCCTTTTGTCATATCTGGAAGTGTCCATTCGGAGCGCATTCAGGCTTGTGTTGAAAAAGGAAATATCCTCCCATAAAAACTAGACAGAAGCATTCTCAGAAACTTATCTGTGATGTATGTACTCAACTAACAGAACTAAACCATCGTTTTGAAGGAGCAGTTTTGAAACACTCTTTTTGCGGAATCTGCAAGTGGATATTTGGCTAGCTGGGAGGATTTCGTTGGAAACGGGATTACATACAAAAAGCAGACAGCAGCATTCTCAGAAACTTCTTTGTGATGTTTGCTTTCAAGTCACAGAGTTGAGCATTCCCTTTCATAGAGCAGGTTGGAAACACTCTTTTTGTAGTATCTGGATGTGGACATTTGGATCGCTTTCAGGCCTATGGTGAAAAAGGAAATATCTTCCCATGAAAACTAGACAGAAGCATTCTCAGAAACTTATTTGTGATGTGTGCCCTCAACTGACAGTGTTGAACCTTTGTTTTGATAGAGCAGTTCTGAAACACACTTTTTGTAAAATCTGCAAGAGGATATTTGGATAGCTTTGAGGATTTCGTTGGAAACGGTAATGTCTTCATGTAAACTCTACACAGAAGCATTCTCAGAAACTGCTTTGGGATGTTTCAATTGAAGTCCCAGTGTTGAACATTCCCATTCATAGAGCAGGTTTGAAACACTCTTTTTGTACTATCTGGAAGTGGACATTTGGAGCGCTTTCAGGTCTACGGTGAAAAAGGAGATATCTTCCAATAAAAACTAGATAGAAGCAATGTCAGAACTTTTTTCATGATGTATCTACTCAGCAAACAGAGTTGAACCTTTCTTTTGAGAGAGCAGTTTTGAAACACTCTTTTTGTGGAATATGCAAGTGGGTATTAGGCCAGCTTGGAGGATTTCGTTGGAAACGGGAATACGTATAAAAAGCAGACAGCAGCATTGTCAGAAACTACTTTGTGATGTTTGCATTCAAGTCACAGAATTGAACACTCCCTTTCACAGAGCAGGTTTGAAACACTCTTTTTGTAGTGTCTGTAAGTGAACATATGGATTGCTTTCAGGTCTAAGGTGAAAAAGGAAATATCTTCCCATAAAAACTAGACAGAAGCATTCTCAGAAACTTGTTTGTGATGTGTGCCCTCTACTGACAGAGTTGAACCTTTCTTTGCAAAGAGCAGTTTTGAAACACTCTTTTTGTAGAATCTGCAAGAGGATATTTGGATAGCTTTGAGGATTTCTTGGGAAACGGGAATGTCTTCAGATAAACTCTAGACAGAAGCATTCTCAGAAACTTCTTTGGGATGTTTCAATTGAAGTCACAGTGTTGAACATTCCCTTTCACAGAGCAGGTTTGAAACACTCTTTTTGTAGTGTCTATAAGTGAACATTTGGCGTGCTTTCAGGCGTAACGTGAAAAAGGAAATATCTTCCCATAAAAACTAGACAGAAGCATTCTCAGAAACTTGTTCTTGATGTGTCCCCTCTACTGACAGAGTTGAACCTTTCTTTGCAAAGAGCAGCTTTGAAACACTCTTTTTGTAGAATCTGCAAGAGGATATTTGGATAGCTTGGAGGATTTCGTTGGAAACGGGTATGTCTTCAGATAAACTCTAGACAGAAGCATTCTCAGAAACTTCTTTGGGATGTTGCATTCAAGTCACAGAGTAGAACATTCCCATTCATAGAGCAGATTTGAAACACTCTTTTTGTAGTATCTGGAAGTGGACATTTGGAGCGCTTTCAGGCCTATGTTGAAAAAGGAAATATCTTCCCATAAAAACTAGACGGAAGCATTCTCTGAAACTTATTTGTGATGTGTTTGCTCAACTAACAGGATTGAACCATCGTTTTGAAGGAGCAGTTTTGAAACACTGTTTTCGTGGAATCTGCAAGTGGATATTTGGCTAGCTTTGAGGATTTCGTTGGAAACGGGATTACATATAAAAAGGAGACAGCAGCATTCTCAGAAACTTCTTTGTGATGTCTGCATTCAATTCACAGAGTTGAGCATTCCCTTTCATAGAGCAGGTTGGAAACACTCTTTTTGTAGTATCTGGATGAGGACATTTGGAGCGCTTTCAGGCGTATGGTGAAAAAGGAAATATCTTCCCGTAAAAACTAGACAGAAGCATTCTCAGAAGTTTATTTGTGATGTGTGCCCTCAACTAACAGAGTTGAACCTTTCTTTTGATAGAGCAGTTTTGAAACACTCTTTTTGTAAAATCTGCAAGAGGATATTTGCATAGCTTTGAGGATTTCGTTGCAAACGGGAATGGCTTCATATAAACTCTAGACAGAAGCATTCTCAGAAACTTCGTTGGGATGTTTCGATTGAAGTCCCAGTGTTGAACATTCCCTTTTATAGAGCAGGTTGGAAACACTCTTTCTGCATTCCCTGGAAGTGGACATTTGGAGCGCTTTCAGGACGACGGTGAAAATGGAAATATCTTCCAAGAAAATCTAGATAGAAGCAATGTCAGAAACTTTTATGTGATGGATCTACTCAGCTAACAGAGTTGAACCTTTCTTTTGAGAGAGCAGTTTTGCAACACTCTTTTTGTGGAATATGCAAGTGGATATTAGGGCAGCTTTGAGGATTTCGTTGGAAACGGGAATACATGTAAAAAGCAGACAGCAGCATTCTCAGAAACTTCTTTGTGATGTTTGCATTGAAGTCACAGAGTTGAACATTCCCTTTGAGAGAGCAGGTTTGAAACACGCCTTTTGTCATATCTGGAAGTGTCCATTCGGAGCGCATTCAGGCTTGTGTTGAAAAAGGAAATATCCTCCCATAAAAACTAGACAGAAGCATTCTCAGAAACTTATCTGTGATGTATGTACTCAACTAACAGAACTAAACCATCGTTTTGAAGGAGCAGTTTTGAAACACTCTTTTTGCGGAATCTGCAAGTGGATATTTGGCTAGCTGGGAGGATTTCGTTGGAAACGGGATTACATACAAAAAGCAGACAGCAGCATTTTCAGAAACTACTTTGTGATGTTTGCATTCAAGTCACAGAGTTGAACATTCCCTTTCATACAGCAGGTTTGAAACACTCTTTTTGTAGTATCTGGATGTGGACATTTGGATCGCTTTCAGGCCTATGGTGAAAAAGGAAATATCTTCCCATGAAAACTAGACAGAAGCATTCTCAGAAACTTATTTGTGATGTGTGCCCTCAACTGACAGTGTTGAACCTTTGTTTTGATAGAGCAGTTCTGAAACACACTTTTTGTAAAATCTGCAAGAGGATATTTGGATAGCTTTGAGGATTTCGTTGGAAACGGGAATGTCTTCATGTAAACTCTAGACAGAAGCATTCTCAGAAACTGCTTTGGGATGTTTCAATTGAAGTCCCAGTGTTGAACATTCCCATTCATAGAGCAGGTTTGAAACACTCTTTTTGTACTATCTGGAAGTGGACATTTGGAGCGCTTTCAGGTCTACGGTGAAAAAGGAGATATCTTCCAATAAAAACTAGATAGAAGCAATGTCAGAACTTTTTTCATGATGTATCTACTCAGCAAACAGAGTTGAACCTTTCTTTTGAGAGAGCAGTTTTGAAACACTCTTTTTGTGGAATATGCAAGTGGGTATTAGGCCAGCTTGGAGGATTTCGTTGGAAACGGGAATACGTATAAAAAGCAGACAGCAGCATTGTCAGAAACTACTTTGTGATGTTTGCATTCAAGTCACAGAATTGAACACTCCCTTTCACAGAGCAGGTTTGAAACACTCTTTTTGTAGTGTCTGTAAGTGAACATTTGGATTGCTTTCAGGCCTAAGGTGAAAAAGGAAATATCTTCCCATAAAAACTAGACAGAAGCATTCTCAGAAACTTGTTTGTGATGTGTGCCCTCTACTGACAGAGTTGAACCTTTCTTTGCAAAGAGCAGTTTTGAAACACTCTTTTTGTAGAATCTGCAAGAGGATATTTGGATAGCTTTGAGGATTTCTTGGGAAACGGGAATGTCTTCAGATAAACTCTAGACAGAAGCATTCTCAGAAACTTCTTTGGGATGTTTCAATTGAAGTCACAGTGTTGAACATTCCCTTTCACAGAGCAGGTTTGAAACACTCTTTTTGTAGTGTCTATAAGTGAACATTTGGCGTGCTTTCAGGCGTAACGTGAAAAAGGAAATATCTTCCCATAAAAACCAGACAGAAGCATTCTCAGAAACTTGTTCTTGATGTGTCCCCTCTACTGACAGAGTTGAACCTTTCTTTGCAAAGAGCAGCTTTGAAACACTCTTTTTGTAGAATCTGCAAGAGGATATTTGGATAGCTTGGAGGATTTCGTTGGAAACGGGTATGTCTTCAGATAAACTCTAGACAGAAGCATTCTCAGAAACTTCTTTGGGATGTTGCATTCAAGTCACAGAGTAGAACATTCCCATTCATAGAGCAGATTTGAAACACTCTTTTTGTAGTATCTGGAAGTGGACATTTGGAGCGCTTTCAGGCCTATGTTGAAAAAGGAAATATCTTCCCATAAAAACTAGACGGAAGCATTCTCAGAAACTTATTTGTGATGTGTTTGCTCAACTAACAGGATTGAACCATCGTTTTGAAGGAGCAGTTTTGAAACACTGTTTTCGTGGAATCTGCAAGTGGATATTTGGCTAGCTTTGAGGATTTCGTTGGAAACGGGATTACATATACAAAGGAGACAGCAGCATTCTCAGAAACTTCTTTGTGATGTCTGCATTCAATTCACAGAGTTGAGCATTCCCTTTCATAGAGCAGGTTGGAAACACTCTTTTTGTAGTATCTGGATGAGGACATTTGGAGCGCTTTCTGGCCTATGGTGAAAAAGGAAATATCTTCCTGTAAAAACTAGACAGAAGCATTCTCAGAAGTTTATTTGTGATGTGTGCCCTCAACTAACAGAGTTGAACCTTTCTTTTGATAGAGCAGTTTTGAAACACTCTTTTTGTAAAATCTGCAAGAGGATATTTGGATAGCTTTGAGGATTTCGTTGCAAACGGGAATGGCTTCATATAAACTCTAGACAGAAGCATTCTCAGAAACTTCGTTGGGATGTTTCGATTGAAGTCCCAGTGTTGAACATTCCCTTTTATAGAGCAGGTTGGAAACACTCTTTCTGCATTCCCTGGAAGTGGACATTTGGAGCGCTTTCAGGACGACGGTGAAAATGGAAATATCTTCCAAGAAAATCTAGATAGAAGCAATGTCAGAAACTTTTATGTGATGGATCTACTCAGCTAACAGAGTTGAACCTTTCTTTTGAGAGAGCAGTTTTGCAACACTCTTTTTGTGGAATATGCAAGTGGATATTAGGGCAGCTTTGAGGATTTCGTTGGAAACGGGAATACATGTAAAAAGCAGACAGCAGCATTCTCAGAAACTTCTTTGTGATGTTTGCATTGAAGTCACAGAGTTGAACATTCCCTTTGAGAGAGCAGGTTTGAAACACGCCTTTTGTCATATCTGGAAGTGTCCATTCGGAGCGCATTCAGGCTTGTGTTGAAAAAGGAAATATCCTCCCATAAAAACTAGACAGAAGCATTCTCAGAAACTTATCTGTGATGTATGTACTCAACTAACAGAACTAAACCATCGTTTTGAAGGAGCAGTTTTGAAACACTCTTTTTGCGGAATCTGCAAGTGGATATTTGGCTAGCTGGGAGGATTTCGTTGGAAACGGGATTACATACAAAAAGCAGACAGCAGCATTCTCAGAAACTTCTTTGTGATGTTTGCATTCAAGTCACAGAGTTGAACATTCCCTTTCATAGAGCAGGTTTGAAACACTCTTTTTGTAGTATCTGGATGTGGACATTTGGATCGCTTTCAGGCCTATGGTGAAAAAGGAAATATCTTCCCATGAAAACTAGACAGAAGCATTCTCAGAAACTTATTTGTGATGTGTGCCCTCAACTGACAGTGTTGAACCTTTGTTTTGATAGAGCAGTTCTGAAACACACTTTTTGTAAAATCTGCAAGAGGATATTTGGATAGCTTTGAGGATTTCGTTGGAAACGGGAATGTCTTCATGTAAACTCTAGACAGGAAGCATTCTCAGAAACTGCTTTGGGATGTTTCAATTGAAGTCACAGTGTTGAACATTCCCATTCATAGAGCAGGTTTGAAACACTCTTTTTGTACTATCTGGAAGTGGACATTTGGAGCGCTTTCAGGTCTACGGTGAAAAAGGAGATATCTTCCAATAAAAACTAGATAGAAGCAATGTCAGAACTTTTTTCATGATGTATCTACTCAGCAAACAGAGTTGAACCTTTCTTTTGAGAGAGCAGTTTTGAAACACTCTTTTTGTGGAATATGCAAGTGGGTATTAGGCCAGCTTGGAGGATTTCGTTGGAAACGGGAATACGTATAAAAAGCAGACAGCAGCATTGTCAGAAACTACTTTGTGATGTTTGCATTCAAGTCACAGAATTGAACACTCCCTTTCACAGAGCAGGTTTGAAACACTCTTTTTGTAGTGTCTGTAAGTGAACATTTGGATTGCTTTCAGGCCTATGTGAAAAAGGAAATATCTTCCCATAAAAACTAGACAGAAGCATTCTCAGAAACTTGTTTGTGATGTGTGCCCTCTACTGACAGAGTTGAACCTTTCTTTGCAAAGAGCAGTTTTGAAACACTCTTTTTGTAGAATCTGCAAGAGGATATTTGGATAGCTTTGAGGATTTCTTGGGAAACGGGAATGTCTTCAGATAAACTCTAGACAGAAGCATTCTCAGAAACTTCTTTGGGATGTTTCAATTGAAGTCACAGTGTTGAACATTCCCTTTCACAGAGCAGGTTTGAAACACTCTTTTTGTAGTGTCTATAAGTGAACATTTGGCGTGCTTTCAGGCGTAACGTGAAAAAGGAAATATCTTCCCATAAAAACCAGACAGAAGCATTCTCAGAAACTTGTTCGTGATGTGTGCCCTCTACTGACAGAGTTGAACCTTTCTTTGCAAAGAGCAGCTTTGAAACACACTTTTTGTAGAATCTGCAAGAGGATATTTGGATAGCTTGGAGGATTTCGTTGGAAACGGGTATGTCTTCAGATAAACTCTAGACAGAAGCATTCTCAGAAACTTCTTTGGGATGTTGCATTCAAGTCACAGAGTAGAACATTCCCATTCATAGAGCAGATTTGAAACACTCTTTTTGTAGTATCTGGAAGTGGACATTTGGAGCGCTTTCAGGCCTATGTTGAAAAAGGAAATATCTTCCCATAAAAACTAGACGGAAGCATTCTCAGAAACTTATTTGTGATGTGTTTGCTCAACTAACAGGATTGAACCATCGTTTTGAAGGAGCAGTTTTGAAACACTGTTTTCGTGGAATCTGCAAGTGGATATTTGGCTAGCTTTGAGGATTTCGTTGGAAACGGGATTACATATAAAAAGGAGACAGCAGCATTCTCAGAAACTTCTTTGTGATGTCTGCATTCAATTCACAGAGTTGAGCATTCCCTTTCCTAGAGCACGTTGGAAACACTCTTTTTGTAGTATCTGGATGAGGACATTTGGAGCGCTTTCAGGCGTATGGTGAAAAAGGAAATATCTTCCCGTAAAAACTAGACAGAAGCATTCTCAGAAATTTATTTGTGATGTGTGCCCTCAACTAACAGAGTTGAACCTTTCTTTTGATAGAGCAGTTTTGAAACACTCTTTTTGTAAAATCTGCAAGAGGATATTTGGATAGCTTTGAGGATTTCATTGCAAACGGGAATGGCTTCATATAAACTCTAGACAGAAGCATTCTCAGAAACTTCGTTGGGATGTTTCCGATTGAAGTCCCAGTGTTGAACATTCCCTTTTATAGAGCAGGTTGGAAAAACTCTTTCTGCATTCCCTGGAAGTGGACATTTGGAGCGCTTTCAGGACGACGGTGAAAATGGAAATATCTTCCAATAAAATCTAGATAGAAGCAACGTCAGAAACTTTTATGTGATGGATCTACTCAGCTAACAGAGTTGAACCTTTCTTTTGAGAGAGCAGTTTTGCAACACTCTTTTTGTGGAATATGCAAGTGGATATTAGGGCAGCTTTGAGGATTTCGTTGGAAACGGGAATACATGTAAAAAGCAGACAGCAGCATTCTCAGAAACTTCTTTGTGATGTTTGCATTGAAGTCACAGAGTTGAACATTCCCTTTGAGAGAGCAGGTTTGAAACACGCCTTTTGTCATATCTGGAAGTGTCCATTCGGAGCGCATTCAGGCTTGTGTTGAAAAAGGAAATATCCTCCCATAAAAACTAGACAGAAGCATTCTCAGAAACTTATCTGTGATGTATGTACTCAACTAACAGAACTAAACCATCGTTTTGAAGGAGCAGTTTTGAAACACTCTTTTTGCGGAATCTGCAAGTGGATATTTGTGCGTAGCTGGGAGAATTTCGTTGGAAACGGGATTACATACAAAAAGCAGAGAGCAGCATTCTCAGAAACTTCTTTGTGATGTTTGCATTCAAGTCACAGAGTTGAACATTCCCTTTCATAGAGCAGGTTTGAAACACTCTTTTTGTAGTATCTGGATGTGGACATTTGGATCGCTTTCAGGCCTATGGTGAAAAAGGAAATATCTTCCCATGAAAACTAGACAGAAGCATTCTCAGAAACTTATTTGTGATGTGTGCCCTCAACTGACAGTGTTGAACCTTTGTTTTGATAGAGCAGTTCTGAAACACACTTTTTGTAAAATCTGCAAGAGGATATTTGGATAGCTTTGAGGATTTCGTTGGAAACGGGAATGTCTTCATGTAAACTCTACACAGAAGCATTCTCAGAAACTGCTTTGGGATGTTTCAATTGAAGTCCCAGTGTTGAACATTCCCATTCATAGAGCAGGTTTGAAACACTCTTTTTGTACTATCTGGAAGTGGACATTTGGAGCGCTTTCAGGTCTACGGTGAAAAAGGAGATATCTTCCAATAAAAACTAGATAGAAGCAATGTCAGAACTTTTTTCATGATGTATCTACTCAGCTAACAGAGTTGAACCTTTCTTTTGAGAGAGCAGTTTTGAAACACTCTTTTTGTGGAATATGCAAGTGGGTATTAGGCCAGCTTGGAGGATTTCGTTGGAAACGGGAATACGTATAAAAAGCAGACAGCAGCATTGTCAGAAACTACTTTGTGATGTTTGCATTCAAGTCACAGAATTGAACACTCCCTTTCACAGAGCAGGTTTGAAACACTCTTTTTGTAGTGTCTGTAAGTGAACATTTGGATTGCTTTCAGGCCTAAGGTGAAAAAGGAAATATCTTCCCATAAAAACTAGACAGAAGCATTCTCAGAAACTTGTTTGTGATGTGTGCCCTCTACTGACAGAGTTGAACCTTTCTTTGCAAAGAGCAGTTTTGAAACACTCTTTTTGTAGAATCTGCAAGAGGATATTTGGATAGCTTTGAGGATTTCTTGGGAAACGGGAATGTCTTCAGATAAACTCTAGACAGAAGCATTCTCAGAAACTTCTTTGGGATGTTTCAATTGAAGTCACAGTGTTGAACATTCCCTTTCACAGAGCAGGTTTGAAACACTCTTTTTGTAGTGTCTATAAGTGAACATTTGGCGTGCTTTCAGGCGTAACGTGAAAAAGGAAATATCTTCCCATAAAAACCAGACAGAAGCATTCTCAGAAACTTGTTCTTGATGTGTCCCCTCTACTGACAGAGTTGAACCTTTCTTTGCAAAGAGCAGCTTTGAAACACTCTTTTTGTAGAATCTGCAAGAGGATATTTGGATAGCTTGGAGGATTTCGTTGGAAACGGGTATGTCTTCAGATAAACTCTAGACAGAAGCATTCTCAGAAACTTCTTTGGGATGTTGCATTCAAGTCACAGAGTAGAACATTCCCATTCATAGAGCAGATTTGAAACACTCTTTTTGTAGTATCTGGAAGTGGACATTTGGAGCGCTTTCAGGCCTATGTTGAAAAAGGAAATATCTTCCCATAAAAACTAGACGGAAGCATTCTCAGAAACTTATTTGTGATGTGTTTGCTCAACTAACAGGATTGAACCATCGTTTTGAAGGAGCAGTTTTGAAACACTGTTTTCGTGGAATCTGCAAGTGGATATTTGGCTAGCTTTGAGGATTTCGTTGGAAACGGGATTACATATAAAAAGGAGACAGCAGCATTCTCAGAAACTTCTTTGTGATGTCTGCATTCAATTCACAGAGTTGAGCATTCCCTTTCATAGAGCAGGTTGGAAACACTCTTTTTGTAGTATCTGGATGAGGACATTTGGAGCGCTTTCAGGCGTATGGTGAAAAAGGAAATATCTTCCCGTAAAAACTAGACAGAAGCATTCTCAGAAATTTATTTGTGATGTGTGCCCTCAACTAACAGAGTTGAACCTTTCTTTTGATAGAGCAGTTTTGAAACACTCTTTTTGTAAAATCTGCAAGAGGATATTTGGATAGCTTTGAGGATTTCGTTGCAAACGGGAATGGCTTCATATAAACTCTAGACAGAAGCATTCTCAGAAACTTCGTTGGGATGTTTCGATTGAAGTCCCAGTGTTGAACATTCCCTTTTATAGAGCAGGTTGGAAACACTCTTTCTGCATTCCCTGGAAGTGGACATTTGGAGCGCTTTCAGGACGACGGTGAAAATGGAAATATCTTCCAAGAAAATCTAGATAGAAGCAACGTCAGAAACTTTTCTGTGATGGATCTACTCAGCTAACAGAGTTGAACCTTTCTTTTGAGAGAGCAGTTTTGCAACACTCTTTTTGTGGAATATGCAAGTGGATATTAGGGCAGCTTTGAGGATTTCGTTGGAAACGGGAATACATGTAAAAAGCAGACAGCAGCATTCTCAGAAACTTCTTTGTGATGTTTGCATTGAAGTCACAGAGTTGAACATTCCCTTTGAGAGAGCAGGTTTGAAACACGCCTTTTGTCATATCTGGAAGTGTCCATTCGGAGCGCATTCAGGCTTGTGTTGAAAAAGGAAATATCCTCCCATAAAAACTAGACAGAAGCATTCTCAGAAACTTATCTGTGATGTATGTACTCAACTAACAGAACTAAACCATCGTTTTGAAGGAGCAGTTTTGAAACACTCTTTTTGCGGAATCTGCAAGTGGATATTTGGCTAGCTGGGAGGATTTCGTTGGAAACGGGATTACATACAAAAAGCAGACAGCAGCATTCTCAGAAACTTCTTTGTGATGTTTGCATTCAAGTCACAGAGTTGAACATTCCCTTTCATAGAGCAGGTTTGAAACACTCTTTTTGTAGTATCTGGATGTGGACATTTGGATCGCTTTCAGGCCTATGGTGAAAAAGGAAATATCTTCCCATGAAAACTAGACAGAAGCATTCTCAGAAACTTATTTGTGATGTGTGCCCTCAACTGACAGTGTTGAACCTTTGTTTTGATAGAGCAGTTCTGAAACACACTTTTTGTAAAATCTGCAAGAGGATATTTGGATAGCTTTGAGGATTTCGTTGGAAACGGGAATGTCTTCATGTAAACTCTACACAGAAGCATTCTCAGAAACTGCTTTGGGATGTTTCAATTGAAGTCCCAGTGTTGAACATTCCCATTCATAGAGCAGGTTGGAAACACTCTTTTTGTACTATCTGGAAGTGGACATTTGGAGCGCTTTCAGGTCTACGGTGAAAAAGGAGATATCTTCCAATAAAAACTAGATAGAAGCAATGTCAGAACTTTTTTCATGATGTATCTACTCAGCAAACAGAGTTGAACCTTTCTTTTGAGAGAGCAGTTTTGAAACACTCTTTTTGTGGAATATGCAAGTGGGTATTAGGCCAGCTTGGAGGATTTCGTTGGAAACGGGAATACGTATAAAAAGCAGACAGCAGCATTGTCAGAAACTACTTTGTGATGTTTGCATTCAAGTCACAGAATTGAACACTCCCTTTCACAGAGCAGGTTTGAAACACTCTTTTTGTAGTGTCTGTAAGTGAACATTTGGATTGCTTTCAGGCCTAAGGTGAAAAAGGAAATATCTTCCCATAAAAACTAGACAGAAGCATTCTCAGAAACTTGTTTGTGATGTGTGCCCTCTACTGACAGAGTTGAACCTTTCTTTGCAAAGAGCAGTTTTGAAACACTCTTTTTGTAGAATCTGCAAGAGGATATTTGGATAGCTTTGAGGATTTCTTGGGAAACGGGAATGTCTTCAGATAAACTCTAGACAGAAGCATTCTCAGAAACTTCTTTGGGATGTTTCAATTGAAGTCACAGTGTTGAACATTCCCTTTCACAGAGCAGGTTTGAAACACTCTTTTTGTAGTGTCTATAAGTGAACATTTGGCGTGCTTTCAGGCCTAACGTGAAAAAGGAAATATCTTCCCATAAAAACTAGACAGAAGCATTCTCAGAAACTTGTTCTTGATGTGTCCCCTCTACTGACAGAGTTGAACCTTTCTTTGCAAAGAGCAGCTTTGAAACACTCTTTTTGTAGAATCTGCAAGAGGATATTTGGATATCTTGGAGGATTTCGTTGGAAACGGGTATGTCTTCAGATAAACTCTAGACAGAAGCATTCTCAGAAACTTCTTTGGGATGTTGCATTCAAGTCACAGAGTAGAACATTCCCATTCATAGAGCAGATTTGAAACACTCTTTTTGTAGTATCTGGAAGTGGACATTTGGAGCGCTTTCAGGCCTATGTTGAAAAAGCAAATATCTTCCCATAAAAACTAGACGGAAGCATTCTCAGAAACTTATTTGTGATGTGTTTGCTCAACTAACAGGATTGAACCATCGTTTTGAAGGAGCAGATTTGAAACACTGTTTTCGTGGAATCTGCAAGTGGATATTTGGCTAGCTTTGAGGATTTCGTTGGAAACGGGATTACATATAAAAAGGAGACAGCAGCATTCTCAGAAACTTCTTTGTGATGTCTGCATTCAATTCACAGAGTTGAGCATTCCCTTTCATAGAGCAGGTTGGAAACACTCTTTTTGTAGTATCTGGATGAGGACATTTGGAGCGCTTTCAGGCGTATGGTGAAAAAGGAAATATCTTCCCGTAAAAACTAGACAGAAGCATTCTCAGAAGTTTATTTGTGATGTGTGCCCTCAACTAACAGAGTTGAACCTTTCTTTTGATAGAGCAGTTTTGAAACACTCTTTTTGTAAAATCTGCAAGAGGATATTTGGATAGCTTTGAGGATTTCGTTGCAAACGGGAATGGCTTCATATAAACTCTAGACAGAAGCATTCTCAGAAACTTCGTTGGGATGTTTCGATTGAAGTCCCAGTGTTGAACATTCCCTTTTATAGAGCAGGTTGGAAACACTCTTTCTGCATTCCCTGGAAGTGGACATTTGGAGCGCTTTCAGGACGACGGTGAAAATGGAAATATCTTCCAAGAAAATCTAGATAGAAGCAACATCAGAAACTTTTATGTGATGGATCTACTCAGCTAACAGAGTTGAACCTTTCTTTTGAGAGAGCAGTTTTGCAACACTCTTTTTGTGGAATATGCAAGTGGATATTAGGGCAGCTTTGAGGATTTCGTTGGAAACGGGAATACATGTAAAAAGCAGACAGCAGCATTCTCAGAAACTTCTTTGTGATGTTTGCATTGAAGTCACAGAGTTGAACATTCCCTTTGAGAGAGCAGGTTTGAAACACGCCTTTTGTCATATCTGGAAGTGTCCATTCGGAGCGCATTCAGGCTTGTGTTGAAAAAGGAAATATCCTCCCATAAAAACTAGACAGAAGCATTCTCAGAAACTTATCTGTGATGTATGTACTCAACTAACAGAACTAAACCATCGTTTTGAAGGAGCAGTTTTGAAACACTCTTTTTGCGGAATCTGCAAGTGGATATTTGGCTAGCTGGGAGGATTTCGTTGGAAACGGGATTACATACAAAAAGCAGACAGCAGCATTCTCAGAAACTTCTTTGTGATGTTTGCATTCAAGTCACAGAGTTGAACATTCCCTTTCATAGAGCAGGTTTGAAACACTCTTTTTGTAGTATCTGGATGTGGACATTTGGATCGCTTTCAGGCCTATGGTGAAAAAGGAAATATCTTCCCATGAAAACTAGACAGAAGCATTCTCAGAAACTTATTTGTGATGTGTGCCCTCAACTGACAGTGTTGAACCTTTGTTTTGATAGAGCAGTTCTGAAACACACTTTTTGTAAAATCTGCAAGAGGATATTTGGATAGCTTTGAGGATTTCGTTGGAAACGGGAATGTCTTCATGTAAACTCTACACAGAAGCATTCTCAGAAACTGCTTTGGGATGTTTCAATTGAAGTCCCAGTGTTGAACATTCCCATTCATAGAGCAGGTTTGAAACACTCTTTTTGTACTATCTGGAAGTGGACATTTGGAGCGCTTTCAGGTCTACGGTGAAAAAGGAGATATCTTCCAATAAAAACTAGATAGAAGCAATGTCAGAACTTTTTTCATGATGTATCTACTCAGCAAACAGAGTTGAACCTTTCTTTTGAGAGAGCAGTTTTGAAACACTCTTTTTGTGGAATATGCAAGTGGGTATTAGGCCAGCTTGGAGGATTTCGTTGGAAACGGGAATACGTATAAAAAGCAGACAGCAGCATTGTCAGAAACTACTTTGTGATGTTTGCATTCAAGTCACAGAATTGAACACTCCCTTTCACAGAGCAGGTTTGAAACACTCTTTTTGTAGTGTCTGTAAGTGAACATTTGGATTGCTTTCAGGCCTAAGGTGAAAAAGGAAATATCTTCCCATAAAAACTAGACAGAAGCATTCTCAGAAACTTGTTTGTGATGTGTGCCCTCTACTGACAGAGTT
Source organism: Homo sapiens (assembly GCF_000001405.40). NCBI lineage: Eukaryota > Metazoa > Chordata > Mammalia > Primates > Hominidae > Homo > Homo sapiens. Next base: position 26,954,436 of record NC_000020.11, read on the forward strand.
GAACCTTTCTTTGCAAAGAGCAGTTTTGAAACACTCTTTTTGTAGAATCTGCAAGAGGATATTTGGATAGCTTTGAGGATTTCTTGGGAAACGGGAATGTCTTCAGATAAACTCTAGACAGAAGCATTCTCAGAAACTTCTTTGGGATGTTTCAATTGAAGTCACAGTGTTGAACATTCCCTTTCACAGAGCAGGTTTGAAACACTCTTTTTGTAGTGTCTATAAGTGAACATTTGGCGTGCTTTCAGGCGTAACGTGAAAAAGGAAATATCTTCCCATAAAAACTAGACAGAAGCATTCTCAGAAACTTGTTCGTGATGTGTGCCCTCTACTGACAGAGTTGAACCTTTCTTTGCAAAGAGCAGCTTTGAAACACACTTTTTGTAGAATCTGCAAGAGGATATTTGGATAGCTTGGAGGATTTCGTTGGAAACGGGTATGTCTTCAGATAAACTCTAGACAGAAGCATTCTCAGAAACTTCTTTGGGATGTTGCATTCAAGTCACAGAGTAGAACATTCCCATTCATAGAGCAGATTTGAAACACTCTTTTTGTAGTATCTGGAAGTGGACATTTGGAGCGCTTTCAGGCCTATGTTGAAAAAGGAAATATCTTCCCATAAAAACTAGACGGAAGCATTCTCAGAAACTTATTTGTGATGTGTTTGCTCAACTAACAGGATTGAACCATCGTTTTGAAGGAGCAGTTTTGAAACACTGTTTTCGTGGAATCTGTAAGTGGATATTTGGCTAGCTTTGAGGATTTCGTTGGAAACGGGATTACATATAAAAAGGAGACAGCAGCATTATCAGAAACGTCTTTGTGATGTTTGCATTCAAGTCACAAAGTTGAACATTCGCTTTCATAGAGCAGGTTTGAAACACTCTTTTTGTAGTATCTGCAACTGGACATTTGGAGCGCTTTGTGGCCTATGGTGAAAAAGGAAATATCTTCCCATAAAAACTAGACAGAAGCATTCTCAGAAACTTGTTTGTGATGTGTGTACTCAACTGACAGAGTTGAACCTTTCTTTTGATAGAGCAGTTTTGAAACACTCTTTTTGTAGAATCTGCAAGTGGATATTTGGATAGCTTTGAGGATTTCATTGGAAACAGGAATATCTTCATATAAAATCTAGACAGAAGCATTCTCAGAAACATCTCTGTGATGTTTGCATTCAAGTCACAGAGTTGAACATTCCCTTTCATAGAGCAGGTTTGAAACACTCTTTTTGTAGTATCTGGAAGTGCACATTTGGAGCGCATTCAGGCCTAAGGTGAAAAAGGAAATATCTTCCCATAAAAACTAGACAGAAGCATTCTCAGAAATTTATTTGTGATGTGTGCCCTCAACTAACAGAGTTGAACCTTTCTTTTGATAGAGCAGTTTTTAAACACTCTTTTTGTAAAATCTGCAAGAGGATATTTGGATAGCTTTGAGGATTTCGTTGCAAACGGGAATGGCTTCATATAAACTCTAGACAGAAGCATTCTCAGAAACTTCGTTGGGATGTTTCGATTGAAGTCCCAGTGTTGAACATTCCCTTTTATAGAGCAGGTTGGAAACACTCTTTCTGCATTCCCTGGAAGTGGACATTTGGAGCGCTTTCAGGACGACGGTGAAAATGGAAATATCTTCCAATAAAATCTAGATAGAAGCAACGTCAGAAACTTTTCTGTGATGGATCTACTCAGCTAACAGAGTTGAACCTTTCTTTTGAGAGAGCAGTTTTGCAACACTTTTTGTGGAATATGCAAGTGGATATTAGGGCAGCTTTGAGGATTTCGTTGGAAACGGGAATACATGTAAAAAGCAGACAGCAGCATTCTCAGAAACTTCTTTGTGATGTTTGCATTGAAGTCACAGAGTTGAACATTCCCTTTGAGAGAGCAGGTTTGAAACACGCCTTTTGTCATATCTGGAAGTGTCCATTCGGAGCGCATTCAGGCTTGTGTTGAAAAAGGAAATATCCTCCCATAAAAACTAGACAGAAGCATTCTCAGAAACTTATTTGTGATGTATGTACTCAACTAACAGAACTAAACCATCGTTTTGAAGGAGCAGTTTTGAAACACTCTTTTTGCGGAATCTGCAACTGGATATTTGGCTAGCTTGGAGGATTTCGTTGGAAACGGGATTACATACAAAAAGCAGACAGCAGCATTCTCAGAAACTTCTTTGTGATGTTTGCATTCAAGTCGCAGAGTTGAACATTCCCTTTCATAGAGCAGGTTTGAAACACTCTTTTTGTAGTATCTGGATGTGGACATTTGGATCGCTTTCAGGCCTATGGTGAAAAACGAAATATCTTCCCATGAAAACTAGACAGAAGCATTCTCAGAAACTTATTTGTGATGTGTGCCCTCAACTGACAGTGTTGAACCTTTGTTTTGATAGAGCAGTTCTGAAACACACTTTTTGTAAAATCTGCAAGAGGATATTTGGATAGCTTTGAGGATTTCGTTGGAAACGGGAATGTCTTCATGTAAACTCTAGACAGAAGCATTCTCAGAAACTGCTTTGGGATGTTTCAATTGAAGTCCCAGTGTTGAACATTCCCTTTCATAGAGCAGGTTTGAAACACTCTTTTTGTAGTATCTGGAAGTGGACATTTGGAGCGCTTTCAGGTCTACGGTGAAAAAGGAGATATCTTCCAATAAAAACTAGATAGAAGCAATGTCAGAACCTTTTTCATGATGTATCTACTCAGCAAACAGAGTTGAACCTTTCTTTTGAGAGAGCAGTTTTGAAACACTCTTTTTGTGGAATATGCAAGTGGGTATGAGGCCAGCTTGGAGGATTTCGTTGGAAACGGGAATACGTATAAAAAGCAGACAGCAGCATTGTCAGAAACTACTTTGTGATGTTTGCATTCAAGTCACAGAATTGAACACTCGCTTTCACAGAGCAGGTTTGAAACACTCTTTTTGTAGTGTCTGTTACTGAACATTTGGATTGCTTTCAGGCCTAAGGTGAAAAAGGAAATATCTTCCCATAAAAACTAGACAGAAGCATTCTCAGAAACTTGTTTGTGATGTGTGCCCTCTACTGACAGAGTTGAACCTTTCTTTGCAAAGAGCAGTTTTGAAACACTCTTTTTGTAGAATCTGCAAGAGGATATTTGGATAGCTTTGAGGATTTCTTGGGAAACGGGAATGTCTTCAGATAAACTCTAGACAGAAGCATTCTCAGAAACTTCTTTGGGATGTTTCAATTGAAGTCACAGTGTTGAACATTCCCTTTCACAGAGCAGGTTTGAAACACTCTTTTTGTAGTGTCTATAAGTGAACATTTGGCGTGCTTTCAGGCCTAACGTGAAAAAGGAAATATCTTCCCATAAAAACTAGACAGAAGCATTCTCAGAAACTTGTTCTTGATGTGTCCCCTCTACTGACAGAGTTGAACCTTTCTTTGCAAAGAGCAGCTTTGAAACACTCTTTTTGTAGAATCTGCAAGAGGATATTTGGATAGCTTGGAGGATTTCGTTGGAAACGGGTATGTCTTCAGATAAACTCTAGACAGAAGCATTCTCAGAAACTTCTTTGGGATGTTGCATTCAAGTCACAGAGTAGAACATTCCCATTCATAGAGCAGATTTGAAACACTCTTTTTGTAGTATCTGGAAGTGGACATTTGGAGCGCTTTCAGGCCTATGTTGAAAAAGGAAATATCTTCCCATAAAAACTAGACGGAAGCATTCTCAGAAACTTATTTGTGATGTGTTTGCTCAACTAACAGGATTGAACCATCGTTTTGAAGGAGCAGTTTTGAAACACTGTTTTCGTGGAATCTGCAAGTGGATATTTGGCTAGCTTTGAGGATTTCGTTGGAAACGGGATTACATATAAAAAGGAGACAGCAGCATTCTCAGAAACTTCTTTGTGATGTTTGCATTCAATTCACAGAGTTGAGCATTCCCTTTCATAGAGCAGGTTGGAAACACTCTTTTTGTAGTATCTGGATGTGGACATTTGGATCGCTTTCAGGCCTATGGTGAAAAAGGAAATATCTTCCCATGAAAACTAGACAGAAGCATTCTCAGAAACTTATTTGTGATGTGTGCCCTCAACTGACAGTGTTGAACCTTTGTTTTGATAGAGCAGTTCTGAAACACACTTTTTGTAAAATCTGCAAGAGGATATTTGGATAGCTTTGAGGATTTCGTTGGAAACGGGAATGTCTTCATGTAAACTCTAGACAGAAGCATTCTCAGAAACTGCTTTGGGATGTTTCAATTGAAGTCCCAGTGTTGAACATTCCCTTTCATAGAGCAGGTTTGAAACACTCTTTTTGTACTATCTGGAAGTGGACATTTGGAGCGCTTTCAGGTCTACGGTGAAAAAGGAGATATCTTCCAATAAAAACTAGATAGAAGCAATGTCAGAACTTTTTTCATGATGTATCTACTCAGCAAACAGAGTTGAACCTTTCTTTTGAGAGAGCAGTTTTGAAACACTCCTTTTGTGGAATATGCAAGTGGGTATTAGGCCAGCTTGGAGGATTTCGTTGGAAACGGGAATACGTATAAAAAGCAGACAGCAGCATTGTCAGAAACTACTTTGTGATGTTTGCATTCAAGTCACAGAATTGAACACTCCCTTTCACAGAGCAGGTTTGAAACACTCTTTTTGTAGTGTCTGTAAGTGAACATTTGGATTGATTTCAGGCCTAAGGTGAAAAAGGAAATATCTTCCCATAAAAACTAGACAGAAGCATTCTCAGAAACTTGTTTGTGATGTGTGCCCTCTACTGACAGAGTTGAACCTTTCTTTGCAAAGAGCAGTTTTGAAACACTCTTTTTGTAGAATCTGCAAGAGGATATTTGGATAGCTTTGAGGATTTCTTGGGAAACGGGAATGTCTTCAGATAAACTCTAGACAGAAGCATTCTCAGAAACTTCTTTGGGATGTTTCAATTGAAGTCACAGTGTTGAACATTCCCTTTCACAGAGCAGGTTTGAAACACTCTTTTTGTAGTGTCTATAAGTGAACATTTGGCGTGCTTTCAGGCGTAACGTGAAAAAGGAAATATCTTCCCATAAAAACTAGACAGAAGCATTCTCAGAAACTTGTTCTTGATGTGTCCCCTCTACTGACAGAGTTGAACCTTTCTTTGCAAAGAGCAGCTTTGAAACACTCTTTTTGTAGAATCTGCAAGAGGATATTTGGATAGCTTGGAGGATTTCGTTGGAAACGGGTATGTCTTCAGATAAACTCTAGACAGAAGCATTCTCAGAAACTTCTTTGGGATGTTGCATTCAAGTCACAGAGTAGAACATTCCCATTCATAGAGCAGATTTGAAACACTCTTTTTGTAGTATCTGGAAGTGGACATTTGGAGCGCTTTCAGGCCTATGTTGAAAAAGGAAATATCTTCCCATAAAAACTAGACGGAAGCATTCTCAGAAACTTATTTGTGATGTGTTTGCTCAACTAACAGGATTGAACCATCGTTTTGAAGGAGCAGTTTTGAAACACTGTTTTCGTGGAATCTGCAAGTGGATATTTGGCTAGCTTTGAGGATTTCGTTGGAAACGGGATTACATATAAAAAGGAGACAGCAGCATTCTCAGAAACTTCTTTGTGATGTCTGCATTCAAGTCACAGAGTTGAGCATTCCCTTTCATAGAGCAGGTTGGAAACACTCTTTTTGTAGTATCTGGATGAGGACATTTGGAGCGCTTTCAGGCCTATGGTGAAAAAGGAAATATCTTCCCGTAAAAACTAGACAGAAGCATTCTCAGAAATTTATTTGTGATGTGTGCCCTCAACTAACAGAGTTGAACCTTTCTTTTGATAGAGCAGTTTTGAAACACTCTTTTTGTAAAATCTGCAAGAGGATATTTGGATAGCTTTGAGGATTTCGTTGCAAACGGGAATGGCTTCATATAAACTCTAGACAGAAGCATTCTCAGAAACCTCGTTGGGATGTTTCGATTGAAGTCCCAGTGTTGAACATTCCCTTTTATAGAGCAGGTTGGAAACACTCTTTCTGCATTCCCTGGAAGTGGACATTTGGAGCGCTTTCAGGACGACGGTGAAAATGGAAATATCTTCCAAGAAAATCTAGATAGAAGCAACGTCAGAAACTTTTCTGTGATGGATCTACTCAGCTAACAGAGTTGAACCTTTCTTTTGAGAGAGCAGTTTTGCAACACTCTTTTTGTGGAATATGCAAGTGGATATTAGGGCAGCTTTGAGGATTTCGTTGGAAACGGGAATACATGTAAAAAGCAGACAGCAGCATTCTCAGAAACTTCTTTGTGATGTTTGCATTGAAGTCACAGAGTTGAACATTCCCTTTGAGAGAGCAGGTTTGAAACACGCCTTTTGTCATATCTGGAAGTGTCCATTCGGAGCGCATTCAGGCTTGTGTTGAAAAAGGAAATATCCTCCCATAAAAACTAGACAGAAGCATTCTCAGAAACTTATCTGTGATGTATGTACTCAACTAACAGAACTAAACCATCGTTTTGAAGGAGCAGTTTTGAAACACTCTTTTTGCGGAATCTGCAAGTGGATATTTGGCTAGCTGGGAGGATTTCCGTTGGAAACGGGATTACATACAAAAAGCAGACAGCAGCATTCTCAGAAACTTCTTTGTGATGTTTGCATTCAAGTCACAGAGTTGAACATTCCCTTTCATAGAGCAGGTTTGAAACACTCTTTTTGTAGTATCTGGATGTGGACATTTGGATCGCTTTCAGGCCTATGGTGAAAAAGGAAATATCTTCCCATGAAAACTAGACAGAAGCATTCTCAGAAACTTATTTGTGATGTGTGCCCTCAACTGACAGTGTTGAACCTTTGTTTTGATAGAGCACTTCTGAAACACACTTTTTGTAAAATCTGCAAGAGGATATTTGGATAGCTTTGAGGATTTCGTTGGAAACGGGAATGTCTTCATGTAAACTCTACACAGAAGCATTCTCAGAAACTGCTTTGGGATGTTTCAATTGAAGTCCCAGTGTTGAACATTCCCATTCATAGAGCAGGTTTGAAACACTCTTTTTGTACTATCTGGAAGTGGACATTTGGAGCGCTTTCAGGTCTACGGTGAAAAAGGAGATATCTTCCAATAAAAACTAGATAGAAGCAATGTCAGAACTTTTTTCATGATGTATCTACTCAGCAAACAGAGTTGAACCTTTCTTTTGAGAGAGCAGTTTTGAAACACTCTTTTTGTGGAATATGCAAGTGGGTATTAGGCCAGCTTGGAGGATTTCGTTGGAAACGGGAATACGTATAAAAAGCAGACAGCAGCATTGTCAGAAACTACTTTGTGATGTTTGCATTCAAGTCACAGAACTGAACACTCCCTTTCACAGAGCAGGTTTGAAACACTCTTTTTGTAGTGTCTGTAAGTGAACATTTGGATTGCTTTCAGGCCTAAGGTGAAAAAGGAAATATCTTCCCATAAAAACTAGACAGAAGCATTCTCAGAAACTTGTTTGTGATGTGTGCCCTCTACTGACAGAGTTGAACCTTTCTTTGCAAAGAGCAGTTTTGAAACACTCTTTTTGTAGAATCTGCAAGAGGATATTTGGATAGCTTTGAGGATTTCTTGGGAAACGGGAATGTCTTCAGATAAACTCTAGACAGAAGCATTCTCAGAAACTTCTTTGGGATGTTATAATTGAAGTCACAGTGTTGAACATTCCCTTTCACAGAGCAGGTTTGAAACACTCTTTTTGTAGTGTCTATAATTGAACATTTGGCGTGCTTTCAGGCCTAACGTGAAAAAGGAAATATCTTCCCATAAAAACTAGACAGAAGCATTCTCAGAAACTTGTTCATGATGTGTGCCCTCTACTGACGGAGTTGAACCTTTCTTTGCAAAGAGCAGCTTTGAAACACTCTTTTTGTAGAATCTGCAAGAGGATATTTGGATAGCTTTGAGGATTTCGTTGGAAACGGGTATGTCTTCAGATAAACTCTAGACAGAAGCATTCTCAGAAACTTCTTTGGGATGTTGCATTCAAGTCACAGAGTAGAACATTCCCATTCATAGAGCAGATTTGAAACACTCTTTTTGTAGTATCTGGAAGTGGACATTTGGAGCGCTTTCAGGCCTATGTTGAAAAAGGAAATATCTTCCCATAAAAACTAGACGGAAGCATTCTCAGAAACTTACTTGTGATGTGTTTGCTCAACTAACAGAATTGAACCATCGTTTTGAAGGAGCAGTTTTGAAACACTGTTTTCGTGGAATCTGCAAGTGGATATTTGGCTAGCTTTGAGGATTTCGTTGGAAACGGGATTACATATAAAAAGGAGACAGCAGCATTCTCAGAAACTTCTTTGTGATGTCTGCATTCAAGTCACAGAGTTGAGCATTCCCTTTCATAGAGCAGGTTGGAAACACTCTTTTTGTAGTATCTGGATGAGGACATTTGGAGCGCTTTCAGGCGTATGGTGAAAAAGGAAATATCTTCCCGTAAAAACTAGACAGAAGCATTCTCAGAAATTTATTTGTGATGTGTGCCCTCAACTAACAGAGTTGAACCTTTCTTTTGATAGAGCAGTTTTGAAACACTCTTTTTGTAAAATCTGCAAGAGGATATTTGGATAGCTTTGAGGATTTCGTTGCAAACGGGAATGGCTTCATATAAACTCTAGACAGAAGCATTCTCAGAAACTTCGTTGGGATGTTTCGATTGAAGTCCCAGTGTTGAACATTCCCTTTTATAGAGCAGGTTGGAAACACTCTTTCTGCATTCCCTGGAAGTGGACATTTGGAGCGCTTTCAGGACGACGGTGAAAATGGAAATATCTTCCAAGAAAATCTAGATAGAAGCAACGTCAGAAACTTTTCTGTGATGGATCTACTCAGCTAACAGAGTTGAACCTTTCTTTTGAGAGAGCAGTTTTGCAACACTCTTTTTGTGGAATATGCAAGTGGATATTAGGGCAGCTTTGAGGATTTCGTTGGAAACGGGAATACATGTAAAAAGCAGACAGCAGCATTCTCAGAAACTTCTTTGTGATGTTTGCATTGAAGTCACAGAGTTGAACATTCCCTTTGAGAGAGCAGGTTTGAAACACGCCTTTTGTCATATCTGGAAGTGTCCATTCGGAGCGCATTCAGGCTTGTGTTGAAAAAGGAAATATCCTCCCAGAAAAACTAGACAGAAGCATTCTCAGAAACTTATCTGTGATGTATGTACTCAACTAACAGAACTAAACCATCGTTTTGAAGGAGCAGTTTTGAAACACTCTTTTTGCGGAATCTGCAAGTGGATATTTGGCTAGCTGGGAGGATTTCGTTGGAAACGGGATTACATACAAAAAGCAGACAGCAGCATTCTCAGAAACTTGTTTGTGATGTGTGCCCTCTACTGACAGAGTTGAACCTTTCTTTGCAAAGAGCAGTTTTGAAACACTCTTTTGTAGAATCTGCAAGAGGATATTTGGATAGCTTTGAGGATTTCTTGGGAAACGGGAATGTCTTCAGATAAACTCTAGACAGAAGCATTCTCAGAAACTTCTTTGGGATGTTTCAATTGAAGTCACAGTGTTGAACATTCCCTTTCACAGAGCAGGTTTGAAACACTCTTTTTGTAGTGTCTATAAGTGAACATTTGGCGTGCTTTCAGGCCTAACGTGAAAAAGGAAATATCTTCCCATAAAAACTAGACAGAAGCATTCTCAGAAACTTGTTCGTGATGTGTGCCCTCTACTGACAGAGTTGAACCTTTCTTTGCAAAGAGCAGCTTTGAAACACACTTTTTGTAGAATCTGCAAGAGGATATTTGGATAGCTTGGAGGATTTCGTTGGAAACGGGTATGTCTTCAGATAAACTCTAGACAGAAGCATTCTCAGAAACTTCTTTGGGATGTTGCATTCAAGTCACAGAGTAGAACATTCCCATTCATAGAGCAGATTTGAAACACTCTTTTTGTAGTATCTGGAAGTGGACATTTGGAGCGCTTTCAGGCCTATGTTGAAAAAGGAAATATCTTCCCATAAAAACTAGACGGAAGCATTCTCAGAAACTTACTTGTGATGTGTTTGCTCAACTAACAGAATTGAACCATCGTTTTGAAGGAGCAGTTTTGAAACACTGTTTTCGTGGAATCTGCAAGTGGATATTTGGCTAGCTTTGAGGATTTCGTTGGAAACGGGATTACATATAAAAAGGAGACAGCAGCATTCTCAGAAACTTCTTTGTGATGTCTGCATTCAAGTCACAGAGTTGAGCATTCCCTTTCATAGAGCAGGTTGGAAACACTCTTTTTGTAGTATCTGGATGAGGACATTTGGAGCGCTTTCAGGCGTATGGTGAAAAAGGAAATATCTTCCCGTAAAAACTAGACAGAAGCATTCTCAGAAATTTATTTGTGATGTGTGCCCTCAACTAACAGAGTTGAACCTTTCTTTTGATAGAGCAGTTTTGAAACACTCTTTTTGTAAAATCTGCAAGAGGATATTTGGATAGCTTTGAGGATTTCGTTGCAAACGGGAATGGCTTCATATAAACTCTAGACAGAAGCATTCTCAGAAACTTCGTTGGGATGTTTCGATTGAAGTCCCAGTGTTGAACATTCCCTTTTATAGAGCAGGTTGGAAACACTCTTTCTGCATTCCCTGGAAGTGGACATTTGGAGCGCTTTCAGGACGACGGTGAAAATGGAAATATCTTCCAAGAAAATCTAGATAGAAGCAACGTCAGAAACTTTTCTGTGATGGATCTACTCAGCTAACAGAGTTGAACCTTTCTTTTGAGAGAGCAGTTTTGCAACACTCTTTTTGTGGAATATGCAAGTGGATATTAGGGCAGCTTTGAGGATTTCGTTGGAAACGGGAATACATGTAAAAAGCAGACAGCAGCATTCTCAGAAACTTCTTTGTGATGTTTGCATTGAAGTCACAGAGTTGAACATTCCCTTTGAGAGAGCAGGTTTGAAACACACCTTTTGTCATATCTGGAAGTGTCCATTCGGAGCGCATTCAGGCTTGTGTTGAAAAAGGAAATATCCTCCCATAAAAACTAGACAGAAGCATTCTCAGAAACTTATCTGTGATGTATGTACTCAACTAACAGAACTAAACCATCGTTTTGAAGGGCAGTTTTGAAACACTCTTTTTGCGGAATCTGCAAGTGGATATTTGGCTAGCTGGGAGGATTTCGTTGGAAACGGGATTACATACAAAAAGCAGACAGCAGCATTCTCAGAAACTTCTTTGTGATGTTTGCATTCAAGTCACAGAGTTGAACATTCCCTTTCATAGAGCAGGTTTGAAACACTCTTTTTGTAGTATCTGGATGTGGACATTTGGATCGCTTTCAGGCCTATGGTGAAAAAGGAAATATCTTCCCATGAAAACTAGACAGAAGCATTCTCAGAAACTTATTTGTGATGTGTGCCCTCAACTGACAGTGTTGAACCTTTGTTTTGATAGAGCAGTTCTGAAACACACTTTTTGTAAAATCTGCAAGAGGATATTTGGATAGCTTTGAGGATTTCGTTGGAAACGGGAATGTCTTCATGTAAACTCTAGACAGGAAGCATTCTCAGAAACTGCTTTGGGATGTTTCAATTGAAGTCCCAGTGTTGAACATTCCCTTTCATAGGAGCAGGTTTGAAACACTCTTTTTGTACTATCTGGAAGTGGACATTTGGAGCGCTTTCAGGTCTACGGTGAAAAAGGAGATATCTTCCAATAAAAACTAGATAGAAGCAATGTCAGAACTTTTTTCATGATGTATCTACTCAGCAAACAGAGTTGAACCTTTCTTTTGAGGGAGCAGTTTTGAAACACTATTTTTGTGGAATATGCAAGTGGGTATTAGGCCAGCTTGGAGGATTTCGTTGGAAACGGGAATACGTATAAAAAGCAGACAGCAGCATTCTCAGAAACTTCTTTGTGATGTCTGCATTCAAGTCACAGAGTTGAGCATTCCGTTTCATAGAGCAGGTTGGAAACACTCTTTTTGTAGTATCTGGATGAGGACATTTGGAGCGCTTTCAGGCCTATGGTGAAAAAGGAAATATCTTCCCGTAAAAACTAGACAGAAGCATTCTCAGAAGTTTATTTGTGATGTGTGCCCTCAACTAACAGAGTTGAACCTTTCTTTTGATAGAGCAGTTTTGAAACACTCTTTTTGTAAAATCTGCAAGAGGATATTTGGATAGCTTTGAGGATTTCGTTGCAAACGGGAATGGCTTCATATAAACTCTAGACAGAAGCATTCTCAGAAACTTCGTTGGGATGTTTCGATTGAAGTCCCAGTGTTGAACATTCCCTTTTATAGAGCAGGTTGGAAACACTCTTTCTGCATTCCCTGGAAGTGGACATTTGGAGCGCTTTCAGGACGACGGTGAAAATGGAAATATCTTCCAAGAAAATCTAGATAGAAGCAATGTCAGAAACTTTTATGTGATGGATCTACTCAGCTAACAGAGTTGAACCTTTCTTTTGAGAGAGCAGTTTTGCAACACTCTTTTTGTGGAATATGCAAGTGGATATTAGGGCAGCTTTGAGGATTTCGTTGGAAACGGGAATACATGTAAAAAGCAGACAGCAGCATTCTCAGAAACTTCTTTGTGATGTTTGCATTGAAGTCACAGAGTTGAACATTCCCTTTGAGAGAGCAGGTTTGAAACACGCCTTTTGTCATATCTGGAAGTGTCCATTCGGAGCGCATTCAGGCTTGTGTTGAAAAAGGAAATATCCTCCCATAAAAACTAGACAGAAGCATTCTCAGAAACATATTTGTGATGTATGTAATCAACTAACAGAACTAAACCATCGTTTTGAAGGAGCAGTTTTGAAACACTCTTTTTGCGGAATCTGCAAGTGGATATTTGGCTAGCTGGGAGGATTTCGTTGGAAACGGGATTACATACAAAAAGCAGACAGCAGCATTCTCAGAAACTTCTTTGTGATGTTTGCATTCAAGTCACAGAGTTGAACATTCCCTTTCATAGAGCAGGTTTGAAACACTCTTTTTGTAGTATCTGGATGTGGACATTTGGATCGCTTTCAGGCCTATGGTGAAAAAGGAAATATCTTCCCATGAAAACTAGACAGAAGCATTCTCAGAAACTTATTTGTGATGTGTGCCCTCAACTGACAGTGTTGAACCTTTGTTTTGATAGAGCAGTTCTGAAACACACTTTTTGTAAAATCTGCAAGAGGATATTTGGATAGCTTTGAGGATTTCGTTGGAAACGGGAATGTCTTCATGTAAACTCTAGACAGAAGCATTCTCAGAAACTGCTTTGGGATGTTTCAATTGAAGTCCCAGTGTTGAACATTCCCATTCATAGAGCAGGTTTGAAACACTCTTTTTGTACTATCTGGAAGTGGACATTTGGAGCGCTTTCAGGTCTACGGTGAAAAAGGAGATATCTTCCAATAAAAACTAGATAGAAGCAATGTCAGAACTTTTTTCATGATGTATCTACTCAGCAAACAGAGTTGAACCTTTCTTTTGAGAGAGCAGTTTTGAAACACTCTTTTTGTGGAATATGCAAGTGGGTATTAGGCCAGCTTGGAGGATTTCGTTGGAAACGGGAATACGTATAAAAAGCAGACAGCAGCATTGTCAGAAACTACTTTGTGATGTTTGCATTCAAGTCACAGAATTGAACACTCCCTTTCACAGAGCAGGTTTGAAACACTCTTTTTGTAGTGTCTGTAAGTGAACATTTGGATTGCTTTCAGGCCTAAGGTGAAAAAGGAAATATCTTCCCATAAAAACTAGACAGAAGCATTCTCAGAAACTTGTTTGTGATGTGTGCCCTCTACTGACAGAGTTGAACCTTTCTTTGCAAAGAGCAGTTTTGAAACACTCTTTTTGTAGAATCTGCAAGAGGATATTTGGATAGATTTGAGGATTTCTTGGGAAACGGGAATGTCTTCAGATAAACTCTAGACAGAAGCATTCTCAGAAACTTCTTTGGGATGTTTCAATAGAAGTCACAGTGTTGAACATTCCCTTTCACAGAGCAGGTTTGAAACACTCTTTTTGTAGTGTCTATAATTGAACATTTGGCGTGCTTTCAGGCCTAACGTGAAAAAGGAAATATCTTCCCATAAAAACTAGACAGAAGCATTCTCAGAAACTTGTTCGTGATGTGTGCCCTCTACTGACAGAGTTGAACCTTTCTTTGCAAAGAGCAGCTTTGAAACACTCTTTTTGTAGAATCTGCAAGAGGATATGTGGATAGCTTTGAGGATTTCGTTGGAAACGGGTATGTCTTCAGATAAACTCTAGACAGAAGCATTCTCAGAAACTTCTTTGGGATGTTTCAATTGAAGTCACAGTGTTGAACATTCCCTTTCACAGAGCATGTTTGAAACACTCTTTTTGTAGTGTCTATAAGTGAACATTTGGCGTGCTTTCAGGCCTAACGTGAAAAAGGAAATATCTTCCCATAAAAGCTAGACAGAAGCATTCTCAGAAACTTGTTCTTGATGTGTCCCCTCTACTGACACAGTTGAACCTTTCTTTGCAAAGAGCAGCTTTGAAACACTCTTTTTGTAGAATCTGCAAGAGGATATTTGGATAGCTTTGAGGATTTCGTTGGAAACGGGTATGTCTTCAGATAAACTCTAGACAGAAGCATTCTCAGAAACTTCTTTGGGATGTTGCATTCAAGTCACAGAGTAGAACATTCCCATTCATAGAGCAGATTTGAAACACTCTTTTTGTAGTATCTGGAAGTGGACATTTGGAGCGCTTTCAGGCCTATGTTGAAAAAGGAAATATCTTCCCATAAAAACTAGACGGAAGCATTCTCAGAAACTTACTTGTGATGTGTTTGCTCAACTAACAGAATTGAACCATCGTTTTGAAGGAGCAGTTTTGAAACACTGTTTTCGTGGAATCTGCAAGTGGATATTTGGCTAGCTTTGAGGATTTCGTTGGAAACGGGATTACATATAAAAAGGAGACAGCAGCATTCTCAGAAACTTCTTTGTGCTGTCTGCATTCAAGTCACAGAGTTGAGCATTCCTTTTCATAGAGCAGGTTGGAAACACTCTTTTTGTAGTATCTGGATGAGGACATTTGGAGCGCTTTCAGGCGTATGGTGAAAAAGGAAATATCTTCCCGTAAAAACTAGACAGAAGCATTCTCAGAAATTTATTTGTGATGTGTGCCCTCAACTAACAGAGTTGAACCTTTCTTTTGATAGAGCAGTTTTGAAACACTCTTTTTGTAAAATCTGCAAGAGGATATTTGGATAGCTTTGAGGATTTCGTTGCAAACGGGAATGGCTTCATATAAACTCTAGACAGAAGCATTCTCAGAAACTTCGTTGGGATGTTTCGATTGAAGTCCCAGTGTTGAACATTCCCTTTTATAGAGCAGGTTGGAAACACTCTTTCTGCATTCCCTGGAAGTGGACATTTGGAGCGCTTTCAGGACGACGGTGAAAATGGAAATATCTTCCAAGAAAATCTAGATAGAAGCAATGTCAGAAACTTTTATGTGATGGATCTACTCAGCTAACAGAGTTGAACCTTTCTTTTGAGAGAGCAGTTTTGCAACACTCTTTTTGTGGAATATGCAAGTGGATATTAGGGCAGCTTTGAGGATTTCGTTGGAAACGGGAATACATGTAAAAAGGAGACAGCAGCATTCTCAGAAACTTCTTTGTGATGTTTGCATTGAAGTCACAGAGTTGAACATTCCCTTTGAGAGAGCAGGTTTGAAACACGCCTTTTGTCATATCTGGAAGTGTCCATTCGGAGCGCATTCAGGCTTGTGTTGAAAAAGGAAATATCCTCCCATAAAAACTAGACAGAAGCATTCTCAGAAACTTATCTGTGATGTATGTACTCAACTAACAGAACTAAACCCATCGTTTTGAAGGAGCAGTTTTGAAACACTCTTTTTGCGGAATCTGCAAGTGGATATTTGGCTAGCTGGGAGGATTTCGTTGGAAACGGGATTACATACAAAAAGCAGACAGCAGCATTCTCAGAAACTTCTTTGTGATGTTTGCATTCAAGTCACAGAGTTGAACTTTCCCTTTCATAAAGCAGGTTTGAAACACTCTTTTTGTAGTATCTGGATGTGGACATTTGGATCGCTTTCAGGCCTATGGTGAAAAAGGAAATATCTTCCCATGAAAACTAGACAGAAGCATTCTCAGAAACTTATTTGTGATGTGTGCCCTCAACTGACAGTGTTGAACCTTTGTTTTGATAGAGCAGTTCTGAAACACACTTTTTGTAAAATCTGCAAGAGGATATTTGGATAGCTTTGAGGATTTCGTTGGAAACGGGAATGTCTTCATGTAAACTCTAGACAGAAGCATTCTCAGAAACTGCTTTGGGATGTTTCAATTGAAGTCCCAGTGTTGAACATTCCCTTTCATAGAGCAGGTTTGAAACACTCTTTTTGTACTATCTGGAAGTGGACATTTGGAGCGCTTTCAGGTCTACGGTGAAAAAGGAGATATCTTCCAATAAAAACTAGATAGAAGCAATGTCAGAACTTTTTTCGTGATGTATCTACTCAGCAAACAGAGTTGAACATTTCTTTTGAGAGAGCAGTTTTGAAACACTCTTTTTGTGGAATATGCAAGTGGGTATTAGGCCAGCTTGGAGGATTTCGTTGGAAACGGGAATACGTATAAAAAGCAGACAGCAG